>NC_000002.12:86582227-86887610 GCF_000001405.40 Homo sapiens | reverse complement strand
TACATCTATAATCCCAGCACTTTGGGAGGGTGAGGCGAGAGGATAGCTTGAGCCAAGGAATTCAAGACCAGCCTGGGCAACATAGCAAGATCCCATCTCTACAAAAAATTAAAAATTAGCTGGGAGTGGTGGTACACACTTGTAGTCCTAGCTACTCGGAAGGCTGAGGCAGGAGGATCACTTGAGCTCAGGAGTTCAAGGCTGCAGTGAACTGTAATTGTGCCATTATGCTTCAGCCTGGGTGACAGAGTGAGGCCCTGTCTCTAGAGATGATGATGATGATGATGATGATGATGATGATGATAATAATAATAAAACAACTATTCACAAGTGATTTTTCCAAAAAAAAAATGTGAGGGTATGAAGTATTAACTACTCTTTCATATATATATATACACACACACACATATATATACACATATATATACATATATACATACACATATATACATATATACATACATATATATATACACATATACATACATATATATACGCACACATATATATACATACATATATATATATACACACACACACATACATTTTTTTTTTTTTGAGATGGAGTCTCATTCTGTCACCCAGGCTGGAGTGCAGTGGCACGATCTTGGCTCACTGCAACCTACACCTTCCAGGTTCAAGTGATTCTCCTGCCTCAGCCTCCCGAGTAGATAGGATTACAGAAGCCACCACACCTGGCTAATTTTTTATATTTTTGGTATAGATGGGGTTTCACCACGTTGGCCAGGCTGGTCTTGAACGTCCTGACCTCAAGTGATCCGCCTGCCTTGGCCTCCCAAAGTGCTAGGATTACAGGTGTGAGCCAGTGCACCCAGCCTACCCTTTCCTGTTAAGGAGAAGTGACTTGCCTTTCTCCTTACCTCTGATTTGACTCTCCGGAGAGTCCACACAGAATGCACATTTTGAACAGCATCATAAGTCATTACAATAGAGGGGTCAGTATTGAGGAAAACAATTTTCATTGCATGATCTACAACATATTGCACCCGTAATGAACCAAAAAGACCTTAAAAATAAAATAGAAAAATCAGGTATAGAACAACGGGCTTTACAAGACTGATATTTATGAACGGAGCTCTTAAAATTGTTAAAGATAAAGAACAACCAAGCCAAAGAGAGCACGAAATCTATTACTATCTTAAATAATTAACTCTGAATTTTTAATAAATTTACTTTAGGCATCAACTTCCTTAAAATACATTAAAGATGAGAGCATTACAAGTTTTAGCTTCACATACATGCTGTTGCTAAATGTTAAGATTTGTGCTGACTCTCACCATTACACGAATCAGCCACAGGTAAAAGGTCGATGATTTCTTCAACTGACTTATTTATAAATTGCACTCAACTATTCTGCCAAGTTTGACTTCCTTATTGGTTCTGTTCTTCTGTATGAAAGCTGTACTCTATAATTACTATTCAGACAGTGCCGAACAGTACACTGTTGTTTCTGCTTTACTAGTTACACATGCAAAATAAGGTTTTTCCCAGTGAGTTCAGCTTTTAATCTAAAGTACCATGGACTGGTCTCCATATCCTTATTTGACAGGAAATGTTTCCCATTCAGTTAAAATATTGAAAAATTTTAAAATATGATTTTATAATCATAAGAAATACTTTATAAATAAAAATCATGCCACCATCTCAAAATATCTACTATTAATACATTAGAGAATTTTTGTTTTTTTCATACATATATACACACTTTATACATTTTTACAAAATTATAATCATACTGTGTTAAAGTTTTGTATCCTACTTGACATTACAAATAAGCAACTTCTAGTTCACTAAATATTATTCAAAAATATGATCAATAATGGCTGCACTCCTCCCTCCAGTCCGTGCCTCCAAGAAGACAAAGAAAAGAAGGAACAACAATCGTGCCAAAAAGGGGCGCAGCCACATGCAGCCTATTCGTTGCACAAACTGTGCCTGACGCGTGCCCAAGGACAAGGCCATTAAGAAATTCATCATTCGAGGCTGGGCACGGTGGCTAACGCCTGTAATCCCAGCACTTCGGGAGGCTGAGGCAGGCGGATCACGAGGTCAGGAGATCGAGACCATCCTGACTAACACAGTGAAACCCCGTCTCTACTAAAATAAAAAAATTAGCGGGTCGTGGTGGCGGGCCCCTGTAGTCCCAGCTACTCGGGAGGCTGAGGGAGGAGAATGGTGTGAACCTGGGAGGTGGAGCTTGCAGTGAGCCCAGATCCCGCCACTGCACTCCAGCCTGGGCAACAGAGTGAGACTCTGTCTCAAAAAAAAAAAAAAAGAAATTAATTCATCATTCGAAATGTGGTGGAGGCTGCAGCAGTCAGGGACATTTCTGAAGCGAGTGTCTTCAATGCCTATGTGCTTCCCAAGCTGTATGGGAAGCTAAATTACTGTGTGAGATGTGCAATTCACAGAAAAGTCATCAGGAATCCACCTTGTAAAGCCCACAAGGACCAAACACACCCACCCCGATTTAGACCTTCGAGGAGTGCTGCCCCACAACCCCCACCAAAGCCCATGTAAGGAGCTGAGTCCTTAAACACTGAAGACAAGGCGAGGCGTGGTGGCTCATGTCTGTAATCCTAGCACTTTGGGAGGCCGAGGTGGGTGGATTGCCTGAGCTCAGGAGTTCGAGATCAGCCTGGGCAACAGGGTGAAACCCCATCTCTACTAAAATACAAAAAGTTAGCTGGGCATGATGGCACACCCCTGATCCCAGCTACTAGGGAGGCTGAGACAGGAGAATCGCTTGAACCTGGGAGGCGGAGGCTGCAGTGAGCTGTGATCGTGCCATTGCACTGCAGCCTGGTAACAAAGCGAGACTCCGTCTCAAAAAAAACAAAATGAAAATAAAAAGATTGAAGACAGACTATTCTCCAGAGAAAAAATAAAATGGAAATTGTACTTAAAAAAAAAAAAAAAAAAGGCTGCATGCCATTTAATCCCAGGCCCTAGTATGTTTATTCGGGTTGTCTGCAATTAGTAACAACATAAAATTTGAACTTTTTCTGTAAAAGATCAAAGACTAAATAGTGCAGTTTGCTGTCCACATACTGACTCTATCACATAATCTTTGTTATTTCCTACAACCCTTTAAAAGGTAAAAACCATTCTTATGTTGGGTGCGGTGGCTCATGATGTAATCCCAGCACTTTGGGAGGCCGAGGTGGGTGGATCACCTGAGGTCAGGAGTTCAAGACCAGCCTGACCAACATGGTGAAACTATGTCTCTACTAAAAATACAAAATTAGCTGAGTGTGGTGGCACACGCCTGTAATCCCAGCTACTTGGGAGGCTGAAGCAAGACAATCGCTTGAACCCAGGAGGCAGAGGTTGCAGTGAGCCAAGATCGCACCATTGTATTCTGGCCTGGGCACAAGAGCAAAACTCTGTCTTAAAAAACAAAAAAAAAACAAAACAAACAAACAAACAAAAAAAAACCATTCTTAGCTCACAAGTTTTACAAAAACATGCTGCAGGCCAGATTTAGCCCATGGCCTGCAGTCTGCCAAGACATAATATAGAAGATAAAAAGCAGCTGGGCACGGTGGCTCACCCCTGTAATCCCAGAACTTTGGGAGGCCGAGGTGGGTGGATCACCTGAAGTCAGGAGTTCAATACCAGCCTGGCTAACATGATGAAACCCCGTCTGCACCAAAAATATAAAAAATTAGCCAGGCACGGTGGCGTGTGCCTGAAATCCCAGCTACTCGGGAGGCTGAGGCAGGATAATCACTTGAACTCGGGAGGCAGAGGTTACAGTGAGCTGAGATCGCGCCACTGCACACCAGCCTGGGCCACAGAGCAAGACCCCTCTCAAAAAAAAAAACCCAAAACAACAACAAAAAATAAACTTTACTTCATCCAAGTATCATTCATTTACTTATTAACTATTAAAGAACAAAGCATCTACAGGTAGGTTAATAAATATATCGGTATTCCTCACTGATTTATATACCTTATTTTTACTAAAATAACTGTTGAGCAGTTAATACCATGATATTCAAGAAATTCAAAATAGAAGTTATTTTTGTGAAATGTTTACATTACATTATTTTTATAAGTCAGTTTTCATATAAGCGCCTTTATAATCTCCCTCACCAAAGTCAAAAAAAAAACAAAAACAAAAGAGCTTATCTAAAAGAATATAGAAGCACACTTACTTCCAGATTTACAAACAAGTGGAGTTATTTCATCTAGTGGGTGCAGCATGCTGAACATAGTGGGTAAAGATTCTCTAGCAATAAACAAATAATCAATTAATTACCAATACGAGTATGTCTGTGCACAAATTTTGCACTTCTATTGAAAAGAAATCTCCAGATTACACGAGCAACTAGAAACCTACTATCTCAAAATGCAATCTTCTGAACTTTGTACATACTATTTTTCACATTGTCTTCTATTTCATTCCTAGAAATCTCTCCCCTGAGAGTAATTCTATCAATGCACCAACAGAGGAAAATCAATATAGTCCAGAGAATTTCTGCAAACAGCAGTCATCACAGTACAGAACAAATGGAGTAATGTGTATAAAGCAGTCTTTTTTTATTGACCTCTCTTACTGGCAGTGTGTCCCATACCTGCTGACAAAGGAATGCATTTTTTAAAAAAGGAAGAAACAAACTACTTCAAGTAAATTAAGTCTGCTTTTTTTTTTTTTTTTTTTTGAGATGGAGTCTCACTCTGTTGCCCAGGCTAGAGTGCAGGGGCATGATCTCGGCTCACTGCAACCTCCACCTCCCAGGTTCAAGCGATTCTCCTGTCTCAACCTCCCGAGTAGTTGGGATTACAGGCACACACCACCACGCCCAGCTAGTTTTTTTGTATTTTTAGTAGAGACGGGCTTTCACCATGTTGGCCAGGCTGCTCTCGAACTCCTGACCTCAGGTGATCCACTTGCCTCGGCCTCCCAAAGTGCTGGGATTACAGGCGTGGGCCACCGTACCTGGCCAAATCTTTTTTGAAGCCATTTATTTGCATATTCAATTTTACCACTTAGATTGGGAAAAAAGGCTAATTAAGTGCCAAGTGCGTAGAGCTCATGAGTATACTTACAGGCTGAGTATCCCTTATCTGAAATACTTGGGACCATAAGTGTTTTGGATTATTTACCTTACACTAACAGTTGAGCAGCCCTAATTCTTTTGGGGGTACAAGTGGCTTTTGGTGACACAGAATTATGTAGTGGTGAATTCTGAGATTTTAGTGCACCTGTCACCTGAGTAGTGTATGTTGTACGCAACATGTAGTTTGTTTATCCCACACCTTCTTCCCACCCTCCTCCTTCTGAGTCTCCAAAGTCCATCATAACACTCTGTATATAGCCTCTGCATACTCCTTGCTTAGCTCTCACTTGGAAGTGAGAACATGCAGTATTTGGTTTTCCATTCCTGGGTTACTTCACTTAGAATTATGGCCTCCAGTTTCATCCAGCCTGATGCAAAAGACATTATTTCATTTCCTCGTTATGGCTGATTAGTATTCCATGGTGTATATATACATTTTCTTTATTCACTCATTGGTCAATGGGCACTTAGGCTGCTTCCTTGTCTTTGCAATTGTGAATTGTGCTGCAATAAACATACATGTGCATGTATCTTTTTCATATAATGACTTTTTTTCCTTTGGGTAGATACCCAGTAATGGGACTGCTAGATTGAATGGTAGACGTACTTTTAGTTCTTTAACGAATCTCCATACTGTTTTCCATAGATGTCATACTAATTATGTTCCCACCAGCAGTGTATAAGCATTCCCCTTCCACCACATCCATGCCAACATCTATTGTTTTTCTGACTCTTTAATAATGGCCATTCCTTAAAGAGTAAGGTGAGATCTCACTGTGGTTTTCATTTGTGTTTCTCTGATGATTAGTGATATTGAGCAGTTTCATGTTTGTTGGCCATTTGTATATCTTCTTTTGAGAACTGTCTACTCATGTCCTTTACCCACTTTTTGAGCTTCTGTCTTGCTGATCTGAGTTCCTTATATATTCTGGATACTAGTGCTTTGTTGGATGCACAGTTTGCAAATATTTTCTCCCACTGTGTGAACTATCTGTCTATTCTGACATTTCTTCTGCTGTGCAGAAGCTTTTTATTTTAATCAGGTCCCATTTATTTATTGTTTTTGTTGCATTTGCTTCTGTTGTTTTAGTCATAAATTCTTCGCCTAGGCCAATGTCCAGAAGAGTTTTTCCAAGGTTATCTTCTGGAATTTTTATGGTTTCAGGGCTTAAAGCCTTTGATCCCTCTTGAACTGACTTTTGTATAAGGTGAGAGATAAAAAAATCCAATTTCATTCTTCTAAAAAAGGTATCAGTTTTCCCAGCACCATTTACTAAATAAGATGTCCTTCCCCCAATTTATGTTTTTGTATGCTTGTTTGTCAAAGATCAAATACTTGATTACAAGTATTTGGCTTTATTTCTGGTTTCTCTATTCTGTTCCATTGGTCTATGTGCCTACTTTTATACCAGTACCATGCTGTTTTGGTAATTATAGCCTTGCAGTATATGTGATGGCTACATACTTGTTCTTTTTGCTTAGGATTGTTTTGGCTATTTTGGGCTCTTTTGGTTCCATATGAATTTTAGAATTGTTTTTTCTAACTCTATTAAAAAAAAGATCGTATTTTGATGAGAATTATGGTGAAATGTATAGATTGCTTTTGGCGGGATGATCATTTTCACAATATGGATTCTTCAAATCCATGATCATGGGATGTGTTACCATTTGTTTGTGTCATCTGTGATTTCTTTCAGCAGTGTTTTGTAGTTCTCCTTATAGAGATGATTCACCTCCTTGGTTAAGCGTATTCATAGGTTTTTGTTTTTGGCTTTTTGCTGCTCCTATAAAAGTGATTGAATTTCTGGCCAGGTGCGGTGGCTCATGCCTATAATCCCAGCACTTTGGGAGGCCAAGGTGGGCGGATCACCTGAGGTCGGGAGTTCGAGACCAGCATGACTAACATGGAGAAACCCCGTCTCTACTAAAAATACAAAAAATTAGCCAGGCGTGGTGGTGCATGCCTGTAATCCCAGTTACTCAGGAGGCTGAAGCAGGAGAATCACTTGAACCTGGGAGGCAGAGCTTGTGGTGAGCCGAGATCATGCCACTGCACTCCAGACTGGGCAACAAGAGCAAAACTCCGTCTCGAAAAAAAAGAGACTGAGTTCTTGATTTGATTTTCAGCTTTGTCATTGTTGTTGTATTGCGGTGCTATTGATTTGTGTGCACTGATTTTGTAATCTGAGACTTTACTGAATTTATTTATCAAATCTAGGGGTCTTTTGGAGGAGTCTATAGGGTTTTCTAGGTATATAATCATATTATCAGCAAATAGTGATAGTATGACTTCCTCTTTTCAAATCTGGATGTCCTTTATTTCTTTCACTTGCCTCATTGCTCTGGCCAGAACTTCCAGTACTATGCTGAATAGAAGTGGTGAAAGTAGGCATCTTAGTCTTCTTCCAGTTCTCAGGGGGAATGCTTTCAACTTTTCCCCATTCAGTATGATGTTGGCTGTGGGTTTGTTGTATATGACTTTTATTAATTTGTGGTAAGTCCCTTCTATGCCTAGTTTGTTTTTATCATCAAGGGATGCTGAATTTTATCCAATGCTTTTTTCTGCATCTATTGAGATGATCATATGGTTTTTAATTCTGTTTATGTGATGTGTCACATTTATTGACTTGTGTATGTTAAACCATCCCTGCATCCCTGAGACAAAACCCATTTGATCATGACATATTATCTTTTTGATGACAGCAACCCTAATATGAGAATCCAAAACCTGAAATGCTCCAATAAGCATTTCCTTTGAGTGTCATGCTGGAGCTCAACAAGTTGCAGATTTTGGAGAATTTCAGGTTTTTGGATCAGGGATACTCAACTTGTACTGAGATGAGAGAAAATGGCATATATCTATGCTGTCAGCATGAAAATTATCATCATCTCAGACTTTTAGATAAACCTCAGAACCAACACACACACACAAATCCCAAGCAGTAATATTCTGAAGTGAATAAAATGAATACCTGGGTGAACCTGGAGGTACTTCATGTGAAGAAGCGCTTCGTTCAAACAACAATCCATATTTAGTGGGCCAAACATTTGCAACCTTTCAGGTAAAAGGGTGGGAAAAGATAGAAGTAAGAGAACCTACCCCTTTATAAAATGTTTTAAAGAAACATTACAGAATGTTTTATTTTCCAATTTAGTAATAGCTTTACAAAGTAACATAATCATTAAATATGGTATTTTCTTAAAAAGTAATACAAATAAGCAACTCTAAGATAAAATCAAATCTAATAAAGAGGAGTTGTTCAATGTGAAATTCCTGCCACTGGCCAGGATCAGTAACAAAATGACAATGTGTTAACAATAGCCTTAGGCATTAAAAAGACGATGAGTAACAAAAAAAGACTGGTGTTATTCATATGCCTTATTTAATATAACCAAAAGTTCTTACATATCATTTAAACCAACAAACACATACCACAGAAGACTTCCTAATTTACTTCATTAAATAACTTATTTTTTTGTGAAGTACAGAAAAATGGTAAGCCACTAAAGCTGCCAAAATTTAGTTATTTTGAGTAAAAATAACATTTTTGACTACTACGAAACATGAGACATAAGACATGCCTCTAAAACCAATTAATTCAAAAATGTTCTCCAACAAAACCCCCCCAAAATTTGAAACACTTGTTTACCTGAAATGGTAAGGAAGCTATGTAATCCTTTCCTTCTATGCTATGCATGTTAATACATGAGCTTTGCAATATACATATGCATTTTTCTACTTCATTGCTACCTGAAAAGAAAGGGTACAACAAGACTTATATGTTTTTTCCCTCAAAGGAATTCAATCCTAACAGCACAAATTATTTAATGCACAATATAAAGATGCTTATGGTAAACCACTATTACTAGTGGCTACTTCATTTGAATGAAAAATACAATGAGATAAATATTTGGAATCATCATAAGAAAAATAAAATTTCAAAAAGAAACTTACTGTAGGCCTTTTCAGACTTATCCTGTGATATAATGAAGTCACACCACAGTGCCTAAAATCAAAACAAAATGCTTACCTAAGAAAATTATATCTAAATAATCATCTATTAACTAATGGCATCTAAATAATAATAATAGCATCTACATAATAACTTTGCCTCCTCAGCTCAACATGTACAATCATGGGAACAAAAAGAATAAGAAAAAATAAATTAGAGTAATAAATGATAAATATGATAAGGAAAGACGAAATACGTTTACAATTAAATTTTATGAAAAGATCCATAGGAATTAAAATTTTAAATTAAAAAAATAAATTTTACAAAAAGAGAAGACAAGAATCAAAAAATCTACCAGATAGAAACTTTGCAGCAAAAATTCAAATAGTGGCTCAAACCATACTAAACCCTATATCCTATATAAAACTAAAGATTATTCAAACTTTATAATCTCTAGATTAAACAATTGATCTTATTCTTAGACTCTCTCTAGACTGACTTTTGAAAAAGTATTTAGAAAAATTAACTCCTCCTTTTCTTAAAAGCCCATCTTACAAAATATAAACTAGGAAAAGCTATTAAACTTTAACTGACATACTTGGCAATCACTTATTATTTAACAGCATTTTGTGGTTTTTTTTAAACTGTGGTCAAATATACACAATATGAAAATTAACATTTTAACAATTTTTAAGTAGACAATTCAGTGGCATTAACATTAAATTGATGAGCTTAGTACAATTTGTGAGCTTGTACAATACTGCACATTTCCAGAACTTTTTCCTCATCTCAAACAGAAACTCCGTGCCCATTAAACAATACTCCCCATTTCCCAATGCCCTGAGCTCTGGTAACCTCTATTCCACTTTCCCTATGAAAAGGCCTGTGCTAGGTATCTCATGTAAGTGAAACTGTACAACATTTGTCCTTTTATATCTCTTTTATTTCACTTAACATAATGTTTTCAAGGTTCATCCATGTTATGGCATGTATCAGAATTTTATCCCTTTTTAAAGCTAAACAATATTCCACTGTTAGCATATACCACATTTGTTTATCCATTCATCTGTCAGTGGACATGGGTTGTTTCTACCTTTTGGCTGTCATAAATAATGCTGCTGAAAACACTGGTATACAAGTATTTGTGAGTTCCTGCTCTCAATTCAATTGTGCATATACCTAGAACTGGAACTGCTGGATCATAATGGTAATTCTAAGCGTAACTTTTCTTTTAAGAGATGGGGTCTCACTCTGTCACCCAAACTGCAATGCAAGGCATGATTCTAGCTCGCAGCAGCCTAGAACTCCTGGGTTCATGTGACCCTCCTGCCTCAGTCTCCTGAACAGCTGGGAGTACAGGCATGCACCACCATGCCTGGCTACATGTATAACTTTTTGAGAAATTGCCAAACTTTTCCACAGCAGCTATGTTACATTCCCATCAGCAATGCACAGGAGTTCCAATTTCTGGACATCCTCACCAACATTTGTTATGTTTCTTTAATAACAGCCAACCTAGTAAAGTGGTATCTCATTGTGGTTGTAATTTGCATTTGCCTAATGATTAGCGAAGCTGAGCATCTTTTCATGTGCTTATTGACCATGTGTGCATCTTTAGAAAAATGTCCATTTAAGTCCTTCTGCCCAATTTTTTAATTGGGTAGTTTGTTTTATTGCTGAGTTGTGGGAGATTTTAATGGTTAAGAAATGAAAATTCATGAAGAAAACCATGCATGAGAGCTGTGCTCCAACCTGAAACGTCCAAAATCTACAATGCACCGATTACAGTCTCAACTTCCTTTCATGAAATCCCATCCTCTCAGCCTCTAAAAGTAAATATTTTAACATCTCTTTTATCCCTGATACCTAAGAGATCACTAACCCCTTCCACATCTCCCTCTGCTTTATCACCCCTTCTTTGCCAAGGCACCAATCTTTTACCTGAACAGTCACAAAATAGTGCCCCTGACAACAGTCTCCCTCCTCTCCAGTCAATCCTATATATATATTGCTAACAAAGCAATCTCTTCTCAAAACACAAAATTGATCGCTTCCATTTTAAAATCCTTGGCAAGCTCCCTTCAGCACACAGCTTAAAATCCAAATTCCTTGGTTTATATACAAGGCCCTTTGGTCTGTATATTGCCAGCATCCACTTGCATCTCTCCACACCCACTCTTTTTGTACAGCCATTCTGAAGTTTAAAAAGTCATCTTTTTCCATAATTCTTTTTGCTATGATTTCCTCTGCCTAGAATGCCCTTCTGCCACCATTTTATAACACAAATAGCATCTTCTTTGAAAAACCCTCCCTTTGGCACTCAGTCCTTTGGGCTCTCATCACTCTGTGGACAGGTAGTTATTATACAGCATTCAGAATACAGCATTTCAGTTGATCTGTTTGTTCTCCTTTCTAGGCTATGAGTCCTTCAATGGCAGAAACTACATTCACCTTTGTAGCCCCAGCATAATGTCTGAAACAGAGTGAGACTAAATACTTGCAGAAGACCAGGCACAGTGGCTCACGCCTGTAATCTCAGCACTTTAGGAGGCCAAGCCAGGAGGATCACTAGAGCCCAGGGGTTCAAGACCAGCCTGGACAACATAGTGAGACCCCCATCTCTATTAAAAAACAAAAAGAATAAATGAAAAAATAAAAAGAACAACCAAAAAAAAATACTTGCAGGATAGGTAAAACAATGAACAGATAAAATCGGAGTCACATATACCTGATATTATTTCATAAACAAAATAGAAAATTATCTTTCTCCATATTAGCAAGAAGATTAAGTAACAATATATTTTCCAGATCAAAAGACTGAAATTCCAAATCTTACAATTACACTTACAAGTGATCTTAAGATAAAGGAGATAATGTATCTAACTGCACTTCCATGGAATCTAGTAAACAGGCAACCATTCTTGGAGAAATTAAGATGAAGATATAGAAGCAAAGAACTACTTGGATATCATCAAATGCACTTTTCACATCTATACTAACTATATGAATTATATGGGAAAAAAATTACCATCAAAAAGATCACTGGCTTCAACACTCCAGGACACAAATGCTTTCACATATGCCCTCAAATGTTGGAATAATGATTCAGTTTATCCTTTCCAATAAATAGTTAGAATACAATACTCACCAGGAAATAGTTAATGGTAGGTGGGAGGAGTGGGAGGAAGCAGTGTCCAGATACAAAGATTTCAGCGTTTACAAAAATGAAACTTAACATTAGTCAAAGCCTCCAAAACCTCTTGTCAACCCTAATTCATCTACAATAAATGCATTAGTTCTTCCTCCAACTTTTTGTTATAAAAATTTTCAGTAAGAAAAGTTGAAATAATGCAGCAGACATATTTCACCTAAATCCAACAATCATGAAAATGTTGCCATATTTGTTTGTATGTGTGCATTTGTGTACATATGGGATTTTTGGAATGGGAATGCTGACTGTCTAAAAATAAATTGCACACACATCATGACATTTCACCCCTAAATACTTCACCATGCCTTTTCTAAAAATAAAGATGTTCTCCTATGAAACCATAAAATCATCATCCCTAAGAAAAAAATAATACTTCTCTAACATCAGCTACTGGCCAGTAATTTTCAACTTTCCCAAATTTTCCCCAAAAATATCTTTTTAGCTAGTTTTCTAAAACCAGGACTCAATCAAAGTTCATTTAACAAGGATCAAAAATTACTGCATTTGGTGATGTCTCTTCAGTCTCTTTCAATATAGAACAGTCCCCACCTTTTTTTCTTTCTCCGTGACTTTTTTAAAGAAACCAGAATGTAGACTACAAACTTTTTATAATGGAAAATTTCAAATAAATACAAAGTAAACAGAATAGGATAATGAATACCCATCAGCCAGTTTTAATAATTATCAAGCTTGGCTGAGCATGGTGGCTCATGCCTGTAATCCCAGCACTTTGGGAGGCCGAGGTGGGTGGGTAGATCACAAGGTCAGGAGATCGAGACCATCCTGGCTAACACAGTGAAACCCCAGCTCTACTAAAAATATAAAAACAAAATTAGCTGGGTGTGGTGGCAGGCACCTGTAGTCCCAGCTACTCGGGAGGGTGAGGCAGGAGAATGGCATGAACCTGGGAGGCAGAGCTTGCAGTGAGCTGAGATCATGCCACTGCACTCCAGCCTGGGTGCCAGAGCAAGACTCCATCTCAAAAAACAAATAAATAAATAAATAAACAACAATAATAATAATAAAGCTTTAGCCATTCCTAGCTATCTATTTCCTTATCTCATGGTATTTTAAAATATAATTCTCTATTGCCTATATTTCCTATAAACAGGAAGTTAGGTCTAAATATTCATATTTTTGGGAAGAAAACTTAGATGACATCACGTACTTCATTCTGTATTACAGCTAGAAGCACATAATATTCCTTCATGTCACTACTAATTATGCTAAACTCAATCACTTGATTGAGGTGGAGATTGACAAATAACTCCAAAGTAGAGGTACATTTGTTCCTTCACATTTACCAGGTAATCCATAGGGTGATGTGTTGGTGCCATGGTAATATTCTTTCAACCAACCGTGTTAGTATCCATTTACAATCCTTGTTTGAATCCATTATTGCAATGGAGGTTACAAAATGGTGATATTCTAATTCTACAATTCCTTTTACATTTATTAGCTGGCATTCTTCTCTAAGTACAAGTTTTCCTTCATCAAATGGAGATGAACTGCATGTCTTCCTGAAAAAATATGGCAAATGCTTAATTCTTTCCCTTTCATTATCAACTTTCAGAACAGTTAGTTATAACAGCCAACTGCAATGGTTGCAAAGCAGATTTTTTCCTTTCTCTCTACCATTATGAATCCCACGATTTTTATTTATTCAAATCTTTGCAATCAATTATAGTAATCATGTGTTAAAATATTTCTGTACTCTTAATGTTTCATAGGTTTTTGCTGGCAATAACAAATTGAATTACATAAGGACAGAGTGTTTAAAGATTACCATTAAAGTGACAAAGGAGAGTGTAAAAAAAGTGATGATATATAAAATAAAATTAAATTTTTATTTTCCTGCGATTATCTTCACATTACATTATGTCATGTTACAACGTACACCCAGCTGCTGAGATCATTAGGCTGGTTTTATCATTTCTGTTAAATTTTAAAACAAAACTTTTTTTAATTGCATTAAATAGTGAATCAAATGCTAAAATTCAAATCAACTCACCTGCTGAACAGGACTGTCAACTGTAAATGCTTTATAAACTGCCAATGCCTGGCTTTTACTTCCTTTGCTCCATATCACCATATTTCCAGCAACATAGAGTTCCTCATCATAGTCCACATCTTCTCCAATTTCACTTACTCCTTTCCTTAACTGCCAGCTTTCCTTAAAAATTAACACATGTAAGACATATTCAAGGACTCTTTTTTTGTTCTTCAAAAATCTGGAACAAAATTTATTTGCCCATGGAGTAAGACTCAATTCAAACACAACTCCTACAAAGTTTGGTACACTGATTAACAGAGGATGTGGATATATGCATTACATTACAGAATTACATGAAGAATTTACGCAATAATTCTCTATATTGAATGTTTTATATTATTCCTCTATATTACTCTGCCAAAAACAAAAACGAACAAAAAGTACACCTTCTCTATAGTTCCAAAAGTCAAATCACATGCTTGGGAGACTAAAAAGACATATTAAGTATATGAGGTAGGGTAGGGAAAGGACAGTGAGGTGCACGTGGGAATCACTCGGGGAGTTTACGCACAAATGCAGACTTCCTGCTTCACAATCACATATATATTCACCTTCTTTTCCTTTGTCCCACCCACCAAAATGAATGGAAGAAAGAGAAGTTTCCATTTGTAACTACATAGGCTTTCCCTCCCCGAGATTTTGGTATCCCAAAGGGATATGACAATGGAATAAGGCAGGAGGGATTCATTTTCTGACACACACTTAACATCTCATTCCCCTACTTAAGAACTATTACTCGCCGGGTGTGGTGGCTCATGCCTGTAATCCCAGCACTTTGGGAAGCCGTGGCAGGTGGATCACCTGAGGTCTGGAGTTTGAGACTAGCCTGACCAACATGGAGAAATCCCGCCTCTACTAAAAAAAACAAAATTAACTGGGCGTGGTGGCACATGCCTGTAATCTCAGCTACTCGGGAGGCTGAGGCAGTAGAATCGCTTGAATCCAGGAGGCAGAGGTTGCGGTGAGCTGAGATTGTGCCATTGCACTCCAGCCTGGGCAACAAGAGTGAAACTCCATCTCAGGAAAAAAAAAAAAAAAACTATTACTCTACCTACTTTTGTGGCATTTCTTCTCTCCTTTAGAAACATGTAAATCTTCTGCAGCAGGGACTACTTCTAATCTCTACCATTTAATCATTAAATAACATGAAATCTGGTCCCCACATATTAAGTGAAAAGAAAAAGGTTTAAAATGGACAACAATCGTACTACTGAACCTGACTCACATTATAAAACCACAAGTTGGCCGAGCACAGTGGCTCACGCCTGTAAACCCAGCACTTTGGGAGGCCGAGGCGGGTGGATCACCTGAGGTCCGGAGTTCAAGACCAGCCTGACCAAATGGAGAAACCCCATCTCTACTAAAAATACAAAATTAGCAGGGGTGGTGGTGCATGCCTGTAATCCCAGCTACTCGGGAGGCTGAGGCAGGAGAATCACTTGAACCCGGGAGGCAGAGGTTGCGGTGAGCCGAGATCGCACCACTGCACTCCAGCCTGGGCAAAAAGAGCAAAACTCCATCTCAAACAAAAAAATTAAAAAATAAAAAATAAATAAAACCACAAGTTATAGAGGGTATCTAAATAAGTCGCTATGACAATGTAATAAAGTCATTATTTTCAACATTTATTGAAATTACCACACCTTAACTCTACCCTAGAAGTGGCATCACACCGATCTCTCAGTTGCATCTTAGTAGCCTTAAATTACAAGTAGATTATATCACTCTACATTTCAAAAACACAATGGGAAACTCAATGGAACCTTCTGTTTCTCGTGGATTGTAACCTCCTGAAGGGATCCCACAAAGCCAGCAGCACCATTAGAAGACCATAATTCAGAAGCTGGCTGCAGCTGGCGAAGTTGAAGGTTCAAAGCATTAGGGTGGTGCTTGCAGTGGTCTCCACCAAAAGGAACAAATTCCTGCAAATCCCTGGCTGCAATCTTCGTTGTCCTTTCTTCATAGAAGTTCGACATGGGTTCCAAATATCAACATTATTTCTGTATGAATTCAAACACATTCTGGTCAGCTTCCAGACTCAAAACTAGAATAAAAATACCATAAACACACAAGTCATTAATCCTTACATAGGTGTCAAGTAATTATATCAGACTGGTAAGTGTATAAGTTGGTCATAACATAAAAGGGCATTCTAGATCTGATTCAGACAGTTGCAATTATCACATTTTAGTCACAGACTGACAGTTACCACTATAGGAAACCACTGAGATGCAACAAGTACTTATGTCCCGCACCACCTATCCCGTGTTTCCCACTACTATACGCTAATTTTTCCATACTTTATATATGAAGTATTTAGACAAGTTGTATTCTGTAGTCCCATAACTACATGGCTTCTCAACATTTAAGGTCATTTCTGGTTAGATGCCAGAACCTCATTTGAAAAGTACATCTAAGGGATCATTGTCATATTGGAATAAAACAATAAAAAACCACACATTACTCTAATTCATCAGAGGTTGAACTGCTTTCAGCTGACCAATCTACAAAAAACATAGGTTATCAAATGTCTTAAGTAGCTGTGACACCCCCAATCCCACCTAAATATATAACTACAATCAATTTCAATTATTGGTCGAAACCCAGAGAACTGAGGCATGAATAACTCTAGCCATGGAACAGTTATGCTTGCAGATTTAAGGGTATTAGGTTTTAATTAATTATTACATCTAATTAATCTAATTATTAATCTATTACAGTACAGTTTATTACTAAAAAAATGTGGATAACTGTTAAAGCCTTCATCACAAGGTTAGGAAGCAAACAGGCTTTAGACAAAAGTACAGATAAGCATAATTAGATTGCCCTTTGATCCACTTTCCTGTACCTGTTTATATATACCATGTTCCTATGGACAGCATTTTTAATGTTAGGAGCCTAAGACTTTTGAGATGATGCAAGCTAGTCTTAAGACCCCATCAAGGAACCACATTAGCATGAGAATGTGGTTTATCTCTCTGTCTTATGACTACATCCTTCATTCTCTGACCAATCAATACCTTAGCCCACTACCCTCTCTTTAAAACCTCTGGGCCGGGCGCGGTGGCTCACGCCTATAATCCCAGCACTGTGGGAGGCCGAAGCGGGCGGATCACCAGGTCAGGAGATCGAGACCATGCTGGCTAACATGGTGAAACCCCATCTCTACTAAAAATACAAAAAATTAGCTGGACTTGGTGGCGGGCGCCTGTAGTCCCAGCTACTCGGGAGGCTGAGGCAGGAGAATGGCGTGAACCCAGGAAGCGGAGGTTGCAGCAAGCCGAGATCATGCCATTGTACTCCAGCCTGGGCAACAGAGCAAGACTCTGTCTCAAAAAAAAAAAAAAAAAAACCTCTAGACCTTAACTCTTTTGGGAGGCTGACTTGAAGTTTCCTCAGTCTCCTAGTTCGGTGGCCCTGCAAGTAAAACACTTTATCTGCTGCAATCCCCGTTGTTTCCATGTATTGACTTGCTGCTCATAGGGCAAGAGTCCTATATGGTTACACAAACACCCAAAGCCTATGTAGTTCCTTTGCAGCTCCTCTAAAGCCACAAAGTTATTTTGCTGTGAATTAAATGTTATTCTTGGCCAGGCGCGATGGCTCACGCCTGTAATCCCAGCACTTCGGGAGGCCGAGGCGAGTGGATCACCTGAGGTCAGGAGTTCGAGAGCAGCCTGGCCAACATGGTGAAAGCCCGTCTCTACTAAAAATACAAAAAAACTAGCTGGGCGTGGTGGTGTGTGCCTGTAATCCCAACTACTCGGGAGGTTGAGACAGGAGAATCGCTTGAACCTGGGAGGTGGAGGTTGCAGTGAGCCGAGATCATGCCCCTGCACTCTAGCCTGAGCAACAGAGTGAGACTCCATCTCAAAAAAAAAAAAAAAAGCAGACTTAATTTACTTGAAGTAGTTTGTTTCTTCCTTTTTTAAAAAATGCATTCCTTTGTCAGCAGGTATGGGAGAATAAATTTCTTTCTTAGCTGCCAAAGACACACTGCCAGTAAGAGAGGTCAATAAAAAAAGACTGCTTTATACACATTACTCCATTTGTTCTGTACTGTGATGACTGCTGTTTGCAGAAATTCTCTGGACTATATTGATTTTCCTCTGTTGGTGCATTGATAGAATTACTCTCAGGGGAGAGATTTCTAGGAATGAAATAGAAGACAATGTGAAAAATAGTATGTACAAAGTTCAGAAGATTGCGTTTTGAGATAGTAGGTTTCTAGTTGCTTGTGTAATCTGGAGATTTCTTTTCAATAGAAGTGCAAAATTTGTGCACAGACATACTCGTATTGGTAATTAATTGATTATTTGTTTATTGCTAGAGAAACTTTACCCACTATGTTCAGCATGCTGCACCCACTAGATGAAATAACTCCACTTGTTTGTAAATCTGGAAGTAAGTGTATTTCTATGTTTTTTTAGATAAGCTCTTTTGTTTTTGTTTTTTTTTTGACTTTGGTGAGGGAGATTATAAAGGTGCTCATCTTGAGCTGATGCAGCTTCCAGCTGCATCTTGAGTAATTTAATAGTCATGGAGTATTTTGTGCCACCTGGTACAAGAGAAGAAGTTAATCTATAACAAAAGATCAGTGACTCAGAAGGGAAGGGGTCTTATCTTGGTGCCATTCAGTCTTTCACAACATTTTACAAACAAAAAAAAATTTAAAAAGGATGAATCTATAATCAGATAAGCAGAAGTTGCAGCTGTTAGCTATGTAGCTCAGGTTCCACAGTCACATTTTCTTCAAGCCACAGAATAAGGTTGCAACAACTTATTTAAATTATTTATTTTCCGGCTGGGCGTGGTGGCTCACGCCTGTAATCCCAGCACATTGGGAGGCCAAGGCGGGTGGATCACAAGGTCAGGAGATCAAGACCATCCTGGCTAACATGGCGAAACCCGTCTCTACTAAAAATACAAAAAATTAGCCGAGCATGGTGGCGGGCACCTGTAATTCCAGCTACTCGGGAGGCTAAGGCAGGAGAATTTCATGAACCTGGAAGGTGGAGCTTGCAGTGAGCCGAGATTGTGCCACTGCACTCCAGCCTGGTGACAGAGCCAGACTGCCTCAAAAAAAAAAAAAATTTATTTTCCAAGTCTCATCTGGGCCTCTATTTCTTTACCAGGCTCATTCATTGCACATTTTTTATAGCATTTATTTATTATTTGCTTTTTTAAAAAAATAGATATGAAGTTTCACTACATTAACGAGGCTGGTCTCGAACTCCTGGCCTCAAGTGATCCTCCCATCTCAGCCCCCCAAAGTGTCGGGATTACAGGTGTGTGCCACCATGCCTGGCCTATTATTTGTCTATCTCACAAGACTCTATGCTCCCCGTGGACAAAAATCTTATCTGTTTAGTTTATCAATATATGCACAATGCCTGGAATGCACAGGGCCTGGAATAGCAGAGCATGTGCTCAGTAAGCATGTGTGGGGTGGTGGGCATAGAACACACTGCATTACATGCTGACTCTGATCACACAAAATGTCCTGTGAAGTAGGTGTGATTCATATGAGAACTGTGGGACCCAGATAGGAAAGCCATTCCCCCAAGGCAGGGCACCAGTTAGTGTCCAGCCCAGGTTCCAATTTATGTCTTGCTGATAGGCCCAGGGCCACAAGATACAGATGCTCAGCCAAGGAGGTGAGTGGGGGCTCGAATCTAGACCACTCTGCTCACCAGGTTTGAGCTAAGAGCTAAGACTGCCAAACAATAAGAAAATTTCCCAAACACAAGCTGATTTTAGATCAATCTATCAGAGAATGTTTTGAACTATGTAAAATAATATAAATGCATATGCACCTGCGTATATAGCTATAGATATAATTAGAACCGATAGATCTCTCATTGGCCAAGGTCCTGAGCAAAGCCAGATCCCTTAACTGACACTCAGTACCCCAGCCCATCTCATTTTCTTCCTTCTACTACTGCATTTGTGCACAAAGAAGTAAAAGACCAACAAGCATGGCACACTTAGTCTGAAAAGTATTTAAGGAACAGAGATTTATGTTGCAATAAGTTTGCTAATTTAGATACAGAAATGGTTGATGTCTTCTGGGTAGTCATAATTTTTAAATTAGCTTTTCCTTCTTTTTTTTTCTTTTTTAATAGAGATGGGGGTCTTGCTATGTTGTCCAGACTGATCTTGAACTCCTGGCCTCAAGCGATCCTCACAGCTCAGCCTCCCAAAGTTACAGGCATGAGCCACTCTGCTTGGCCAGGAATTAACTTTTCTACTGGATCAACATTTTTGATCTCCTGAAAAAAAAAATCCCTTTTTATTTTGAGACAAGGTTTCCATTCTGTTGCTCAGGCTGGAGTGCGGTGGCACAATCATGGCTCACTGCAGCCTCAACCTCCTGGGTTCAGGTGATCCTCCCACCTCAGCTTCCCAAGTAGCTGGGACTATAGGCACACGCCACCACCTCTGGGTAATTTTTTATTTTTATTTTTTTTTTGGTAAAGACAGGGTTTCACCATATTGCCTGAGCTGGTCTCCAACTCCTGAGCTCAATCAATCCTCCCACCTCAGCCTTCTGAGTAGCTGGGATTACAAGTGCAAGCTACTGCACCTGGCCCTCTTTCTCTTATTTGAATAATTTCTTTTTGTTAAAAGGCTCACCCTAGAGTCTGGAATTGGTAGAAGCAGAAAAAGAGACTTTCATTTCTTTATGTGATTTTAAAAATCCTGGATATTCTTTCTTATGTTTTTTAACATTTTTTTTTTTATTTTTGATTGACAGTACAATATGAACATAGTGTTTCAACATTTTAAAATAAAATCACTAAAATAAGAAAATTAATGTGGAAAAATAAAAATGTGGGAGGCCAGGTGCGGTGGCTCATGTCTGTAATCCTAGCACTTTGGGAGGCCGAGGCGGGTAGATTGCCTAAGCTCAGGAGTTTCAGACCAGCCTGGGCAACACAGTGAAACCCTGTCTCTACTAAAATACAAAATAAATTAGCTGAGTGTGGTGGCACTTGCCTGTAATACCAGCTACTCGGGAAGCTGAGGCAAGAGAATTGTTTGAACCCGGGAGGCAGAGGTTGCAGTGAGCCGAGATAGCGCCACTGCACTCCAGCCTGGGCAACAGAGCAAGACTCTGTCTCTACAAAAAAAAAAAAAAAAAAAAAAAAAAGGTGGAATGTGTCCTTGGGGAGGTAGTACTAGTAAAGTGTTTGTACGAACTTGATTTTGAGATATGGAGCTGCACTTTGACCTCCAATAGGGGAGCATTCCATGGGCCTGGTCTCCAACTTGGAAATAAACTCTCTAAAGACATTATTTTCTTTGCTTTACACCTCATGTCACTTCTCTGAGTAGGAGGGATTCTGCTTTCATTTCTTTTAATGGTAACAGTGGAATCATTAACTCCCTACTAAAAGAGGCTTATTCAATATATTTTTGTTTGATTTGGGCTCCCTTTGATGGTGGTTAGTTTGATATTTGAGACTTTTTCCTAAGGAGACTATAAAAAGCAATCTAGACTTCTTCTCTTTGATTTGGGTTAGAACTAAGTGTGAGATTTCCAAGTGGAAAGTGAGCATCAGCCTAATAAGCTTTTATTCTACATGGTTCAAAATGTTCTCTGTAAAACTGATCTAAAAATCTGCTTGTATTCTGGAATTTTCTTATTGCATTATCTTAATTTTTTTTTTTTTTTTGAGATGGAGTCTTGCTCTGTCGCCCAGGCTGGAGTGCAATGGCGCGATCTTGGCTCACTGCAACCTCTGCCCTCTGGGTTCAAGCGATTCTCCTGCCTCAGCCTCCTGAATAGTTGAGATTACAGGTGCCCTACCACACCCAGCTAATTTTTGTATTTGTAGTAGAGATGGGATTTTGCCATATTGGCCAGGCTGGTCTTGAACTCCTGACCTCAGGTGATCCACCCTCCTCCGCCTCCCAAAGTGTTAGGATTACAGGCCTGAGCCACCGTGCCTGGCTGCACTATCTTAATTTTTACACTAGTCCTTTTACCTGTTCACTCCTTCCACAGCTATTTAAAGAGCACCCCTCATTTATGAATATAGGAACTGAGGCCTGAGAGTGGGTAAATAGCAGAGAAGCGATGCTAACAGGCACTCTTTCTGCTATACCAGTGCAGTCCAGGCAGGTTATGTATTCTCTGATTCCATTTCCCTTTTCTCTTGGGCACCCAACTAAACTCCATTTTCCAGGCCCCTTACAGTTTGGTTGAGTCCATGTGACTGAGTTCTGGCCAGGCACCACAGTGGCAGCGGGTCACACTGCGATGACCCAATCTAGCAGTTCTCAACCCATCAGACCAGCCCTCCTTCACCAGAACGACTCTTTGTAATGATACTTTCACTGTCCTGAAATGAATTTCACAGATAATAGGCTCTATCTACACATGTAATTTCAAAACAAGTCAACAAAAATCCTGAACTATATAAAAGAGGAGATTGCTTTATAATAAATGGACAAGTATTTTAACCAGTCAACACTCAGGCACAGCTGCAGAAGACAATATAGTGAGGTCCCCAAATACTTATACCAACCTGTACTGAACAAACGTCAACCGAAGAGAAGTCAGAGCATGAGCTGATCTGTAGCCAAGACCAGGAAAATGGAAGAGCAAAGGCACAAGTGAATGGTGGACTAAAAACCGCTACATTCAGAGAAGGCAAAACCTGAGAGGGAAAGGTACTTTATGTTGACAGGCAAAACTGAGTTTTGTTCCAGGTTCAGACAATTAATTACAAACAGGTTATTCACCTGAATGAATATCCAATGGCACACATGAACATCAAAGGAAAGGTCCTTCTGTGCACCTGGCTTCCCTGACCCCACCCACTAACTGCCCACAGCCCACCTCAAGCGATATGACCATCTCCATGCCCTCAATGTTTTTCCAAGCCAGTCCCACAAGAAAGTGATAGCTTCATCTGAGACCTGCTGAGTTACCTCCTCCAAGTTCAATGGGCAAGCAGATCCCGGATTTTATTTAGCCCTGAAGATAACCCAGTGAGATGGCATGGTTGGTATTATTTTCCTCATTTATCCACGTAGAAACAGAGGCCTGAGAGTGCGTAAGTAGCAGAGAAGTGATGCTAACCAGTGCTCTTTCTGCTATACCAGTGCGGTCCATGCTGGTTATGTATTCACTGATTCCATTTCCCCTTTCCTCTTGGGCACTCAAGTACACTCCATTTTCCAGGCCCCTTATGGTATGATTGAGTCCATGTGACTGAGCTCTGGCCAGTGGAAAGTAGACAGAGTGATGTTGATGCTTCCAGGCCTGGTACCCAGCCCCAGCACCCCCTACACTGCCCTGGTGAAGGCAGTCATCCTCTTTTCCCTTTGCACAGTGATCTCTGGAGCCATGAGTTGAAGATGGGGGAAAGACCCTGGTCCCCTGCAGGACTGAGTGGAGCAAATACTCCTTACTCCCTGGCACAACTGCACTTGAATGTCACAGAACAATGCAGGGGATTTGTATTGAGTTAAACCACTAATATTTAGAGGTTAATTTATCACAGACGCAAGAGTTTCCATAACTAATGCATCCAGGGGTTCCCTGTCTATGATTTTAGACAATACCTGACAAAGCAGTGAGTAACTTTTAATCATTTACTGAGAAAGTTGTTCCTTTTGCAATGCTGTGGCGCCCATGAGAGAGTGGATAGAAAGAGGTAGCTTGTGTTTTCTAAACAACAAATACTTTGAATACACATACAAAGAAGAAATACAAATGGCCAACAAGCACATGAATTGATGCTTAACATCATTTCTCATTCAGGAAGTACAAATCCAAACCACAATGAGATATCACTTCACACCCACTAGGATGGAACAAAACAAAAACAGAAAATAACAAGTGTTGGCGATGATGTGGGGAAATTGGAACCCTTTCATTGTTGGCAGAAATGTAAATGGTCACAGCTGCTATGGAAATCAGTTGGTTAGTCCCTCAAAAAGTTAAACATAGAATTATTGTATGACCCAGCAATTGCACTGCCTGAGTACATACCTGAAAGAATTGAAAACAGGCACCCAAACATATATTTGTACAAGAATGTTCACAGTAGCATTACTCACAAAAGTCAAAAAGTAGATATAGTAGCCCACTCAAATGTCCATCATTAGATGAACAGATAAAGAAAATGTGGTATATACAGGTACATACACAAAATATTACTCAACAATAAGAAGAAATGGTGCTATAATGGGGATGAACCTGAAAAACATTGCGCTGAGTCAAAGAAGCCATTCGCTAAAGACCACACATTGTATGGGAGCCAAGGCAGTATCCAGCGAGACTCTGGCCTCTGGCTGGGCTGAGTGACTTCTTTTCCCCCAGTGCCTTTGAACTCTCTGCACCCAACTCAGCCATGAGCAATGCTGTCACCAGCAATGGGCAGAGGGGCTGGGGCAAGAGTGGGATGGAAAGAATACTGGATGTGGAGACCAAATGTGACAGTGTCCTTGCCCGGCTGCCTGCTTTAGATCTCAGGGGACACGCCATTTCCTCTCCGATAAACTCTAAGCTCTTAGGGTAACCCATGGACCTGCCTGGCTGGGTCTTTGTTGACATTTACAAGGAGCCTCTCCCGCAGCCCTCCAAGGGGTCCCTCTCCCCTGCAGGCTGCATGCCCAGTTCTCCCTGGACCTCCCCAACCCCCTCTCTACTAACCCCCGTTTGAACAGGAAGACACAGCCTGAGCCAGGTCTCCCCTCACAAATCTCCCCACCAGGGCTGGATCGCGCAACAAATAGAGCCAGCCCCAGGGCACTCGCCGGCAGGGCGCAGCCGGTGATCGTCACAGTCCTTCGAAATTCTTAAGATCTAGGTCTTGCTGCACCCCCACAACCTACAAACAGCGTCGGGGCCTTCTCTGCACCTCCAGTTCCCAGCTCACCTCCCTCAGTGTCACAGCCGGTTACCTTTCCTTCCTCCCTGGCAAGGGAGGGCAAGACTTGGGGCTTGCTGACTCCAGGCCCAGCCCAGCCCGGGGCACCCAGGAGCCCCTCAATTGCTACTCAAACAAGACAAGAAGCGGCCCGAGTTAGTGGCCAGCTCCACCATGCACTACACATCCTGACCTCTCTGAGCCTCTACTGTCACTCGGGGTCACAACCCTTTCCTGAGCACCTCCCGGGGCAGGGGGCGATGACACACATGCAGCTGCCTGGGGGAGGCCGGCGGTGTCCCCTCCTTTCTGGAAAGCGGAGGGTCCTGGTGGGCTCTGGAAACGCAGCCCAGACCTTTGCAATGCTAGGAGGATGAGGGCGGAGACCTCGCGGTCCCCAACACCAGACTCCCGCCGCCACCGCGCCCGGTCCCGCCCTCCCCACTGCCCCCCCAGCTCCCCGACCCAGGCGCCCCGCCCGGCCAGCTCCTCACCCACCCCAGCCGCGACTGTCTCCGCCGAGCCCCCGGGGCCAGGTGTCCCGGGCGCGCCACGATGCGGCCGCGGCTGTGGCTCCTCTTGGCCGCGCAGCTGACAGGTAAGGCGGCGGCGCGCGGGCTACCCAAGGGTCTGCGCTCCCGGGGCCTGAGCGGGGAGGTGATAAGTGGCTGTCCTGGCCCTGGTCCTGGCAGGGTGCAGCGTCGAGCCCGCGGTGGCGGGGCGCCCGGGAGGCAGCTTGGCAGGCACGGTCCCTAAGGGTGGAAATAAAATACCCCCATATCGCATTACCCCGGGGGACCGGAGAGCCCCTGGACTGAGGCCACCTCCCCTCAAAAGCCTGGACGCAGGAGAAGGGGAGGCAGTGAAAAGGGGAGCGAGTGAGGGAAGGAAAGAGAGGGTCGCTGGAGGTCACCAGGGGAAGGAAACAGGTCCCTGCCCAGGGTCCCCGCAGGATGTGCTCGGAGGAAGGTTGGCCAGGCCATGGGTCCTGTGGACACATTTTTATTACTTCCGGGGAAGTGTTTGTAGTACAATCAGACAAACATCGGGCGTTCTCAGTTCTCGGAGGGCTAGGGCAGGGTGATCCCTCTGGCTCCCGTTCTCCCTGATGTCGCTGGTGTTGGGTGTCATGGGTAGCGTGGCTCCCTAGGAAGCAGCCTGGAGGTTGGGTTGTTGGAGTTGGATGGGGCATCTGGATTGTCCTTCTGAATAAGCCCAGCCAGACTGCCTTTTGGAAGAAGCCTCCACACACCCGGAAAACTACCCAAACTGGTCGATTTGCTCTCGTGCCCAAAAAGCCCAAAGCTGGTCATCTTGCCAGGGGGTGACAAGGCCTGCCCGCCGGGGGTTCTGGCCCAGTGAGTGCAACATCATAAATAGAAACAGCCCAGGCCGTTCAGAGCACTAAAGTCATTACTGATGGATCTAGAAACATCAGGTCCCTCTGAGAATGGAATTCCTGGGTTACCGAGGGGAACATGCAGTGAGGCCTGGCTCCATGTCCAGCACACAGCAGGGCCTTGGCCACAGCCCGGAGTATTCAGTTCCTAGGGGACAAAAAGCAAGTGGGCCCCGGGAAGAGCCGGGGTGTGTCTCAGCCAGGAGAGGAAATGCACACTCACAGCCCAGGCCTTGCTCTTACAGGAGTCGCTTCTGGGTTTTCCCGGAAGGGCTTCGGGCACCTGTGTACTTGCAGCCCCACTGTGTGCTCGTGAGCACATAACCACCATCAGGGAGAGGATTGCAGGTTTCTTCAATTCAGTGGTTCAAAGTCAGGTTTTGGGGTCCCACAAGCTGGGTTTTAATCTGGATCACTGTGTGACCTTGAGCACATCTTTAACCCTCCTGAGTCTCTCTTTCCTCATGGGTAAAGTAGGTGCAAAACAGTATCTCCCCCACAGGATTTGGTGAGGATCAAATGAGATAATGTATGCGCCATGCCAGGCACAGCTCAATAAACTGGCATTATTGGTTCTTATTAACTCCCCCAAGAAGTGAGTGACCCAAAGCAAGGAAAAACCTCTGCTCTGCTGGAACCGCAGTGTGGTGTTTGGGGAAACAAGAGGAAGTCCAGCAGCCACTTGTGCCCCAGGCATCATTTCCTTCTTGTTTTTATTTTTATTTTTATTTTTTAATAATTTTTTCTTTTCCAAGATGGAGTCTTGCTCTGTCGCCCAGGCTGGAGTGCAGTGGCGCAATCTTGGCTCACTGCAATCTCCGCCTCCCGGGTTCAAGCGATTCTCCTGCCTCAGCCTCCCTAGTAGCTGGGATTAGAGGCACGCGCCATCATGCCTGGATAATTTTTGTATTCTTAGTAGAGACAAGGTCTCACTATGTTGCCCAGGCTGGTCTCGATATCCTGAGCCCAAGTGATCCTCCTGCCTCGATCTCCCAAAGTGCTGTGATTACAAACATGAGCCACCACACCCGGCCCCATCATTTCATTCTTGATGCGAGCGAAAGCTAAGAGTGGTCCAGGAGCGAAGTCAAAAAGTCGAAGTTCATTTCATCAGTGTTGGAGAAGGCCATTATGGGGCCACGGAGCCTGAGCTGCAAGTGCAGGCAGGATTTTAAACATGAGGTGCTCAGTAAGCTGGCTCCTCTTGGGCACACACACATGCCCTCTGGCCCCCTCTGCCTACCCAGGTCTGTGTCCTCTCTGTGCCTCCCAACTCCTGCATCTCTGCCCTGGCCTGCAATGTCTCCCTTTGCTCCACAGCCAAAATGAAGGGCTCACCAGGTCAGATTGTGTTTGTTGGAAGCTGTGCAGCCTTGGTGTGTATGGAACCTGTTCTGATCCTTCTCCTTGAGATTTAATTTACCTCCAGTAACAACCCTGTGATATGAGACACAGGGACAGTATTTACCTGTGTACATGGCCATACAGTTTACAGTGTGCTTTTTTGGACAGCATTTCATTTATTTCCAACCCTCAGAGGCAGGCAGGACAACAGCCCCAAGCTGTCCTCCGTTCATAAGAAGACAGAGGCTCGGTGACTGGCCTGAGGTCTCACAGCTGGCACGGCCAGAGGCTGGGTTCAGGGCCAGGTCTGTGAGTCCTGCTCTAGCTCCTCATGAATAAGCCCCTGCTTGCCGGGTGCTTCTCGTCAGAGTCTAAGATGAACTCCCAGCCCTGCTTCTGTGGTGTCTGTCCTTCCACTGGGGAATAGGGATCCAGTGACCCATCAGTTGCTGGGCTCGGGGGTCATGGGCTGTAATTGTACCTACCAGGGTCTGTCCAGCAACGGACAGACCAGCCACATGCTCTGCTGTGATTCTGGGCTCCTCTCCCAGCCTGTCCTGGGTCTCCTTCGGCAGTTTGGAGCCTACCGAAGGGCTGTACATCCAGTGGCAGCCAGGGGAGGTGAAAGGCAACCAGCTTTGGCTTCAGACTTCAAATCCTTGAGTTTGACTCCTAGGCCACTTACATACTGTAAGTGGGACTTTGAACAAGTAACTTCATGCCTCAGTTTCCTCATCTGTGTAATGAGGATTAAAAATCCTGGATCTATCCTTTTGTGGTGGTACATGCCTATACTCTCAGCTACTTGGGAGGCTGAGGTGGGAAGATAGATTGAGCCCAGGAGGTCAAGGCTGAAGTGTACTATGATAGTGCCTGTGAGTAGCCACTCCACTCCAACCTGGGCAACATAACAAGACCCCATGTCTTTTAAAAAATTCCAAAGCCAGTTTGAGGCTTGATTGAGTTCCTTTATGCAAGGGCCAGGCATATAAGTACACAATAAACAAATGGCAGCTCTCTCCCCTGTACCTTTGTAAAGCTGAACTTAGCAAACACCTCCCTTCCAGATGATCTCCTGGGAGGTGGGGTATGTGAACTCTGAGTCCAGGAGCCAACAGCTGCGCTCAACACACTCCCTGGACCCAGTAACTGGGCAGGTCCTTCCATGGCTTTTCCTTTGACACTTGACTCAGTGTGACTGCAAGGTCCCACAGCTGTGGCTAGGAAAATGTGTGATGTCTCTGTTCTTGGCTTTTCCTAGTTCTCCATGGCAACTCAGTCCTCCAGCAGACCCCTGCATACATAAAGGTGCAAACCAACAAGATGGTGATGCTGTCCTGCGAGGCTAAAATCTCCCTCAGTAACATGCGCATCTACTGGCTGAGACAGCGCCAGGCACCGAGCAGTGACAGTCACCACGAGTTCCTGGCCCTCTGGGATTCCGCAAAAGGGACTATCCACGGTGAAGAGGTGGAACAGGAGAAGATAGCTGTGTTTCGGGATGCAAGCCGGTTCATTCTCAATCTCACAAGCGTGAAGCCGGAAGACAGTGGCATCTACTTCTGCATGATCGTCGGGAGCCCCGAGCTGACCTTCGGGAAGGGAACTCAGCTGAGTGTGGGTAAGAAGCAGGCTCAATGCTATCAGTGAGCACCGATTGTGTGCCAGGCACGTGCCAGGCACTGGGACCACCAGGCTTCAGTGTGCCCCACTCTGCAGCCGTGACTAATGGCACTGCTGCTAATAGTAACAGAAAGAACATGTGGAGACTTACCCAGGCCAAGCCCCTCCAAGTGTTTACATAGTTAGCTTGCTTAATGCTGCCAACCACCCTGGAAGGTAGGTCTATTACCTAACCACTTTAGGTGGGAATAAGATGAAACTAGAAGAGACGGGCCAGAGTCAGAGATGAGCATTGTGCTTCTCTTTTTTATTTATTTATTATTATTATTTTTTTTGAGACAGAGCCTCACTGTGTTGCCCAGGCTGGGGTGCAGTGGTGCGATCTTGGCTCACTGCAGCCTCTGCTTCCCGGGTTCAAGTGATTCTCCTGCCTCAGCTTCCCGAGTAGCTGGGATTACAGGCATGAGCCACCACACCTGGCTAATTTTTTGTATTTTTAGTGGAGACGAGATTTCACCATGTTGGCCAGGTGGGTCTTGAACTCCTGACCTCAAGTGATCCACCCACCTTAGCCTCCCAAAGCGCTAGGATTACAGGCGTGAGCCACCATGCCTGGCCAGGCATTATTCTTCTTATGGGGACAGGGCAGTGCTGTCCTTCAGGCCACATCAGGGACATTCAAAGCTACGGCTGGATTGGGCTGAGCCCCTTGGCCTTATAGTGGTGTTAGAAATCCCCAGAGTGTGCACACAGGGAAAGGAGGCCCTCACTGCCCTGATATACCCAGTGAGGGCATTTCTAGGGGCAGGTGCCCTTATGTTCTCTGTGAGGGCCTACAGCTCGAATTCATACCTGAGTCGAAGTTAGTAAGGAGACTGAGCCAGGCCCAGCTCTGCTTGCAAACTTGCCATGCTTTCTCCCCTGGGCCTCAGTGTTCTCTTCTGTGTCACACGGGGGTGCTGATGGCCTCCATGACCCACTTAATCCCAGAGAAGCTGCAGACCTCTGACTTAAGTCAGCAAGTCCAGCAGACGCACATTTCAAGCCACAGATGAAATTCTAAATTTTTAAAGTCTTGTTTAAAAAAGCAAAAAGAAGCAAGTAAAATTAATTTAAATAATGTTATATTTAACTCAATTTATTAACTATATTTTCATCTCAACATGTAATCAATATAAAAAGTATTGCTGAAATATTTTACATTCATTTTTCATACTAAGTGTTCGATGAGCATTTTACATAAAACATATGGCTCATCTCGATTCAGACTGGCCACATTTCATGTGCTCAGCAGCACCTGTGGCATATTGGACAGAAGGCATTTAGTTATGGGTGGTAACTCTCACAGCCTGGCTCTGGCTCTAGCCCCACCTCCAGCTTGGCCCAAGGCTGGAGCCAACCCCCTCCAGGGCTCCCACTGCCCTGCTTCCTGCTCACTTGAGGGCACTAAAAGCCACAAGGGGACCCAGAAATTAGACCACTCAGCGTGAGGAAGTGCAGGGGCAGCTGGGGACAGCAGCACAATTAGGAAGACACAAACCAAAGTGATGCCCCGCCACCTCTTGCTAGCCTGGGAGGGTGTATTGCAGGCAAGAAGCTGAGGCATCCCTTCACGTGGGGGTCCACTGATTTTCGTATTGAAAAATGGACTTTGGGAGTTTGGGGTTTGGGGTTTGGGGTTTGGCTTTAGCTTATTGTTTTTGTCTCTGTAAGCCCCACACCTTTCCACTCATGAGATTTCAGAGTCTGAGAAGGTGGAGGGTACAATAAACACAGCTAGTTTCCAGAGCTTCCCACCGCCTCCATCCCAACCGCACTCACTCCTGACTTCCGTGTTTCCAAACCCCAAACCCCTCCCAGCACTATAGGAATGTCAATGCCTCTCTCCAGCTCTGGCTTGCAGCCAAACCTGCTTCTCCCCAGGGCTTGCAACCAGACCTTCTTCGGAGCCGAACCCCACCTTCTCACCCAAGAAAGGCCTTTTAGAGGACAAAGCTGGGATGGTTGAGAAAGTGTTTGGGGAAAGACAGGGCCTTTTTCAGGCCCTTAAGTATATCATGGGCTCGAAGTTTTATTCCTTTTAAGAACAGAGAGGGAGAGATTAAACTGGGTGCTCAGGAGGAATCCAGGGGGACCTGGCTCTAGGCAAGAAGAATTTAAAACAGAACAGTCCCCCAACCTGAGTCTCCCACTAGACCCAGGCGGCGGTGCCCAGCCAAGGCACTGAGGGCCCAAAGAGTTGGCTCCCCTCTGGGCTCACCACTGACCATCTGAAAGACGTCCCTGCTTCCTCGGGTAGAAAATAAGTCAAACAGAACTACTTCTAGGGCCATGAGGATTGAAGGAGGCAACACTCCCAGGAGAGGGCCAGGCTCGTTGCACGCTCTCCGACCCTGCTGATGACAGTTTCCTCTTACAATAGTTGCCCTCAGCACTATGATGACCCAGGGCCTTGGGTGGACCTAAAGTGTTCAACTTTTGTCAGAAAATCTTTGCACGTGAGGTAGTGTGGCAGAACGAGAAGCACAGGTTCTAGAATCAAGGTCTTTTGGTGCAGATACTGGCTCTGCAGCCAGTGGCTGTCTAACTTTGGACACATTATTTCAGCTCTCTGAGCCTAGGCTTCCTCCTGGATAAAATGGGGACAACAGTGCCTGCCCCAAAAGTTGTTGTGTCCAGTAAACTTATGCTGAAAGGCTCAGCACTGCTCCCCACACATGGTTGGAGCTTAGTGCACTTTCATCCTAGTTGCTTCTTCCCATCAATGTCTTGAAGCAGACAAACAGATCGTGTTCTCTCCGCTTTCCAGAGGAGGCTCAGAGAGGTGAGGGGTTAAAATGTCTACTTTTATATAGAAGATGCCAGCCCAAAAATGACTGATCTGTGGGCTTCCCCTGCCTGTTCCCCCTTACAACCCCCCAAAACCTTTTTTTTTTTTGAGACGGAGTCACTGTCACCCAGGCTGGAGTTTAGTGGCAGGATCTTGGCTGACTGCAACCTCTGCCTCACAGGTTCAAACGACTCTGCTGCCTCAGCCTCCTGAGTAGCTGGGATTACAGGCACGTGCCACCACGCCCAACTAATTTTTGTATTTTTAGTAGGCACAGGGTTTTGCCATGTTGGCCAGGCTGGTCTTGGACTCCTGACCTCAGGTGATCTGCCTGCCTCGGCCTCCCAAAGTGCTGGGATTACAGGCGTGAGTCACCGCGCCCAGCCTTAATATTTCTTTTCTTTTCTTTTTTTTTTTTCTGTCCCCCTGACTCTAGAGTTTAGGTTCATGGTGTCTCCTTACTCCCTCTCCTACCATTTTGGAGAAAATCAGTGCAGAGAGATCTGTTTCCTTAACCCACAAAGGCAAGGGTTGGACTCTGTGGCCAGCAGTGCCCCCTTCATCCCCAGTAGGCATCAGAGCCACAGCTGTCTTCCTTTGCTCTGGGTGCTGGCCCACTGCCCCTCCCAACACTTCAGCAGGGGTCACTGGGTAAAAATGAAGGAGAGGGGTGACCCATCCAGGAGTCAGGACAGGGGTTTGGGGTCCCAACACAGCACTCACCACTTGGGGCTGCAGGGGCCAGCTCCCCTCATCTCTGGCGTTCACCTTTGAAATTAAAGTTTGAGACTGAACTTCCCTTAGCTCTGGTATTATATATATATTTTAGGGCCATCTGAGAAGGAAAACCAATCCCCAAATATGACACCTGTGTGGTACTCTACATGCAGAAAAGGGCACCCCCTCCTTCCATGAGCTTCCTCCATGTGCTTAGGGAATGCCGAGTTGGGCGGAGGGGCTCGTTGTGCCAAAGGCTGGGCGATCCAGCCCTGGGGCTCAAGGTCTTCAGCCAGGTGGAGCCACATCTACTGAAACTTTTTTTGGACACACTGTCCCTTTCATTCTCAGATAATCCCAAGAAGGAGGTGGCAGTTATCATTATTTCAGCAGATAAGGAAATCAAGGCACAGAAAAATGCTATGACTTGTCCCAAGTCACACAGCGGTTAATCAGGGGTGTAGGTCGGCCGGGTGCGGTGGCTCGTACCTGTAATACTAGCACTTTTGGAGGCCGAGGTGAGTGGATTACCTGAGATCAGGAGTTCAAGACCAGCCTGGCCAACATGGTGAAACCCCGTCTCTACTAAAAATACAAAAAATTAGACGAATGCAGTGGCACGACGAATGCAGTGGCACGACGAATGCAGTGGTACGTGCCTGTAATCCCAGCTACTCTGGAGGCTGAGGCAGGATAATTGCTTGAACCTGGGAGGCAAAGGTTGCAGTGAGCCGAGATCGTGCCACTGCCCTCCAGCCTGGGCTACAGAGCGAGACTTTGTCTCAAAAAATAAATAAATAAATAAATAAATAAAAATAAATAAATCAGAGGTGTAGGCTCTGCTCAGTTCTGTGTGGCTCCAGAGCCTTCCTCTCTCCAGGACACCAAGCTGAACCCCATCTCTAGGCCCTCACCCCTTTCCCAACATCTGAGAATTCAGAAAGCAGATCAAACATTCTATTGCTCTGTGACCTTCAAGCCCTGTAGCAGCCTGGGGAACAGTCATAAGGACTTCAGTACTTGGATGTAAGACAAATTTTGTTCATTTGTTCATTTATTTGCTCTTGAGACAGGGTCTTGCTCTGTCGTCCAGGCCAGAGTGCAGTTGCATGATCATGGCTCACTTCAGCCTTGACTTCCCAAGCTCAGGTGATCCTCTCACCTCAGCCTCCTGGGTAGCTGGGACTGTAGGCATATGCCACCACGCCTGGCTAAACTTTTTATTTTTTGTAGAGAGGGGGTTTCACCATGTTGCCCAGGCTGGTCTCAACCTCCTGAGCTCAAATGATCTCCTGCCTTGGCCTCCGGAAGTGTTGGGATTCCAGGCATGAGCCACCGCACCCGCCATAAGACAAAGTTTTGTCTTTGAGTCCACGTGGTGTTCACTTGGCTAAGATATGTGTCTTGCTTTCTTTCTGTAGTTGATTTCCTTCCCACCACTGCCCAGCCCACCAAGAAGTCCACCCTCAAGAAGAGAGTGTGCCGGTTACCCAGGCCAGAGACCCAGAAGGGTGAGTTCCCTATCCCTCTGCACCCTCAGAAACAAGGCAGACATCCCCTTGCCCTCCCTCCCTCCCCTCCTTCCTTCCCCAGGCACTTTCCAAGTGTCAACTCTAGAGCCTATCTCCCCGGCCTAAGCTAGGGTCAGAAAGGATGCTGAGTGTGCCAGCAACTCACAGTCTCGTGGGAGACAGACTCATAAATTGTTACTGGACAAAGCTTAATGGAGGAGATCTCCACCCACACCCCTGCACACAAATGTCCATAGCTTCATTATTCATACTAGCCAAAAGCAGAAACTACCCAAACATCCACCAGCTAATGAGCTGATTAACAAAATGTGGCTTATTTATTATCGTGGAATATTGTTTGGCCATAATAAAGAATAAAATGAAAGGAGCCAGTCACAAAAATCCATATACTATATGATTCCATGATTATGGAATATCCAGCATATGATCCTCTGTAGAGACAGAATGTAGATTGGTTGCTGCCTAAGGCTGGGGGCTTGGGAAAGAAATGGGGAGTGATTCCTAATGGGTATAAGGTTTCTTTTTAGGGGAATTTAAATGTTCTGAAATTACATTATGATAATGGTTGCACAACTCCATGAATACACTAAAAACCATGACATTGTACACTTTAAACAAGGGGACTTTATACGTAAATTATAACTCAATAAAGCTGTTAACAAACAAAAAATCCACTCAAAGGACCAGCACTTTAAACTTTTCCAGTTTTGGCCAGATGTGGTGGCTCACACCTGTAATCCCAGCACTTTGGGAGGCCCAGATGGGTGGATCGCCTTGAGCTCAGGAGTTAGAGACCAGCCTGGGCAACACGGTGAAACTCTGTCTCTACGAAAATGTAAAAAAATTAGCTGGGCGTGGTGGCACATGCCTGTAGTCCCAGCTACTCAGGAGGCTGAGGTGGATGCCTTGAGCCTGGGAGGTGGAGATTGAAGTGAGCTGAGATCCTGCCACTGCACTCCAGCCTGGGTGATAGAGCCAGACCCTGTCTCAAAAAAAAGTTTCCAGTTTTAATACCTAACAGAGGACCTAATACACAGTATGTGCTAGTTCATGAATACATGTTTGTTTGCAAATGAACACATTTGCTTCTCTATGCTACACCAGACACCTCAGCTGGAGTGTATGCCACATACACACACACACAGACACACATGCCCATGCACACGTTTTCCTTAAACCCATCAGCCCAAACGTGTTTCTGGAAAAATACTGACCTCAGCCCAGCAAAAGTCACTGGTGACAAACAGAAAGTGCCATCTGCTGCTACCCAGAAAACAAACCACAAGCAGCCCCTGGAGCACTGCCTCGCACTGCTCAGTTTGCTTTGTCTTAAATATTTTAAGCACCAGAAATTATTGAGGACGGCACTGAATAGGATCTGGGAGACCAGGGTGGGAAGCTGCCGTCACATGAGGTCACAGTAAAAAGAAAATCAGAACCAATGTACAGAAGAGTAAAGTCTTAAGGAGCTTAAGAGTAACCTTATTTTATAAAGTCCCATGCCCTGACCCCTTCACCTAAACGATTTCAGGCAGACTACCATAAAAAGGATATAAAAGGCAAATACAATAGAGCCACTAAGATGAGGGCGCAAGAACCGGTTGTGTGCTACGGCTGTGGAGAACCCGGCAACATCAGTTTAAACAAAGGGAAGACCCCAAGTTGTATGGCACCCCAACCCCAGTGATAGAAAGAAACAACCTGCCACCAAAAGAAGAAACCTTCATCCTAGCACTAAATTCGAGAAGCAATCTGCCCATTCATCTTCATGTAAGGACAGCTGAATGACGGCAAACTCAGTCATACTTTTATAAATGATGGCAAAAACAAAGGTCTTCAGATTTCTTGCATAATTTCTTTTCTTTCTTTCTTTTTTTTTTTTTTTGAAATGGAGTCTCACTGTGTTGCCCAGGCTGGAGTGCAGTGGCGTGATCTCAGCTCATTGCAACCTCCGCCTCCCAGGTTCAAGTGATTCTCCTGCCTCAGCCTCCAGAGTAGCTGGGATTACAGGTGCCCACCACCACGCTTGGCTAATTTTTATATTTTTAGTAGAGGCAGGGTTTCACCATGTTGGCCAAGCTGGTCTTGAGCTCCTGACTTCAGGTGATCCACCTGCCTTGGCCTCCCAAAGTGCTGGGATTACAGGCGTGAGCCACTACGCCTGGCCTCTTGCATCATTTCTTGTACTAACCCTCAGTAAATTCCCAGGGCAAAATGCAAACCAAACATTAATAGGTTATTAAGAATAACCCGGATGTGTGTGAAGGTGACCTAGTGGAGTAAGGCTGGGGATGGGTGTGGGGAAAGTAGGTGGAGGTTACACTGAGGAGAGTGGCCCTGGGTCAGTGTAGCCTAGTGGCAAGTCAGTCAGGCCTAGGTCTGAATCTCTGTCTACCACTGCCTGTACTATGAGACACTGAATAGGTGATTCAGCCTCTATGAACCTCAGTTTCCTTGTCTGTAAAATGGGGGATGCAGGGCTAAATGAGATGCTATTATACACCAGGCACTCAGAGCTTGTGGGGCGTCCACACAGACCTCAAAGCCTGTTATCATGAATGAAACCCATGGGGTCACTGAGAAGGCACTGCCCCTTGAGGCTTAGGTCTGTTCCTAAGACAACACCCTTAGGTGCTGGGGGACCATTTCTAAACCATAGACTCAGGAGCAGAGTGCAGATCCAGAGCTCAGGAGACCCTGAGGCCCCGGTAAGATGAGGAAGGCTGGGCTGGGGGTGTCGTTGGTGTGGCTCTGGCAAATGGCCCCTTACCCAAGCACGTTATTTGCAGCAGCAGCTTTTCCCGGAGAGTCAAATTTTGGATGGGAGACAGTGCTCCAGAGGAGACCTGTAGCTACATTGCTGGCCTCCACAGTGGTCTTAACCATGACCTCTCCTCAGGAAGGAGCCGTGCCGCCCTGTACATCCCTGTGACCTGCACCCACCTCCATTACAGTTTTTAAAAACTTAGTTGAGCTAGGCATGGTGGCTCACACCTATAATCCCAGCACTTTGGGAGGCCAAAGCTGGTGGATAACCTGAGGTCAGGAGTTCGAGACCAGCCTGATCAACATGGCGAAACCCCGTCTCCACTAAAAATACAAAAATTAGCTGGGCATTGTGGTGGGCACCTGTAATCCCAACGACTTAGGAGGCTGAGGAAGGAGAATCGCTTGAACCCAGGAGGCGGAGGTTGTGGTGAGCCGAGATCACGCCATTGCACTCCAGCCTGGGCGACAGAGCAAGACCCTGTCTCAAAAAAAAAAAAAAAAAACACCTTAGTTGAGATATAATTTGCATACCGCAAAGTTCACCCATTTTAAGCATACAAATTCAATGATTTTGGGTAAATTTACCAAGTTGGGCGACCGTTACCGTAATCTAGTTTTAGAAGGTTTCCATCACCCCAGTAAGATTCCCTGTGCTTGTTCACAGCTCATCTCTGTTCCCAGCCCCTGGCAGCCACTAATCTACCGTCTACCTCTGCAGATTTGCCTCCCCAGGGCATCTCATAGAAGTGGAATCACACACCATGGGGTCTTTCATGCTTGGCTTCTTTCACTTAGCACCATGTTTTGAGGTTCATCCAGGTTGGGAGAACAAATAGGAGGTGAGAGGGAGCCCAGCAGATGCCCTCAGCATCTCAGAGGGGCCCCTCATCCAGCCTCCCTGTCCGTGTATGAATCTCCTCTCCACACCCCAGCCATCCAGCCTTGGCTTGTTCCCCTCTAGTGACAGTGGGCTGCCACCCATGTAGCAGCCCACTCCCTTCCCTCCTGTACCTCTCATGCCCTCATGCAGCTGAGGTGGGACCCACAGGGGCTTGGAACTCGGAGGATCTGTGTCCACACCCTGGTCCTGCCTTTTAGTAGCTGGGTGACCTTGGTTATATAATTTAACCTCTTTGAATCTTGTTGTTTTTGTTTTTTGAACTGTGAAATGAGAGGTAAAAATAATGGCAAGCCAGGCACGGTGGCTCACACCTGTAATCCCAGCACTTTGGGAGGCCAAGGCAGGTGGATCACATAAGGTCAGGAGCTCGAGACCAGCCTGGCCAACATGGTGAAAACCCATCTCTACTAAAAACACAAAAATCAGCCAGGTGTGGTGACAGATGCCTGTAATCCCAGCTACTAAGGAGGCTGAGAAAGGAGAATCGCTTGAACCCAGGAGGCAGAGGTTGCGGTGAGTCCAGATCTTGCCATTGCACTCCAGCCTGGGCAACAACAGCAAAACTCCGTCTCAAAAATAAATAAATAAATAAATAAATAAATAATTTAAAAATACCAATACCTTTCTTCCTCACAAGATGGGAGTTTGCATTTAGTATGTACTTAGCACATATGTATTCAGTAAAAATTCTCTCTCTTCCTTGACATCCACAATGCTTTCCAATTTTCCGAACCTCAAGCCCAAATCTGCAGCCTTGCCCTTTCACCCATGGGCCCTGCTCTGCCCCTCAGCTACTCAAGGGACCAGCCACAGGGGCCTGAAGGGTGTCAGAGGAGGATTTGGGACATTGATAGTGTAAAGTCTGCTGTTTAAATAGCACACAAAATGGACAAAGGAACAGATAGTCAACTCGTAGAAGAAAAATCATACAAGTTCCCAATATATGAAAATAGGCCAAAGCTTATAAGAAATTAGGGAATTTAAGTGAAATAACATTTTTCCCCACTTGACTGGCAAAAACTAAAACATTTTGATGATATCAAGGGTCAGCAAGGTGCACTATTGGTGGGTGGGGACGGAAGTCAGTGCCGCCTTTTAGGGAGGCATTTGACAGCATCTGTCACAATTTAAAATGGGCAAAGTCTGTGGTTTAGTAGTTCCCGTTCTCAGTATTTACCTCAGGAAGGTGCCTTTGTAAGGAAATATACAGGTTGTTTTCTGCAGAGTTATTTGTAAAAGTAAAACACAGGAAACAATCAAAAGGCCCACTGATGACAAGTAACTCATGGTACATCCATGCTGTCAGATGTTACTCTGCTGGAAGAAAGAACACATTGACTAAGTGAAGGAAAAAAGGCACGTTGAAAAAATAAAGGTACAAAAGAACAATTTGTACAGTATAATCCACTCTATATATTTTTTAAAACTATATGTATTTAAGGCCAGTTGCGGTAGCTCACACCTGTAATCCCAGCACTTTGGGAGGCTGAGGCGGGTGGATCACTTGAGGCCAGGAGATTGAGACCATCCTGGCCAACGTGGTGAAACCCCGTCTCTACTAAAAATACAAAAATTAGCCAGGCATGACGGCGGACGCCTGTAATCCCAGCTACTTGAGAGGCTGAGGCAGGAGAATCGCTTGAACCCAGAAGGCGGAGGTTGCAGTGAGCCAAGATTGCGCCACTGCACTCCAGCCTGGGCGACAGAGCGAGACTGTGTGTGACAGAGCGAGACTCTGTGTCAAAACAAACAAACAAACGAACAAACCCTATATGTATATATAAAAATTACATAGGCATGGAAAGAGAAAGTTACTAAATTATCAGTGGTGATTAATTCTGTGAAGGAGCAAAGATGTCAGGGAGCACTCTAATCCTATATTTAAATGTCTTACAATGAAAATATATTCAGCTATTTCTTGTGAAATTAAAAGTTTTAAAAATAAATAGTAAAAGACTCATTACCAGGCATGAAAATTGTCTACTTCTTAAAAATTTGAATGTGGGACATGAAATTTTATAATAAAATGATTTCAATAATGTTTAAAGTGCTTACAAAGACTAGACGATGGCCGGACATGGTGGCTCAGGCCTGTAATCCCAGCACTTTGGGAGGCCAAGGTGGGCGGATTGCTTGAGGCCAGGAGTTTGAGACCAGCCTGGCCAACATGATAAAACCCTCTCTCTACTAAAGATACAAAAATTAGCCAGGCATGGTGGCACATGCCTGTAGTCCCAGCTACTCGGGAGGCTAAGAACGAGAATCCCTTGAACCCAGGAGGCGGAAGTTGCAGTAAGCTGAGAATGCACCACTGCACTCCGGCCTGGGTGACAGAGCAAGACTCTGTCTCAAAAAAAAAAAAAAAAAAAAAAAAAAAATACTTGAGGAAAAATACATTACATCGAAATACAAATGGTGGTATTCTCTGGGAGGTGGGGCTTCCAGTTGAATTTTTCGCTCCTTGTATTTTTCTGCGTGTCTCATGCAGAAAAATGTTCCGTGTTGAACACATGTCACATGTGTGTTTTCCAGGCCCACTTTGTAGCCCCATCACCCTTGGCCTGCTGGTGGCTGGCGTCCTGGTTCTGCTGGTTTCCCTGGGAGTGGCCATCCACCTGTGCTGTGAGTTGTCTCCTCTTGGGTTGTTGGGTGTCCCTGTTTGCTGTTTGAAGTGTCCCTGGGATATTTTCTTCTCTAGGGGAGCAGAGCAGATGGCAGCCTGGTGGGAATTTGCCTCAGAGAACCTACGGTATTTCCAGAGGTAGTTCTTGGCCTGGGGCTACGCAGCCAAAACCAAAGACTACCCTGTCCCTGGAGTCAGGCAAACCTGGGTTTGAGTGCAACGTGGCTGTTTCCTGATCCAGTGCCCCGGTCTCTCTGAGCCTCGGCTGCCTCAGATGGGGGTAGGACATTAGCTACCTCCCAGAGTTGCTGTTTGTAAATTCCTACCCCAAATGCCTGGCACCCGGCACGTGTCAGTGAGTGGGAACTCACGTGAGCAGTTGAGACCAAAGCCCAGTGTCCAGAAAAGTTTGCCTATGGGGTTTGTGTTGTGTTCCTAGAAGCTAGAAATCCTCTCCACGACACCGATATTGATGAGGCTGTGGGAAACAGAAATGACTGCTGCTCCCAGCCACCCCAGAGACGGGACTGTCTCCTTCTATGGCCCCCACCCCAAGCTCTGCACAGCACTGGGTTCACAAGAAAGACGGGGAGCCAGAGGGGAGGCCTGCATGGCTGCCCTAGAGCCCAGAGCCCAGACTCTACCCCGGTTCTTCTGCTCACCTGTGCCACCTCGAGCAAGCCCCTTCCCCTCTCTGCGCATCTATGAAATGGGCAGGTGGGACAGCAAGGGCATGAACTAGATCAGTGGCTCTTAACTTTTGTAGGTCACAGACCCCTTTGAACATACGATGAAAATAACGGACCTCTCCCCACAGAAATGCACCCAGGAGCATACTTTTGCCTACAATTGTTCCCCACAGAGGGGCCCATGTACCCCATTCTAAGAAACCCATAAATTTCAGTGGTTTGCAAACTCTCTCGATCAAGGAAGGAACTCATTGGTAAAATATTTTGAAACACATTTAATAACATGCATAAAATATTAAATAAGCGAATACAGCTAATTGAATATTATAAAGTAAATGCAGCAGTTGGCTGTATTTACTTATTTAATATTTTATGTATGTTATTAAATGTGCTTCAAAATGAAAAGTAAGTTGGGTGTAGTGGCAAGTGCCCGTACTCGAGAGGCTGAGGAGGGAGGATCACTTGAGCCCAGGAGTTCAAGTCTAGCCTAGACAACATAATAAGACCCCATTCCTAAAAAAATAAATGAAAATCAAAAGTAATAAAGGCTGAAATACAAATGTCAATAGACATGCTTTTATTTTCTTCCTAACTCCCAGTGGGAAATCTCGCTCACCCTCTGAATGCAATTGCCCTAGCCTGAGACTGCCTGTCTCTGGGACCTTTCATGTCTGACCTGCTGTGAAGGGCAAGCAGGTGTGTTTAAGGACACAGACTCTGCAGCTGACTAATTGAGTTTGAATTCTGGCTTTCCCACTTACTAGCTGCATGACTTTGGGCATGTTATCCAGTAATTCACTCACTCTGTGTCTCAGTTTCCCACATATAAAATGGAGATCTTAAAAGTAGTATCCAACTCAGGTTTTCAGTGAGCATTAAGGGGATTAAAATGTGTAAAGTGTTTGGGCCAGGGTCTGGGACCAGGGAGGTGGGCTGAGGTGTCAGCTGCCCCTGTGACAATCCTCCTTGGCCTCTGGGGCTCAGCGCAGTGACCCACAGCCCACACTGACTGGCGCCCTTGCTTTCCTCTTCCAGGCCGGCGGAGGAGAGCCCGGCTTCGTTTCATGAAACAGTAAGTGTATAACCTGGGTGTGGCCTTGGGTTCCTCAGCCCCTGCTGCAGCTTGCAGCCTCTAACTGCAGCGAGGAGCCAAAGTCAGACCTCATCTTCCAAAGATCATAGACTCGGCCGGGCATAGTAGTGCACACCTGTAGTCACAGCTACTCGGGAGGCTGAAGCAGGAGGATCACTTGAGCCCAGGAGTTCAAGGCTGCAGTGAGCTATGATGGTACCACTGCACTCCAGCCTGGGCAACAGAGTGAGACTCCATCTAAAAAAAAAAATTACAGACTGTATAAATAGATGGGGTGATAGAGTTCAGGAACCTAAGAGATAACCTAAACAAACAAAAACCTGACCAGTAAGTTAAATGTATTTCAAGAACATTCTTAGCTCTCCTGAGGAGAGCAATCAGGCTTTGCATGCACAGAATACCGCAGAGTATCCCAAACTCATCCCATCCGTTATTTCATCCCACCTATTATTTCATCCCCTTGGTACTGTGTGAGATAAGGGGTTATCACCCTCATTTGACAGATCAGTGGAGAGACTACTGGAATCGGATTTGAAGACCAGCCTCTTCTACCAGCCATTGCTTTCCTTCCCTAGGAGCTGCCTTTGTCCCACCTGCTGCCCTCGACCCCATCTGGGTCCCAGGAGTTGACAGAGTCACATAGCACTCTTGGGGCCCACTAAGCTGAGAAAGAGCCTGTACTTACCCTGGGCTGGGCTGGGACCTTTAGTGGTGGCCATTTAGTCACCACCTTTGCAAGTTGCTTTGCCCTGGTAGGGCAGTGACATTAGGTCCTGGGTCTTTCATGAGGCTGTTGGAAGCCATCCTGGGCCAGGGCAGCATTCCTGCATTTGATTTTTGTTCCTCACAACAGAGACTGTTTCACATCTGCCTATCCAGTTAATTACATTTGATCCTTAGAACAACCCCCTCTATACAGAAATGTTTGGGGGAGCAAAAGTACACAACTCTAAATTGAAGAGGGCAACAGGTTCTCCTGCTCAAAAGCTCCAGCTTTAGGTGGAGACAGGGCTGGGTTTGAATCCCGTCTGCCAATCACCATGTGACAGCCAGCAAGTCACTTCACGTCTCCAAGTCTCGGATTTCTCGTCTGTTAAATGAGCTAACAGTGCCAATCTCACAGTCAGTGTGAGGACTCACTGGGGTATTATCCTTAAAGCATGTGGCCCCAGGACCCCGGAGTCAGAGCACAAGCTCAAGTCACTTCAGTAAATTCCACTCTGCAAGTGCAGCAATGGACAAACAAAATGTATTTTTGAATACTCTAAAATTGTAAATAGCCATATAAATTCATATTACTATATGCTCTGCATTGTTGTACACATTATATTTATATCGAGAGTGGCTTAAACATGCCTGCTGGATTTTATGGGCAATTTTCAATGATATTTTAATTGTGTACAATTTTCACCTTGTGTGTTGGATTTAGAAGCTGCCCCCTACCCAAGAGATAATAACTTGAGTGTAGCTGTCTCAGGCCAGACCTCTAGAAAGTTCCATTCAAGGCCGGGTGCAGTGGCTCAAGCCTGTAATCCCAGCACTTTGGGAGGCCCAAGGCAGGTAGATCGCCTGAGGTCAGGAGTTTGAGACCAGCCTGGCCAACATGGTGAAACCCCATCTCTACTAAAAATACAAAAAATTAACTGGACGTGGTGGCAGGCGCCTATGTAATCCCAGCTACTCGAGAGGCTGAGGTAAGAGAATCACTTGAACCCCGGAGGCAGAGGTTGCAATGAGCAGAGATCACACCATTCCGCTGCAGCCTGGGCAACAAGAGTGAAACTCTGTCTCAAAAAAAAAAAGAAAGTTCCTTTCAAAATGTCTCCCATGATGACCTTTCATGGAAAGTAAGTCCCTCTCTGGTACTAACTGTGGTCTGGGTCTGTCCCCACCCCTTCATTTTAACTTGCTCCCCAGTGATCTGATGCCAGTTTTGGGGAGGCTGGATGCAGGACCTCATGCTTTTGCAAGCCCAGGATCAGCTTGAGGCAGGGAAGGGGCTCTGGGTGGTCGTGGGGGGACCCTGAGACCTCCTCACTCTCTTCATTTTGAACAGACGTACTCTCTTCTATTGTCTGGGTTTACACTTACCTGTAACATGTCATTTGAACAAAAGGGTTTGTGGCTTCAAAAAAGCTTGAAAACCACCTCTGGTTTTGCTCTCATGATCCAGGCATGGAGGAAATAGCCTGTGGTGCTCACAGATCTGAGTTGCGATTTGAGGTAGTTGTTCCCCAGCCTCTAACTGTCCTTAGAAAATCATCCCATCTGCAGGCTAATTTCTTCTGGCCCCTTGATATAAATTTGTGATTCTCTTAGATTATCTTAGAGGTACTACAGGAAGTAACCCAATTCAAAGCTACCGTTCTTTGAGCTGCAGTTTTGTTTTGTTTTGTTTTTTAGCCTTAACAATCTTTTTAATGACTAAGATGGGCCCTAGAAACATACTAACAAAAAACTCTCGGCCCCAGGCTACTTGGAGTAGAACTCTGCATTCTCATTTGCCATTTGTCTCTGTTACAGGAAATTCAATATCGTTTGCCTGAAAATAAGTGGTTTCACAACTTGCTGTTGTTTTCAGATTTTACAAATGAGCAGAGAATACGGTTTTGGTGTCCTGCTACAAAAAGACATCGGTCAGTAACGAGCACGATGTGGAAAAATGAGAGAAGGGACACATTCAACCCTGGAGAGTTCAATGGCTGCTGAAGCTGCCTGCTTTTCACTGCTGCAAGGCCTTTCTGTGTGTGATGTGCATGGGAGCAACTTGTTCGTGGGTCATCGGGAATACTAGGGAGAAGGTTTCATTGCCCCCAGGGCACTTCACAGAGTGTGCTGGAGGACTGAGTAAGAAATGCTGCCCATGCCACCGCTTCCGGCTCCTGTGCTTTCCCTGAACTGGGACCTTTAGTGGTGGCCATTTAGCCACCATCTTTGCAGGTTGCTTTGCCCTGGTAGGGCAGTAACATTGGGTCCTGGGTCTTTCATGGGGTGATGCTGGGCTGGCTCCCTCTTGGTCTTCCCAGGCTGGGGCTGACCTTCCTCGCAGAGAGGCCAGGTGCAGGTTGGGAATGAGGCTTGCTGAGAGGGGCTGTCCAGTTCCCAGAAGGCATATCAGTCTCTGAGGGCTTCCTTTGGGGCCGGGAACTTGCGGGTTTGAGGATAGGAGTTCACTTCATCTTCTCAGCTCCCATTTCTACTCTTAAGTTTCTCAGCTCCCATTTCTACTCTCCCATGGCTTAATGCTTCTTTCATTTTCTGTTTGTTTTATACAAATGTCTTAGTTGTACAAATAAAGTCCCAGGTTAAAGATAACAAACGGCTCCTGTGACATAAACGTGCGAAAGCCCATCTACAGCAAAGACATCAGTGCTCCGTGGAACAGAAACCAGAAGGAGAAAATTTGTACATCCTCCTTTTGCACCTGAGATCCTCATTTGCCCGACGTTGTAGGTGTGGAGAGTCCTAGAGAGGCTAGGAAGCGCCCAGGGCACCCAGAGCCAGGCTGCAGGTGCCTCAGGCCCCTCTCCCAGCCCACTCCCAAGCTGAACTAGCACGTGTTCATTTCTACCGCGGGTTGAACCGCAGGGATCCCTGGCTTCAAGTCAGGCACCAAACAGAAGGTAGGAGGCATGAGGGGTTCTGTCACATGTCTCTTCATTTTCTTATTGATTCTTAGCCTTGACAGTTGGAGAAGGAAAAAGCAAGGAGAAAGTGCTGAGCAGGAGTGGAGAGTGAAGAGCAGGACCTCGTGCCTGGGTTTGAAAAAGTGCCTGAGACCCATCTTAGCCGCCCCTACCTGAGCTTTAGCAGCCTAGGAGCTATTGCACCATAAAACACTGCAACCTGAGGCTGCATTAACAGAAGCACCACGTCCAGGTCCAGGGAGAATCCAGCCTCACCTGCTTTTCCTGGCCAGCTCAAAGAAGGACATTGACAAATCAGGTTATGTTCAGTTACCTGTGACAACCACAGAATGTAAGAAATGTTACAAAAAAAACAGGAAAGGAAAGACGACTCTGGGGAAGGGGCAGTGTGACCTTCTCCTGGCATCTGGGGTGCGGCCGCAGCAGAATGAGGTGTGGTGGGTGGAGTTAGAAAGGCATAGATGCAGTGTTACCGGAAGGAGGGCCTTGAGTGTAAGTTGTCCAGGTCCTTGGCATTTTGAACAAAGAACTGAACAAAACATACAAAGTAATAAAGGAATAAAAGCAGCAAAAGGAAGAATTTATTGAAGTGAGAAAGCACTCCACATGGTAGGAGTGGACCCTAAGCAGATAGCCCATGGGCCCAATTGCAAAGTTTTCTGGGTTTTAAGTACCCCTTTTGAGGTACCTGTTGGCTACCCCTTATCTGGGTGAAGGATTTGGTCCATGGCTAATGAAAGGCTGAGGTGAATTGACGCCCTATGCGGATGAAGGGATGGCCCGTGCTTGGTCTGTGGTCAATCCAGGGCCGTCTCCCTTTCCATCTGAGATGCAGTGGAAGGGGGAGGGTTGTAGGGAGAGTAGCCTTTGATCCTTGGTTACTCAGTGTGGGGAGATGGGGTTTTTCCTTTTGGTGTATGTTAATTGGCCTTAGATGCCCTGCCCCCAGACCCAGGTGTTTTCCGTTTGCTCCAGCTTTGAGAAGTCAGCACAAATTGGCCTCAGATTCCCTGCCCCCAGACGTAGGTGTTTCTCCTTCATTCAGCACGAATTGGCCTTAGATGCCCTGCCCCCAGACCCAGGTGTTTTCCATTTGATCCAGCTTTGAGAAGTCAGCACAAATTGGCCTCAGATTCCCTGCCCCCGGACATAGATGTTTCTCCTTGATTCAGCACGAATTGGCCTTAGATTCCCTGCCCCCAGACCCTAGACTCCTGCCTCAGCAAGAGGTGTTCAAAAGAAACAAAAGCTCTGCCCATCAGCTCTGAGGACAAGGGACAGGCTGCCTTCCAAGGCTGAGGGGAGGGGTGAAAGAATTGGGGTCAGCTGGACCAGACTCCTCTAGGGTTCGTGTTTCAGGTGGGCCCCTCACCCGGCCCATCACAAACAAATAAGAGATTAAGGCCTGCAGTGCACATGGTCTGCCCTCCTTGAAGGCTCACACCCAGTGCACAGCGGAAGTAAGAACAGGCCACAAGGCCTCTTGTCCCACTGCAGGCTTTGAAATTTGACCGTCTCCCTGCTGCTGTCTTTGCAATTGCATGTACTTGTTCACAAGTTCTCATGGGGTTGGGCTGGGGGCAGGGGTGGTTTGCGCTCCTCTGTCAGTTTTCTGTGCAGCAGGCACCTGCCGAGGCGGGCTCAGCTCCGGCTGCCCAGGGAGCTGGAGCAGGCTGGGCTGCCAATGGTGGGGGCTGCGGTGAGAAGGTCTGCACCCAGCACCTGACCTTTGTTTGAAGAAGGAGCTGAGCTGCTACTACACTCTATAGGGCCATTATGATGAAATATGCCCCCCAAACTCCATCCAGCTATCTTTTGACTAGCAATTCCACTTGTTGGCATTTATCTGAAAGAAATACATCAAAAAGTGGCATGCACAAAGAAATACGCATCAGATTGTTCCTTCTAGTGTTGCTTACTAGCTAAAAATGGGAAATAATCCAAATGTCCATCAAAAGGGACTGGTCAGATAAATTCAGACACAGTCTAATAAGGGGGTTTAGGCGGCTGCTAAGGAATGAGCTAGATCCATATATGCTGATATCAAATGATGGTTATGACAAATGCATATATTTTTAAAACATCTGTATAGATTATTCTTAATACAATATATGGCACAATATGTAGTCACTGTTAAAATTCAAGCACAAAAGAAAACAAGCAAAACAAATATATGTTGTTAGAAGTTAGGATACAGTTACCCTTGGTCCAGTGGTGGTCATTAGGAGGGAGCATGAGGTTTGAAGGTGAGCATTTCTGCTTCTCAATCTGGGAATCACTTATATGAGTGTGTTTCATTAGTAAAAGTCATCAAGCTGTACACTCAGATATGTTGACTTTAGAGCTATGGATATAGATGTAAATTATACTTCAAGAAAGAGACTTTTTAAAATCCAAGTACAGAACATTGTAGAAATGTGTAAAATTGGTATTTGGAAGTTTCTTCAGCAAGCACATGGGATTACAGCTCACGCCTGTAATCCCAGTACTTTGGGAGGCCCACACAGAATGATCACTTGAGCTCAGGAGTTTGAGAGCAGCCTAGGCAACATAGCAAGACCTCGACTCTACAAAAAATTTTTAAATTTTTTTCTGGGCATGGTGGTGCTTGCCTGTAGTCCCAGCTATTAGGGAGGATGAGGTGGGAGGATCTCCTGACCCCAGGAGTTTCAGACTGCAGTGAGCTGTGATCACGCCACTGCACTCCAGCCTGGGCAACACAGACAGACCTTGTCTCAAAAATAAATTTTTTCTAAAAAGTTTCTTGTTTTTTTTTCTTCCCATATTTTTTAAAACATAAAATTGAAATCTTGAGAATATAATACATAAAATAGAGAATATAGAAAATTACATCTTCTAATATTGTTCTGCAGATTTGATCTTTTTTCTCTAATAATAAATCAAGGCCTCCGGGTATATTTGTTTGTATATGTACAGGAAAAGGTCTGTAAGGATTTACTTTCAGCTGTTAATTGCAGTTACTCTGCGGAATTTCCACTTCTGCTTTGTACAGTTCCTTGTGTGAATTTTTACATCATGTATTACTTTTGTAGTTGGGGAAAAAGCAATTAAAAGTTTGGAAAAAAAGAACCTCTGGCCATTGTTATAATAAGAAATTGGAATCAATAAAAATATCCACAAACGAAAGATTTATTCATAAATTAAAAAAATCTGAACCATGGAAATCACGGTGAGGCAGGTCCGAGGTGGCCAGACAGCACAGCCTGGGTCTTTACCAGCTGTAGACTTTGGGCGAGCTACATTTGCAATTGCATTTACTTGTCTGGAAGTTCACATGGGGCTGGGCTCGTGGCAGGGGTGGGCTGCACTCCAGCAACCTTAGGTGAGCCTGGGTTCTCTGCCCTGAAGGAGAACATCTATAGTACTTCCTTTTCTGTGTTTTTCTGTGGACCTTAATGGGTCTGGGAGCAGCACTGGTGTTCCCCCCTCCCCCCGCCCCCTTCCTTTCAGTGGGAAGTAGCCTGCAGGTGTGGAGCCCACCCCGGCCTGTTCAAAAGAAGAAGGGGGGTCCTACACCACCCCCTCCCTTTCATCCTTACTCATCCCCACCCCCGCCCCGCAGCTTGTGTCTCTACCTGTAGGAAGTGGGCAACTTGTTTTCAGAAAGTGATCCCCGACCCCGCGTGGGCTGCAAAGCTGATCCGAATCTACCACCCAGTCAAAGGGAAAGACAGAAAGAGCCCTGTCTTCAGAGGCCTTCCAAAAGATATTTCCTCTGTCGCTTCTTGGGAAACCTCCTTCGATGCGTCACTGACACTCCCGGGGAACTGTGAGTCACTGGTTCCTGGAGTCCTCCCAGTTACATAACTCAAACAGAAGGAAACCATATTCCCCAGCCCTGCGTCGGTTTGAGATTCACAGAAATATGCACGACACGTGTGATTCCTGTAAAGCTGAAAGCAGAGGCGCTGAAAAAGACACTTACAACCTCCACAGTACTGTTGGCTCTCCTGGATCCTGCTTTTCCCATTAGTTTACTGCCTTTCACAAGCGAGTACCCTTTTAAGAGCTTTGCTTAGACTTCTAAATTTGAAAGGAAACCATGTCCATTCTTCTACATAATTTTGTTGTTGTTTGAGACAGGGTGTTGCTCTGTCACCCAGGGTGGAGTGTAGTGGCGCACTTATAGCTCACTGCAGGCTCTGTCTCCCAGGCTCAAGCGATCCTTGCACCTCAGCCTCCTGAGTTTCTGGGACTATGGGCATGCACTACCACACCTGGCTAATTTTTTATATTTCTGGTAGAGATGGGGTTTCCCCATGTCACCCAGGCTGGTCTTGAACTCCTGGGCTCAAGCAATCCATCCATCTCGGCCTCCCAAAGTCCTGGGATTACAGGAATGAGCCACAGCACCTGGCCTTTTCATGCATTTTTAATTGTAGACCATTTCCACTCCTGTCCCCATTTATGACTGAACTAATACCCACAACTCTGCACTCAATTCTCCTCTTCCTTGGGGGTGTGCGTGTGTGTGTACAGTGCTCTGTTGCCCAGGCTAGTGTGCAGTGGCGCCATCATGGCTCACTGCAGCCTTGACCTCCCTGACTCAAGCAAGTAGCTGGGACTACAGGTGCGCACCAGCATGCCCAGCTAATTTTTTTTTATTTTTGGTAGAGATGAGGTCTCGCTATGTTGCCCAGGCTGGTCTCAAACTCCTGAGCTCAAGCGATCCTCCCACCTTAGCCTCTCAAAGTGTTGGGATTACAGGCATGAGCCACCATGCCCAATCCCTTAAGTTTCTTGATGCTGGTTCAAATATATCTATTTGGGGAAACTTCTGTGTGCCCAGCCAGCCCTGTGCTGGGACTAGGGGTGCGGCATGGCCAGGATGGACATAGTTGGGCCCCCAGGGCTCGCAGTCTTGCTTACAGCCTCTAGGCCTCAGTTCCCTCCCTAGTAGCCCAGGGCCGAGGCCTGTGGGGGTCCTCTGGCTCTTTCCTGCCACCTGTACAAATCACTCCTAAGCCTGAGGCCAGAACTGAAATGAATGAATGAACAAAGCAAAAGGCTCAGATAGAAAGTCCTTAGGCCCCCACAAGCTGGGAGCACAGCCCTCCCTCTCCACTGCCCCTCCCAGCACCTCCCCTGCTGGCTCCCCCACCCATCCACCCACCCACCTTTCTGTGCTCCTCAAGGCTGTGAGGACCACTCGGGATGTTTACTCTGCCAAGTACAATGGACAATCCCCTTAGAGAACCAAGTTCAACAACTCAGATCTCAATCAGGCATGTGTTTCAGACACTAAAGATTTGGCTCAGAAGATGTCCCTAACCCCACGGGCTTTCATTCTCATGACCGGGGGGACACAGGCTCAAGGCTGGCACTTGCGTGGCTCCAAGAGTGAGTGGCCTCAGTGCCTCACTGGCTGCAGCCTCATGCCAGCCCCGGACAGACCAGAGAAAGACCCGGGTGATACCAACACAAGCAGAGGGCATGGATTGCCTTCTCAAAAAAGTTATGTTTGGCTGGGAGTGTTGTTCACAGCCTCTTACAGATTTTGTGGAGGTCTCTGCGGTTGGGTGAGGGCAAAGTTACGAGGGGAAGATGTGAGGTGGTGTTGGTGGAGGGGTGGAGGCTCCTCTTCCCCACACACCCCTCCCCAGCACCCCTTCAGCATCCTGCAAGCCTGAAGCTGCCTGCTGGGCTAGGCCTGCTGTCTGGGCAAGACCAGACCAGGCAAAAGGGAGGCCATGACTCCCACCCCTCCACCCTTACCTCAGCCTCAGCCAAGTTTGGGGGACATAGGGAGGGGAGAGCAACAGTAAACGTGATCAGCACAAAAGGCGGGCCTGCCTTCGGATCACGAAGGCTCTAGCTGGGCCAGGGCAGAAGATGGAGTTTGGGTCGTCCCTGCCTCTATCCGAGTACCTACCCTGCAGCCACACTGATGCTTCTGGTTTGGAAACAGGGAGGTAGGGTGGCTTCCACAAGACAAGCAGGCTTTGGTTGAAGTCCTTTTGTGGGCCCTGCTCAAAGCCCAGCTCCCTAGAAACTCAGAAAGCCATGTTGGGTGGTCTATCTTGTGGTGTAGGGGATGAAGGAGGAGAGAAGAAAGGCTCACAGTGGCTCAGACCAGAGCCAGTGCTCACTCTGGCAGTTCCATCTTCCTCCATCAGAAAGTCCGCCAGCCCCACCCAGCACAGAAAGGAGCTTATCAGTGGGAGAGGGAGTAATACTGTCGGCCTTTTATCTGTGTAATTTCAGAGTGCGCCTGTGCGTGCTTCTGTGTGTGGCAGGCGATTTGGTGGGGCGGGTGCAGGGGAACGCTTGTCTTTTTTTTTTTTTTTTTTTTTTTTTGAGACAGAGTTTTGCTCTGTTGCCCAGGCTGGAGTGCAGTGGCACGATCTTGGCTCACTGCAACCTCCGCCTCCCGGGTTCAAGCGATTCTCCTGCCTCAGCCTCCCAAGTAGCTGGGATTCCAGGTGCGCGCCATCATGCCCAGCTAATTTTTGTATTTTTTAGTAGAGACGGGGTTTCACCATGTTGGTCAGGCTGGTCTCGAACTCCTGACCTCATGATCCTCCTGCCTTGGCCTCCCAAAGTGCTGAGATTTCAGGCGTGAGCCACTGTGCCCGGCCTGGAACGTCTGTCTTATAAATTTTTCCTAGTCATTGTGACATACAGGGCTGTTCAATGGACAGCTATCCCACGTTTGAGCCTGGTCAGACGCTCCTGATGGTAACTCCAAACCTCCCCACCCTCTCCCCCACACTGCTTTTAATATCCAAGCTCAGTTAAGACTTTTGTGTGTGTGTGTGTGTGTGTAAGAGAAGAAAGCTGATTCACACGTTCTCATTTCTTCTGCCATGACCTCTACACCAAAATCTTTTTCATAGCATGAGTTATGACCCTGGCATGGTTAAGCATACATTTTCCAGAAAAATAATAATCTGTCATTTGCATACAAATGTCACTGAGTAAAAATGTAAAACAGTGATGCTGCTCACTGCTGGAAAGCTTGTGGCCAAGGGCACACAGGTGTTGCTGATGCTGGAATAAGCGAGCGCTACAGCTTTGTGGAAAACAGGTGGGCACCATCTAGTAGTGTTTAATATGAATTAGGGACTGTCACTCAGCACTCCTGGGAATGGGTCCCCGGGAAAGTAGAAGCATCATTGCATCAGAATAAATATACAAAGATGATTCTATCCATATTGTTTGGGCAAAATAAAAATGGGAAACAACCCCAAGATAATCAATAGGGAATCATTTAATAAGTTGCTGTCTATCTATACCCAAAAATATCGTGTAGCCATCAAAAGAATGACTTAAAAAGAATGATTTGGCCGGGCACGGTGGCTCACCCCTGTAACCCCAGCACTTTGGGAGGCTGAGGTGGGCGGATCACGAGGTCAGGAGTTTGAGACCAGCCTGGTCAAGATGGTGAAACCCCATCTCTATTAAAAATACAAAATTTAGCCAGGCATGGTGGTGGATGCCTATAGTCCCGGCTACTAGGAAGGCTGAGGCAAGAGGGTCACTTTAGTCCAGAAGTTTGAGGTTACAGCAAGCCACTGCACTCCAGCCAGGGCAACAGAGCAAGGCTCTGTCCCCACTGCCCCCCAAGAAAAGGAAGGAAGGAAGGAAGGAAGGGAGGGAGGGAGGGAGGGAAAAAGAGGGAGAAATGGGCGGAGGGGAAAGGGTGAGAGAGAAAGGGAGGGAGAGAGAGGGGAGGGGAGGAGAGCGGACGGGAGGGGAGGAGAGCGGAGGGGAGGGGAGGAGAGCGGAGGGGAGGGGAGGAGAGGAGAGGAGAGGGCCGGGTGCGGTGCCTCACACCTGTAATTTCAGTACTTCGGGAGGCCAAGGTGGGCCATCACCTGAGGTCAGGAGCTTGAGACCAGCCTGGCCAACATGGCAAAATTCTGTCTCTACTAAAAATACAAAAATTAGCCGGGCATGTAATCCCAGCTACTCGGGAGGCTGAGGCAGAGAATCACTTGAACCTAGGAGGCAGAGGTTGCAGTGAGCCAAGATCACACCACTGCACTCCAGCCTGGGCAACAGAGTGAGACTCCATCTCAAAAAAAAAAAAAAAAAGACAGATTAACTTGGCAACACTGCCAGAGTGTACTATTAAGGAGGAAAAGCAGGATGCAGGGAATTATTTAAACTATCCTTTTTTGTAACACAGGAAAGCATCTTCATGTCTGTAGCTGTGTTCCTGTGCCTATGACCCTGTGAGGAGGCTGCAGCAAGAGGAAGGGTGGAGGGGAAAGAGGGAGAGAGAGAAGAGGAGAGGAGAGAAGAGGGGAGGGGAGGGGAGGGGAGGAGAGGGGAGGGGAGGAGAGGGGAGGAGAGGAGAGGAGAGGAGAGGAGACCAGTGCTGACCATGAGTGTCAAAACAAAAACTTTCCCCTGGAAAAGGGATAAATTTCATTTAAATAACAAGAGATCAAAACAAAAGTATTCCTCTTTTTATTTTTATTAACCTGTCTGTTAAAATTCAATTTTATAATACATTGAAAAGCTCCTAAGAATCAATGTTTTTATTTATCCTTGCATTGTCTAATTCCCAAAAAGGATTTGGGGCAGCTTACAAAGCTCAACCCACACAGGGAGCAGTAAATTGGGGGGCAAACCAACAACAGAAGGGAGGGTGGGGGCAGGAAAAGTGGGTATCATAGTGGCTCACAACCTGAAGTGTCGGCATTTATTCCCCACTCGAGCAGGTTATTTGGTGCTGCATAAAAACCTCATGTGACCGTGCCCTTCCTCTTATTTGATATGATATCTCTTTTTTTTTTTTTAATTTTTTGAGATCGAGTCTCACTCTGTCACCCAGGCTGGAGTACAGTGGCATGATCTTGGCTCACTGAAGCCTCTGCCTCCCGGGTTCATGCGATTCTCCCGCCTCAGCCTCTTGAGTAGCTGGGATTACAGGCACACACCACCATGCCTGGCTAATTTTGTATTTTTAGTAGAGACGAGGTTTCACCATGTTGGCCAGGCTGGTCTTGAACTCCTAACCTCAGGTGATCCACCCTCCTCAGCCTCCCAAAGTGCTGGGATTACAGGCGTGAGCCACTGCACCTATCCTTCTCTTACTATTTTTAGTTTTATAATCACTCAAGGTAATTTATTTTCTCCTCTGATATTTGCCTAAAATTACAATTCACCACCCCAGATAGAGTGTGCTGCTCTGGCTGTGGCTGCGTGGTGTGAACACTCAAGCTCGTCAGATGAGACAGCACAATTAAGACCCTTTCCCACTCACTGATACCTTCCTTACAGCAGTGGCATTTGTTATTACAATGGCCAATTCCTACAGTTAAAAAGATGGCATTGTAAGCACAGGCACAATGAAGTTACTGACTTCCTGATCATTCTTTTCACTGTTTTGTTTCATTTTGTTTTTTTTCCTAAAAGTTTGAGAATAATACTTCTCTCACTCCCCCAGCCCCTAGTCTTTAATTTCTTATCAGAAAATTAGGCTGACTCCTCAGTCTGGGAGTCTCTGAGGCTGATCTTCAGTTTCTACTTTGACCACCCGTGTCTCCCTGGGGCAGGGGAGCTTCAGTGATCCCACAGCTTCATTACTGGTTAGCGGTGTTCTGGCTTCTGGGTTTCTGCTGCCTCATCAGAGGTCTCATTTTCCCCATCTGTGGGTCCCAGCAGAGGGAAAAATTGCAGAGATAGAGGAAAGCAACTCACCTATTCTTTTAGAATCAGAAGGAAAACATTTTCTTTCTCAAAGGCAAAAGAAGTTTCTCTCTCCTCATGGGATTATCAGCTGCTAGATATTTACTGATCAATTTTAAATTGCTGATTTCAATCACTGAAGTGATGCATGAATAGACTCCATTTGAACATGTGGATTACATGACAAATGTAGCAGTCACATACATGGGGAAAGAATAGATTATAGAAGCCAGGCATGGTGGCTCATGCCTGTAATCCTAGCATTTCGGGAGGTCGAGGCAGGCAGATAACCTGAGGTCAGGAGTTCAAGACCAGCCTGGCCAATATGGTGAAACCCGTTTCTACAAAAACACAAAAATTAGCCGGGCATGATGGCAGGTGCCTATAATCCCAGCGATTGGAAGTCTGAGGCAGGAGAATCTCTTGAACCCAAGAGGTGGAGGTTGCAGTGAGCCAAGATCGCACCACTGCACTCCAGCCTGGACAACACAGCAAGACTCCGTCTCAAAAACAAACAAACAAAAATAATAGATTATAATAAAGAGTGCCGAGACAATTGGTTAAATATTTGGAAAAAATGGAGTTTTAGCCCTTCATATCTGACACCAAAAGAAATTCTAAATGATTTAAATAAATAACGTTTCTTAAAAGGACAGAAACCAGAAATTTAGTAATTTAATTAATAACAAAATCTAATAAAATTAAATGCAAACTGGTTTCTAATATAAATTGGAATTATTAAAATAATAAACAAAAGGAATGCATTTTTAAATGGATTTTACCAGATTGTACCATAATATAGCATTTCAGATAGATAAGAGTGCTGATAAACGGGCCCATTCATAATCCACTGCTGGGAGTCCAGGCTGGTCCCACCATTCTGAGGGGCAATTTGGCAATACATATCTAGAGCCTCAAATTTGTGTATTTTTTTTTGAACCAGCAATTTCACTTCTATGAATATATCACGAAAATATTCATGATATTATTGGTTATGCACAATAATAATAATAATTTTTTTTTTTTGGAGACAGAGTCTCACTCTGTCCCCTAGGCTGGAGTGCAGTGGCACGATCTTGGCTCACTGCAACTTCTGCCTGCCAGGTTCAAGCAATTCTCATGCCTCAGCCTCCCAAGTAGCTGGGATTACAGGCATATGCTACCACACCTGGCTAAATTTTGTATTTTTAGTAGAGATAGGGTTTCGCCACGTTGGCTAGGCTGGTCTCGAACTGCTGGCCTCAACTGACTCGCCAAAGTGCTGTGATTACAGGTGTGAGCCACCATGCCTGGCCCCACAAGAATTATTAGTGGCAAAGACATGCATCAGAGTATTGTAAGCATATTGAAAACATGCTAAAAACTGGCTGGGACCTGTGGCTCATGCCTGTAATCCCAGCACTTTAGGAGGCTGAGGTGGGAGGATCACTTGAGCCCAGGAGGCTGAGGCTGCAGTGTGCCAGGATCGTACCACTGCACTCCAGCCTAGGTGACAGAGCGAGACCTTGTCTCAAAAAAAAGAAAAACATGCTAAAAACTACATATCTACCAGTGAAATAAATGAGAATACATCCATGCAAGGTAATAAATGACATTAAAATAATGCTGTGCAAGAATGTTTAATAAGTGGAAAGATGTTCACAATGCATTATTAAATTTAAAAAGCAGATTATCAAACGTTAGATATTCTATGAACCCAGCTCTCGGCAGAAGAGGAGAGAAATTATCTGTGTGTAAGAAACATGTGTTAAATGTCATGGGGGAATGACAGCCGGTGGTGTGGAGGTAAAAGATTTACCGAAACAGTTGCAGGTAAAAGAAGGCAGAAGATTTATTAGAAAATACATTGCCAGAGGGACAATAGGCAGGCAGCAGAGAGAAACTGACTGCAAGGAGACAAAGGCTTGCTGGTGATTTTACAGGGTAGCGTTTATGCTATCTGTTGAAGAGGGCTTTGTGTAGTATTAATAACGCCAAGGTTGCAGTGAGCTAACTTGCACGTGTCTGGTGAGAGTTACTTGCTCAGGAGGGCTGTGTGTCCTGGACCATAAAGAAAGGCAGACTTGTTGCTTATCTGCTTTCTCTTTTTATTTTCCCTTGCTCCCACCCGCCTGACTCCCCCCAGCCTGACTCCTTTTTCCCTAATTAGGAATCCACAGTAAACAAAATATTCAGAAAGATCATATGCCAGCCAGGCGCGGTGGCTCACGCCTGTAATTCCAGCACTTTGAGAGGCTGAGACAGGCAGATCACGAGGTCAGGAGATCAAGACCATCCTTGCCAATGTGGTGAAACCCTGTCTCTACTAAAATGCAAAAAATTAGCCGGGCATGGTGGCATGCACCTGTAGTCCCAGCTACTCAGGAGGCTGAGGCTAAGGCGGGGGAAATCGCTTAAACCCAGGAGGCGGAGGTTGCAGTGAGCTAAGATCACACCACTGCACTCCAGCCTGGGCAACAGAGCAAGACTCCGTCTCAAAAAAAAAAAAAAAAAAAAAAGTAAAGAGCATATGCCAAAATGGTAACTCCAAATGTGACAGGGGTTGGTGTGGGGCAGATTACAAGTGATCTTTATCGTCTTGTTTATGCATGTGCAGTACTTCCATCTGAGTATTACACTGACAGCCAGGCAAAACAACAATGCAATCTCCATTTTGAAAAAAAAAAAGAGTGTGTATGTATATATGGAGAAGATATAATGACAAGAAACAAATTACTGTTTTTAAAAAGTGATGAAGAGTTATTAGAACAACTAGAGTAGGACCCCATTTTTAAGAGAGTAAAGGAATCCAGAAGATAATAAAGTAGAGGTTGCTGGTTGCATCTTTGGAGGTAGGCCCATATGAATACTTTATTTTCCTCTTCTCTTTGCTTTTCTGTGTTTCTTAGATTTTTCCTTAAAAAGGCACATGATTTTGATAATAAGAAAATTATGTATTTTAGGCTGTACCTATTTAAAACCTACTTGCACAGAACTTCACACTTAACACATTGGCTGTGAATATCATAGGCTGGCCATCTCTAGCTGCTCCCAGGGTTTCACTTCTCAGTGGCCAGAGCCACTCAAAGGGCCCCTTAACTTCAGAAGAGAGATTGTCAACAGCATCTCCTAGAGCTGGAAAACCTCCTCTGAAGGGGAAACAAATCATCATCATCAAATAACAAAAATTTTTAAAAATTAAAATTTTCCAAAATATAAATGAGATTATCTACTTTATATATCTACATTAAAAACTTCTCTGTGGGTCCAGACACGCACACACACACACACACACACACACACACACAATTCCAGTTATTTGTAGAGAAATTTTGCCCACATTTGATCTCACTAAAAGTTTAAAGTGACCAGATGATCCATATTTTTACATGTTGTTTATTGACATTCGCCCCCACTTGCCAGCCACCATCTTCATTTATTAAGCATTTGTTATTAAGCGTTTGGTACTGTTCCATTTACCTGCATTATGTCAATTAACCGCTTATGCAAGTACGTACTCTTGCCATTTTATAAGCAGGTCGCTAAGCCTAAACTCAGTCAAGTCACCAGGCAGGAAAGCAACACTATAAGGATAGGACTTTACTCAAATAGTGTAGACCACCCACTGATACCTGGTGAGATGTCCTTGCCCCATCCCCCAGCACATGGGAACAAGAGCCAAGGCAGTTCAACTTCAGGTCCTGCACAAGTTTTCCTAGTCTCATCTACAAAGCCCCAGAGTTCATGATCACTGCATATAAGCTATGAGTTCTTCCTCTACTTTTGTTGTGGGTGAAACAGCAGCAAACTGCAATTAAAATTCAAAAATCTTTGCAACTAGCAAAATCTGATCCATTAGTCCAGAGCTGTAGATCTCTATGTTGCAAAAACAATTTAAAGTCTACATTATTCAGCTTCCAAAATAAAACGTGAACACCCTTTACAGCAACCCTGCCCCATATTTGTCTACCCCACATTTTTTTTTTTTTTTTTGAGATAGGGTCTTGCTCTGTGACCCAGGCTGGAGTGCAGTGGTGCCCTCTCGGCTCACTGCAATCTCTGCCTCCTGGGCTCCAGTGATCTTCCCACTTAGCTCGTGAGTAGCTGGGACCACAGGCACATGCCACCATGCCTGGCTAATTTTTTTAACTTTTGTGGAGATGGGGTTTCACCATGTTGGCCAGGCTGGTCTCAATCTGGGCTCAAGCAATCCACCCACCTCAGTCTACCAATGTGTTGGGATTACAGGCATTAGCCACCACACCAGGCCCCCAGCCCACATTTAACTACCTCTCGTGACATAAAACCCGAACTCTCAGGGCAAGCCAATTCATGTTTAACTCTACCAGAAGGTTTTTTTTTTTTTAACTCAAAAGAAGTCCTTGCAAGCTTCCAAGAATCACTCATAAACAAGTCTACTCAGTGGCTTACACTTGAGCACAGTCTTAGCTGATGAACCAAGATGAACTCTTTGCTGCCACAAAATCCACAGTCAGCCAGGCACAGTGGCTCATGCCTGTAATCCTCACACTCTGGGAGGCCGAGGCGAGTGGATCACCTGAGGTCAGGAGTTGGAGACCAGCCTGGCCAACATGGTGAAACCCTCTCTCTACTAAAAATACAAAAATTGCTGGGTGTGGTGGCAGGTGCCTATAATTCCAGCTACTCAGGAGACTGAAGCAGGAGAATCGCTTGAACCCGAGAGGCAGAGGTTGCAGTGAGCCGAGATCATGCCACTGCACTCCAGCCTGGGTGACAGAGTGAGACCCCGTCTCAAAAAAAAAAAAAAACAAGAAATTCACAGTCATGTCTACATGTGTGAACCACAGCCAATTCCAGTGCCCACTGTAATTCCACCCCTTTCGATCCTGCTAAGGAAGCCTCCCACAGTGTACTTGGGCGAGAGCGACACTGTCGTCTACAGGAATAACCTTGAACCTGTTCTACTTCTTAAAAATGAAGTGAACATTTTTAGTAGCCACGCTTCACACCCAGCAGCGGCACAGTAAGGTATCTATACAGGCAGGATTAAGATGGTCGTTAGGGTTCTTTCCAAGTGACAGGGCTCAGGTGATGCACCCAAGTCCATGGCCACCCTTCCTGGGTCACCGCCTCTCCCATAGGTCTTTTGTTCTCCTGGCCCCAAACCTCCACTGCTTTCTACATTGTCAGAATCGATTGGTGGTTCCTGTTTCCTTCTCACTTACCGACCTGCACATGTCACAGATTCTCAGCATATTCCATTTGCAAGAAAGCCACTGTTTTAGAGTGGCTCTCTGTTTTGTTTTGATTGTTGAGAGGAGCTCGTGGGCATTATTGCTGCATCACCCGCCACACAACTGGGGAGGTGTCACCGGCTAAACAAAAGGCAGGGGTGACGGCTCCTCACCCCTGTGGCCCAGATGGACTCCTCTGACAACCGGGGCAGAGCTAGGAAGACAATACAGACTCTCATGTTGCCTGCACAGAGCTCCCCACAAGACCACACTTCCTCCCGGGCTTTGAAGGGTACATCAATATAAGACAAATGATACGTTCTAAAAAACCGCCTGCAAACACGGGCACCTGAGCCTGCTTGGTCTGCAAATGTTTCAAGGCTCAGGGAGGCTGTCATGGATGTTTTCCCCCCGAGAGCTCCAGTGGCGGAGGTCTGCACATTCAGGTAGGAGCTCCTGTTCATGTCCGAATGGCACCCCTGTCTCCTCCTGGTGCTCTTTGGGGCAGCTGACACCATGTTGAGCATGCAGCCTGTTACAGTCAGGTAGGACAATAAAGAGTGGAGTGGCGGGCAGGAGGTGAGGCATGGGCAGTGGCCCTTTCTGAGGGGCTCCCATGCCCCCCTTAGAGCCTGCTGTTCAGACTTGGAGGTGGCAGCGAAGAACGGGTCCCAACACTTATCTTTGCTCATGTTGCCGCTGCATGCAGTTTCTGTTGGCTTCTTCGGAGAGGTGTCTAGTGCAGTTATCACCCATAGGAGCCTGAGCTGGCTGGAGCTCTGGGACATTCACCTGGCTCAGTCTTTTCCCACCTGAGAGGTGCCTGGGTGCTGCCTGCCAGGGCAGCCGTTGTCTGATTCCATCGTGATCACAGCAACCGCAAGCCAGCCACAAGCCTCTGTCTTTGTGTGCCTGGGGTTTACTGCGACCCTTGGGGATTCAAATGGGGTCAGATTGAAATGAGCAAAGAATCCTCTGAAGCCTGGACTCTTTCCCAAGGAAGTCAAAGGGAATGGCCAAGGAGGGGTTGGGGGATCCTGGAGGACGGTGATCCTCACCCTCCACTCCCACAGCCCCCATAGCCCCCCAGTAGGGGGGAGTCAGACAGAGCTGCCGCCATCCCTGGGACCACCTGCACACCTGCCCCTTTTATGTGGGGACGTTATGTAGGGCGGCCCCTCTCCAACCCCAGCAGCACACCCCCCACACCGACACCCAAGCTGCGTGGGACAGAACCAACAAGTTCACTTACCAAGGCAGATGCACCCATCACCCCTGCTCTTTTCCCAGCCTCCTCATGTGCCAGAGCTGCCTTAGGAGCTGTGGAGGAAACTCCAGGGCCCATATAAATTGCTTAGAGCTTTGGAACCCACGCAAGAGATCCATCCTCAGGAAATACTAATCTGTGCCATCATCATTATTTATTGGCATTAGTTATGTGTTCTAGAAATAACAATAGAACAACCTAAGTGGTTGACTATAAAGAGGAGTTTCAATAAGCTGTGGTCATTTACTTGGTATACAAGTATTCAAACCTTAAAAACGGTGGTTCTAAAGATTCTGGAAGCGATTCAGGGAAGGTTTATGCAATGAAGTAAAGGAAAAGCAGGATGTAGCACTGTGTTTATAGTAAGCAAGGTCGAGACAAGGCCTTGGGACAGAAGCACAAGAAAGCATCCCTGAGTGTGCTCTGGAGGGACTAGAACCTTCTTTCCACCTCTGATGGTGAGCTCTCCTCCCCTTCCCTCCACCACAAGGCCTCCCTCTCTCTTCCCTGACCCAGGGCACTGATGAAAAGCCCCCTCCCCACAGGACCCCAGGAAGGGAATGGGTTGCAGGTTTGTGCAGGGGGAGGCTTTTTCTCTTTTCATCTGCTCATTCATTCAATCACAGATTTACTCTTCATTCCCTTAGCTGCTCTTTGGCCTGGAGCACGTGGCTTCTTGCCCTTTGGCCTCCTAAAAATTAGAGGTAACAATTGCTTTCCTGTTGCATGTCCAGCACAACAGACATTGCACACACAGCCACCCAGCCCTGCACAAAGATGCAGAACAAAATGGGGGTTTCGGGCTGATTTGGCCACTTCCAGCTGTGTGCAAAGCAGCATTGATCTGAGCCTCAGCCTTGCTATCTGAGAAATGAAGCACCTCACAGTACCTGGCCCAGAAGGTCACATAGGTAAAAGTGTGGCAGAGGTTGTGCCCTGCATGAAGCATTGGCACTTGTTCCTCAGTGTTGACTGCAATCAGCCACAGCCCAGGGCCTCCTTCCCTGCTCTCAGGCCAGGCAGGGAGAAGAGGGTCCCTGCTCCAGCTCCCTGCTGCATCTAGAATGCACTCCAGCTCTCCCCAGTGCTGAGGCCTGCCATCTCCCTGCGTGTCCCCCAGCATACACACACACACACACATGCTGTACAAAGGCCCTTCCGTCCTCCAGCTCTGTGCCCCTCCTCTCTCTGCCTGGACCCCCCAGGGCTCCTCCTCAGTCTTCTCCAGGACCACTCCCCATCATCCTACAAACATGCAGCCTGTCCAGGAGGCCCTGGGGCGGTGTCTGTCACTGCACTTACAGCACTTCTCACTCTCCGTCATTCTTTCTTCTCTGTGTTTTTCTTTGTTATCTCTGTCCACTACACCGTCCCCTTGAGAGACCACATGTGCTTCTTGAGCGTTTCTTAAACCCTGCCTCGAACAGTGCCCAGCACACGTGTGGGTGCACAGTCAATATCAAATCAATGAGCAAATGAACATTATGTTTACAATGAAAACAAATCAGGGCCTTGGTCCTTATCCTCAGAGAGCTTTTTATAATGATTGTGCAGGCCGAGGCTTGTGGCTCGCTTTGTAATCTCAGCACTTTGAAAGGCTGAAGTAGGAGGATCCCTTGGGCCTAGGAGTTTGAGACCAGCCTGGGCAACATAGTAAGACCTCATCTCCACAAAAAATTAAAAAATTAGCCGGGCACCGTGGTGGGTGCCTGTAGTCCCAAATACTCGGGAGTCTGAGATGTGAAGATCACTTGAGCCCACGAGGTGAAGGCTACAGTGAGCCATGATCGTGCCACTGCAAACACCAACCAGCCTGGGTGACAGAGTGAGACTGTCTCAAAAAAATTAATTAAAAATTTTTTTTAAGTTTTAAAAAATGATTGTGCAAAAAGGTAAATACAGTATGATTCTACTTGCAGGAGGTACCAAGAGTGGTGTCTCTGAATTCGTCAGAGAAACTGAAAATATCATAGCGGTTACCTGGAACTGGGGGAGGGGGAATGGGGAGTTGGTGCTTAGTGGGTACAGAGTTTTAGTTTAGGAAGATGAAAAAGTTCTGTGGATGCATGGTGGTAATGATTGCACAAAAATATAAATATACTTAATGCCAGTGGAGTGTATACTTAGAAATGACTAAAATGGTAAATTTATGTTATGCATACATTTTGCCACAATTTTAAAAATAGCTTTTAAAAAATGGTTGTAGAGAAAGATATAAACACATTAAACAACTGCAGAATGATGAGACAACATATGAGTAAGTGGCACCAACAACATGAGATAAGAAGTGACACATACTGCTTGATTCTGGCTCCCAAAAAGTCCAGTGCTGAAGGCCATCCCTGGAGTGGAGTGTGGCTTTGCACTGAACATTGCTCTCTGGGAAGGGAAGTGAGTTATTTTTAAGCTTTCCATTTGTAAAGGTGATATAACTGCAGTAATACACATTGCAAAAATTAGCCACTAGAAACAACAGCAAGGGAAACGCATCTTGGTGTATTTTCTTCTAATGTTTTAAAAACATTTTTTACATTTTACATAGTTATAATCATGCTGAATGTATGTTTATATCAAGCATGCTGTCTGCGTTTTCCTTGTCAACCTTTCCATAGGTTTCATAATTCTAAAACATCATCATGTTAATGCCTAAAATTATATTGAATGCATTATCATTGTTTACTTAAATATTGCTTTATTTCTGAACATTTCCATTGCTTTTAACATTTAACATCTCTGTTCATACTCTATTGTGCCAAGACTAAGATTACATCCACTGGAGAAATGTTCCAGAATGGACTACTGAATATACAGGTATAAACATTTTGATAGCTTCTGATATTGCTTTCTGAGGTCATCATGACTCTTACCTGAAACAGATATCATCTTTTTTTTTTTTCCTGCTGGGGTATAAGTGGAAAACACATTTTCAGCACTGATATAATTTTGTGTTAGAAGATTGCAGCACTTTAAAACCCTTTTTCCCAAGAGCTAAAGGAGAGTTGATGCTATAAATATGGCAGGAACTCAAAACCCTGGGTACAGTCCCTGGTTCATCTCTGCCCTGTGACTGGGGCAAGTCAGGGCAGGACTGTTGGGAGCTGCAATCCAAGCACAGAGTTGCTCGGAGTTGCAAAAGGAGAAGCCACAGGGCAGACATACAATACAGAACCTGAAAGAAGTGCCCAAGCCTGCGCCAGCCCTTCAAAATCAGAGAAGAGCGGGCCTCGAAAAGGCAAAGAAAGAAAGAAGGCAGAACGAGCTGGAGCGAAGGAATTAACCAGGGGGAAGAGAAGGGTGGAGGAAGCAGGGGGCTCGGAACATTCCCTTTGGAGAGGACGGGGTTTGTGGGGGCTTTCCCCTGCTGCAGCGGGGCTCTTTGCTAAAAGTGAAACTGCGATTTTCGGAGGGTTCCGAAGGCGTTCACCTAGGGAAGGAAAATGTTCCATTTGGGGGTCCACACTGGGTTAAAAACAATGCCTCTGCCTGCTCTCAGTTATGGAGGCCCCCGAGTGTCTTCAGTCAACTCTGGGTGGTTCTGAGGCTACAGCAACAACCGAACTCGGCCTGTGCCCCAACTTGGCCCAGGGCCTGAAGGAGCCCCAGTGTGATCTTAACTCAAGTGTGTCCGCAGGACAAGGCCCCATGTTGCTTCCCCGCCACAATACAACGAAGAACAAAGCTCCCGTCGGCTGAGTGCCTCACAGGCGCCAGCACTGTGCTGGGAGTTGTGCGTTCTTTTTCCTGTTGGTTTCTTAACCGCAGAACGAGGTGGATATTAGCAACTCCTTTAGCAGGGCTCAATGGCGTCTTAGAAATCACACCACATTTGATAAATCCGAAAGCTTCGATTCACCCCAGGCGGCCTCACTCCAACGCCTTGAGAATTGAAGGAGCAGCAGGCTTCATGAGTTTGATGAAAAACTTGGGAGAATGCCAGTGTAACCTAATAAAAAGTCAAAGTTATTGGATTATTTGAAAAAAAAAAAAAAAGTAAAGTTGATCCTTTCAAGAGTACCTATATAAAAAGAGCACCTATATTCAAAGCCAGCTACACCGCCTGTGGTTCAGAAGTGGGGAGTTGGGTCAGAAAAGGTGGGACAGACAGGATGGCTCAGTAATTAGGGCTGGCACATAGCAGATCTGGGCTACCTGTGTGACTCTGAGCAAGTGAATTAACCTCTCTGAACCTTGAATATAAAACAAGAATAATGATAATATCTACCTCACACATGAGCATTAATAAAATAGTGCTTGCAGAGTGCATGGCACATACTACTCAGTCAATGGTAGCTGCTAGCATTGTTATCTTAATGATCACTGTTATTACATTATATTCTAGTTATTTTTTATATTTTTGAGACTAGCCTAAATCTCACCACTCAGGCTGCAGAAAGGATGTTTCACTAACCTTGGAAATTCCAGTATAGGCAAACCTCAGAGATATCTCAGGTTCAGTTCCAGACCACCACAATAAAGCAAATATCACAATAAAGCCAGTTACATTCATTTTTTGGTTTCCCAGTGTACATAAAAGTTATGTTTACCCTATAAGGTAGTCTACTAAGTGTACAAAGACATTATGTCTGAAAAAAAAAGTACGTCTTAATCAAAAAATAATTTATTACCAAATACATGCTAAAATCACCTGAGCTTTCAGTGAGTCATAATTTCTTTGCTGATGGAGGGCATCTTGCCTTGATGTCAATGGCTGCTGACTGATCAGAATGGTGGTTGCCAAAGGCTGGCGTGGCTGTGCCAATTTCGTAAAATAGGACAACAACAAATCTTGCCACATTGATTGACTCTTCCTTTCACAAAAGATTTATCTGTAGCATGCGATGCTGTTTGATAGCATTTTACCTACAGTAGAACAGCATTCAAAATTGGAGTCACTCCTCTCAAATACTGACGCCTCTTTCTCAACTAAGTTTATGTAACATTCTCTATCTTCTGTTGTCATTTCAACAATGTTCACACCATCTTCACCAGGAGTAGATTCCATTTCAAGAAACCACCTTCTTTGCTCATCAGAGAGAATAAACTCCTCATGTGTTAAGTTTGATCACGGGATTGCAACAATTCAGCCACGTCTTCAGACTCCACTTCTATCTCTAGTTCTCTTGCTATTTCTACCATACTTGCAGTTACTTCCTCCACTGAAGTCTTGAACTCCTCCAACTCATCCAGGAGAATTGGAATCACCTGCTTCCAAACTCCTCCTAATGTTGGTATTTATACCTGCTCCCATGAATCACAAATGTTCTTTGTTGCATCTAGAATGGTGAATCCTTTCCAGAAGGTTTCACCCAGATCTATCAGAGGAATCATCATCTGTGGCAGCTCTAGCCTTACGAAATGTATTTCTTAATAAGAATTGAAAGTCAAAATTACTCCTTGGTCCATGTAAAATCAATGTTGTTTTACCAGTCATGAAAAACAATATTAATCTCCTTGTACATCTCCATCAGATCTCTTGGGTGACCAGGCACATTTTCAATGAGCAGTAATATTTTGAAAGGAATCTTTTTTCCTGAGCGAGTCTCAACAGTGGGCTTTAAATATTCAGTAAACCATGCTCTAAACAGATGTGCTGTCATCCAGGCTTTGCTATTCCATTTACAGAGTATAAGTAGAGTAGACTTAGCATAATTCTTAAGGGACTTAGGGTTTTTAGAATGGTAAATGAGCATTGGCTTCAACTTAAAGTCACCAGCTGCATTAGCCCCTAACAAGAGAGGCAGGCTGTCCTTTGAAGCCAGGCATTGACTTCTCTCTAGCTATGAAAGACCTAGTAGCATCTTCTTCCAATATAAGGCTGTTTTGTCTACATTGAAAATCTGTTGTTTAGTGTAGCCACCTTTGTCAATAATCTTAGAAAGCTCTTTTGGATAACCTGCTGTGCTGCAGCACCTATTAGTTTCTATATTAGCACCTGCTTCTTCACGTTGCATTTTGATGTTAAGGAGATGGTATCTTCCCTTAAACCACTTGAATCAACCAACCTCTCCTAGCTTCAAACTTTTCTTCTGCAGCTTCCTCACCACTTCAGCTTTCATAAAATTTAAGAGAGTTGGGACTTTGCTCTGGATTAGGCTTTTGCTTAAGGGAATTTTGTGGCTGTTCCGATTTACCCAGACCACTAAAACTCTCTCCATATCAGCAATAAGGCTATTTCGTTTTCTTATCATTCATGTGCTCACTGGATTAGTACTTTTAATTTCCTTCAAGAACTTTTTCTCTACCTTCTCAACTTGGCTCATTATTTGACACAAGAGACCTAGCTTTCAGCCTGTCTCCACTTTCAGCATCCCTTCCTCACTAAACTTAATCATTTCTAGCTTTTGATTTAAAGTGAGAGATGCGCAATTCTTCCTTTCCCTTGAACACTTAGAAACCATTGTAGGGTTATTAATTGGCCTAATTTTAATATTTTTGTGGCTCAGGGCATAGGGGGGCCTAAGGAGAAGGAGATACAGAATGGCTGGTCATGGAGCAGTCAGAACACACCCAACATTTATGGATCAAGTTCACTGTCATAAATGGGCATGGTTCATGGTGCCCTAAAACAATTAAAATAGTAACATCAAAAATAACTGATTACAGTCACCAGAACAGACACAATAATAATGAAAAAGTTTGAGGTATTGCAAGAATTATTAAAAGGTGATCCAGAGGCACAAAGTCAACACATGCTATTGAAAAACAGCATTGATAGATTTGCTCCAGGCAGGGTTGCCACAAACTTTCAATTTGCTAAAAATACAACATCCGTGCAGCACAATAAAAAAATAAAGTGCAATAAAATGAGGTATGCCTGTACTTTAAACAGTGCCTGGAACACAGCAGGTACTCATTACATACAGTTACTCTGTTAATTATGAATATATACTTTATTTATTTATTTTTATTTATTTATTTATTTTGAGATGGAGTCTCGCTCTGTCACCCAGACTGAAGTGCAGTGGTACAGTCTCGGCTCACAGCAACCTCCATCTCCCAGTTCAAGCAATTCTCCTGCCTCAGCCTCCTGAGTAGCTGGGACCACAGGTGCCCGCCACCACGCCCGGCTAATTTTTATATTTTTAGTAGAAACAGGGTTTCATCATGTTGGCCAGGCTGGTCTCGAACTCCTGAACTCAGGTGATCTACCCATCTTGGCCTCCCAAAGTGCTGGGATTACAGGCATAAGCCACTGCACCCAGCCAGTGAATATATATTTTTAATATGTAATTACCTCCTCCCATGAATTATGAATTATGCCAAATATAAAGAAAACTACTGAAGGTAACATACTAGCTTCAAGTTTATTTAGCAAATTAGCAGATTTGCTAAATAAATCTGTCAGATTTAGCAAATTTAACTTTTGCCAAATTTGCTTCAGTCTTTTATTTCAAGCAATAAAATGTTTGTGTTGAGACCCCTTCTTCACCCCTATTCCATCCTCCATACTGCATACCCTATCTTGAAATTTGTGGGTTCTGCCTCCAGGCTTTTTTTATACTTGTGATTCTCTTATTATGTAAGTATCTATAAACAATGACATAATAATGAATAATATATGGCATGTGCTTTTATTTTTTATAAATAATGTCAGAGTGTACATGCACTTTTAAAATTTGCTTATTTCATTCAACATATTTTTGAGATTTACCTGTGTTGATGCCTGTGGATCTAGTTCATTTATTGTGTCATATTTTATTAATGTATTACAATTTTATTCATTCCCCTATTAGATATTAGTTTATAATTATTATTACAATTTTCCAATTTCTGTTGTTTGTGCTTCTGTGAACACTCTTATACATCAAAACTTCTCTGAGCAATGAATCTGGAAGTGGAAGTTCTGGGGCCAGAGCATCTTCATTTTTAATAGATATTTTTACTAGATATCCCAAATTATCTCCACTGCAGTTGTAACAATTTACATCCCCATCAACACTGCATCACAGTTATTTGGTCATATCCTCCCTCATGCTTGATGTTATTGGTCTTGTTCATTTTGCTAATTTGAATATAAAATGATATTGGTTGTTTTCATTTGCATCTCACTGATTCAAGTAATGTTTGGCATCTTTTTATTTGGATATTGGCTTGGTCACGTACTTTGCCCATTTTTAATTCTGCTGTCTTTAACTTATTACTTTGTGAGAGTCTGATATGTTATGGATAAAGATCTTCTGTTGCTTTTATGCACTGCAAATATCTTCTACTAATTTGAGACTTGTCCTTTAACTTTGTATTGGTTTTTGCCCTGCATACTTTAAACAAATGTTCGAATGGTAACATCACACTTTTATGGCTTGTCCTTTTATATTTTGACCAAGAAATTCTGTGCCTTATCATGTCTCTGTCTTAAAAACACATTTTTTAAAAAAGTTTTGAAACTTTGCTTTTCATATTTATTCTATCTGGAGTATACATTTGTGAATGGTTTGAGATAGAGTTCAAGTTTTACGTTTTTCCCACATGGGAAGCCAATGTCACAGCACTAATGATCGAATCCTTTACCCACAGGAGTGCCCAGCCATCTCCAACATGTTCACATCTGTATTTTCTAGGCCCCCTACTCTCTTTCATTGTTCTATTTGTGTTTAAATTACTAGAGTTTATAAATCATGATATGTGGAATAATGGGTCCCCCCCTTACCCTTCAGCAAAATTATTCAGCTATTTTTGGCCCTTTATACTTCCATATGAATTTGATAATCAGCTTGTGAGCAAAATCTGGTTGGCATTTTGAATGCACTGGATCTGTAGATTAACTGGGGAAAACTTACATCTTCCTGAAGTTGAGTCTTCATGTCCATTATAAAGTACCCCGGAGGAGAAGTTTCCATCAGAATAAATTCTCTAACATTTGTGACCATCTTGTCTTCCAACCTGTGATGACAATAGCCACCCTACCTTACTACTCTCCTGAGAGAAATTTTTTAAGCATGGGGACCTCTCTGAAGTCTCCTGCAGCTGTTGACCCGTACATCCTTGATTCCAAATGGCAGAAAACTAATTTGCAGGTCAGACACTATTGAAATTCACCTTGATTAACCATGGCAATAAAATTGACAGTGATGCCCAAGAGGGAAGGATAAAACCCTCACCCGCTTTCCCAAATGATATTAACTTTGGGGAATAACTGAGCAGGTAATTCTCTGTGTGTGGTTTCCTCTTTCTGAGAAGAAATCACAAGAAACAGAAACAGAGGTTTCTGGCTTTGAGATCCTGAATCAAATGTGGTTGGATCCTGTGGTAACCCTAGGCCTATCAAGTGCTATATGCCTGGCTCTTTCTGTGTTGAATTTGACACAACATCTGACTCGACTGAGTCACAGAAAAAAATCAGTCATTACTTAATAAGTAACCAACACCTTGACTTGGTGCATGTATTGAGACTCTCTTGTTTTTCTTTTTGCAAGGCCTCAAGGGGAAGGTATATCAGGAACCTTTGTCCCCCAATGCCTGCATGGATACTACAGCAATACTACAACCTCACAGAAGCTGCTTAACCCATGGATCCTGAAAACATAGGCAAGAAGCACAGGTCCTGATGAGTGGATCTTTACTACTTTTACCAGATTCCTCCCTCGCTCAGAGGGATCCTCCCACACACCCAGCAGAGACTTCTCTGCCACCATCAACCCCCCAAGTCATAGGGGGCTCAAGTTCTGCCCTGGTGAGCTGTGGCCCCCATCCTTGTGAACCCCAAAGTGTCCCCCTTGTGGAACCAAATGTATCCATCTTGAATAAATTTGCCCAAAATCCTAAAGACCGGGAAAAGGGAACCATTGAGCTTGGCAAGTACTGGGGAACATCTTTGCTTCCTGCATCTCTAGCACCAGATCACTATGAGTATGGACCACCCATTTCAGAACAGCCGCCAAATGCTGAGGTTAGAGAGGGTTACTTATGTCAGGCAGATGTTCTTTCCTTGTGAAGGAAAGCGTTTTTAAGCTTCTTTGCTTTTTAAAAATTTATTTTTTTTATTTATTTATATATTTTTGAGACGGAGTCTCGCTGTCACCCAGGCTGGAGTGCAGGGACTCGATCTTGGCTCACTACAATCTCTGCCTCCTGGGTTCAAGTGATTCTCCTGCCTCTGCCTGCTGGGACTACAGGCACATGCCACCACACATGGTTAATTTTTGTATTTTTAGTAGAGACGGGGTTTCACCATGTTTGGCCAGGTTGGTCTCGAACCCTTGACCTCAGGTGATTCAACCACCTCGGCCTCCCAAAGTGCTGGAATTACAGGCATGAACCACCCAGGCCCGGCCTACTTTTAATTTATTTTTTATTTTTGAGACAAGGTCTCACTCTGTCACCCAGGCTGGAGTGCAGTGGTGCAATCACGGCTCACTCTAGCGTTGACCTCCCAGGCTCAGGCAATTCTTCCACCTCAGCCTCCTGGGTAGCTGAGACTACAGGTGCACACCACCACACCTGGCAAATTTTTGTATTTATTGTAGACACGGGGTCTCCTTATGTTGCCCAGGCTGGCCTTGAGCTCCTGGGCTCAAGCAACCTGCCTGCCTCAGCCTCCCAAAATGTTGGGATTATAGGCATGAGCACCATGCCCAGCCCTTTTTTTTTTTTTTTTTTTTTGAGACAGAGTCTCACTCTGTTGCCCAGGCTGGAGTGCGGTGGTGTGATCTTGGCTCACTGCAACCTCCACCTTCCCGGGTTCAAGCAATTCTTCCACCTCAGCCTCCCCAGTAGCTGGGATTACAGGCGCCTGGCATCATGCCTGGCTAAATTTTGTATTTTTGTAGAGACAGGGTTTCACCATGTTGGCCAGTCTGGTCTTAAATAAGTTGTGCGTGTGTGTGTGTGTGTGTGTGTGTGTTTGTGTGTGTGTGTGTTTAAAGCTTACAAATACATGAATATAAGTTTTGTCAGAAAAAATATAATTAATATTTCTTTGCTTTCCCAAATCTGCCATCAGTTTGTAAAAACACACAGTTTGTATAAACCTAGAGATTTTTCTCTGCATTTAGACACACATTTTTCTGTGCATTTAGACATTCACACACAGACACACACACACACACACGATTTTTACCTAAAAGAGTTATAATATATATATTGGTCTGCAACTAGCTTTTTTTACTTGACAATATATGTCAGAATTTGCTATATTCCAGGACATATAGATGTATTGGCTTATGTTTGACTGCCTCCTGGTATTCCTGTAGGTCGGTGAACCATAATTTAAATTCCTATTGCCCCATTGATGAAGACTGGGTTTTCCCACTTTAAAGGCAGTGCTGCATGAACACCTTCGCACCTGCCTTATTATGCACAGGTATGAGGAAGTATATTTTGCTGCACACAGAGATAGACATGATACTGGTTGAGAGCTCAGGCAATCTTTGGGAAAACGTTGATAAACAGTCATTACAATGGACGGGACAGGGGAAAGAAGAGACAAAAAACAACTGTAACAAATAGAAAACAGTTACGAACATAGTAGATACTAATCCAACTATATCAATAACCACTTTCAATGTGAATGGTCTAAATATATCCAAGTAAAAGACAGAGATTGTCAGAGTAGTAAAAAAGCAAGGCCTAACCATATGCTGTCCACAAGAAACCCACCTTAAATGTAAGACTCAGATGGGTTATAAGGAATAGAGAAAGATATATCTTGTTAACACTATCAAAAGAAAGCTGGAGTAGCTAATTTCAGACAAAGCAGACTTCATAGCAAGGAAAATCATCAGGGATAAAGAAGGACATTACATAATATTAAAAGGGTCAATTCTCCAAGAAGACAAAACAATCCTTAACATGCATACATGTATTAGCAAAGCATCAAAATACCTGAGAGAAAAAATGATAGGTATGCAAGGAAAAATACACAAAGTCACTATTATAGTTGGATATTTCAATACTTCTCTCTCAATAATTGATAAATCTAGCAGGTAGAAAGTCAGTAATGATTTAATTGACCTCAACAGCACTCTCAACCAGTTTGATCTAATTGACATTTATAGAATACTCTATCCAACAACAAAATACATATTCTTCCAAGTTCACATGGAACATTTACCAAAAGAGATTGCATTCTTTCCCATAAAACACACTTTAACAAACTGAAATGAACAGAAATCATATAAAGTATGCTGTCAGACCACAACAGAATTAAACTAGAAATTAATAACAAAAAGAGAGCTGAAAAGTCTCCAAATATTTGAAGATTAAACAACATGCTTCTAAATAACACATGGGTCAAAGAAGACGTCTCAAGAGATATTTTAAAATATTTTGAACTAAATGAAAATGCAACTTCTCAAAATTCATGGGATGCAGCAATGCAGTACTTCGAGGGAAACTTATAGCATTAAATACACATATTTTGAAAAGAGATCTAAAATTGACCATCTAAAATTCCACCTTAGGAAACAAGAGAAGGAAGAGCAATACAAGCCTAAAGCAAGCAGAAGAATAAAAATAATAAAAATTAGAGAAATCAATGAAACTGAAAACAGGAAACAATAGAGAAAATAAAACAAAAGCTATTTCTTTGAAAAGATCAGTAAAATTGGTAAACCTCTAGTCAATCTAACCAAGAAAAAAGAGAGAAGGCAAAAATTACTCATATCAGAAACAAAAGAGAGATCATCACTATGGATCTCACAGACAATAAAAGGATACCGAAGGAATATTACAAATGAATGGGGCCGCTTGTGTATGGCAAGCTCGGCTATTCCTTTTCTTTCTTATCCTGAAAGAAGGCAAAGGGTCCTAACTCTCCATACTACTTTCCCTTCCTCACCACCCCACTCCCTTTCTCTGATGGAAATTGAGACATGAATCTATCAATCCCAGGAAAATCATGTAATCTCACTGGGCATTATTTTTCCCCATATTTTAGCCAAAATATGCTAAAATCTCACTACTCAAAAAAAAAATGGTTAAAGAAGTTTCCCAAATTGCATAAGCTTTAGGCCCCATAGGAACTCTATCTGCTTTGTTTGCCACACTGAAATTTCTGCTAAGATCCAGGGGGAGCAGGGGCAGTCAGGGTGAATTTGAGGCATCTGTTTGGTGTGCTGGAGTTTTTCTTTTTCAATAAGGTGTTTTGTGGTAGAAGAAATAGCAATGTAATTCCTACAGTGTTAAGAGCTGAAAGACATTAACCTCCTTCAGTTAAAAGTTAGAAAACAGAAGCACAAAAGGACAAGAACAGACAATCCACACACAAAAAAGAAAATTCAAGTGATTACAGATCTACAGAAAAACCGTCAACCGCAATAAAAATCAAAGGAGATTGTAAAAATTATCCCACTTCTTGCTTCTCCCAAAATAACACTGATGCATGTACACACACACACACACACACACACGCACACACACCACACATACTAAGTCCTCACTTAACATCATGTATAGGTTCTTGGAAACTGTGATTTTAAGCAAAATAACATACAGCAGATCCTCAAAAAGTATTTTTTCATTCAATGTTGTTTTGTTACAATGTTGATTGAAAAACTGGTTTTATTATATGTTGTTTGGCTTAAAGTTGCAGTTTCCAAGAACCTATGGATGACAGTGAAGACTTACTATATGCGTGTATCTGTGTGTATGTGTGTGTGTGTGTGTAATTTGTTTTTTAATTCCTGGGGCTGACCAGGGGTTAGTGAAAGAAGAACTCTGATGCAGCCAACAGTATACATCTGTCAAATCTTTAAAAGGCCAACTTGCCTTTAAGAGCCATTTCCTTCTAAAAATTCAAACCAAGAAAATAATTCAAATGCACAAAAAGATATATAAGCCAAAATGTTTCTTTGTTTATTACTTTAACAGCCATATGGTTTTTATACTCCATAACATCACTTTAAAATATATAATGCACAAACTGTTAGAAATATAAACAAGAGGCCAGGCGCGGTGGCTCACGCCTGTAATCCCAGCACTTGGGAGGCCGGGGTGGGCGGATCAAGAGGTCAGGAGATGCAGACCATCCTGGCTAACACGGTGAAACCCCGTCTCTACTAAAAAATACAAAAAATTAGCCGGGTGTGGTGGTGGGCGCCAGTAACCACAGCTACTCGGGAGGCTGAGGCAGGAGAATGGCGTGAACCCGGGAGGCGGAGCTTGCAGTGAGCCGAGACCACGCCACTGCACTCCAGCCTGGGCGACAGAGCGAGACTCCGTCTCAAAAAAAAAAAAAAAAAAAAAAAAAAAAAAAAATATATATATATATATATATATATATAAAGAAGAAATAGTAAATCCACAAACACATTTAAAAAACTTACAGCTCTTTCAGAAATTAGATCAAGTAGATAAAAATTTTAAAAAGACATAGCAGATATGGATAATACATTTTACAAAGCTTGATCTAATATAAAGAATTTTGTGCCCAATCATTTATACAAAACTGTGCCTAAACTTATTTACGAAATCAACCATCAATCAAAAACTTCAATTTCAAAAAGCGTAAATACAGCCACATTCTCAGACCACAGAGCAATAAAATTATAAACCAAAGAAGGGGGAAAAAATGTATCCACTTAAAAATTTGTTATCACCTTTTAAGAACTGTTATGATAACTAAGAAACAAAAATTGAAATTATACACTATTTAGAAATTGCTGTATCATAATTTAAAAAGTACACACGACCTTAATGTCTAATTGTGCAAAGTATGAGTGGAATATTATGCAGATATCAGATAAGATTCATGAAGAACGTGTTATAAAAGAAATTGGCTGAAATAAAATTTTTATGGAACTTTATGATTAAAAAATTTTTAAAGCAGGCTGGAGACCTGAATAGGAAATATGATGACAGTGATGGAAAAAAATTAAAAATATATAAGCATAGAATAGAAACAAAGCAAATGCAAAACAATATACCAAAATGTTAGGAGTGACTATAATTCCATATTGGCACTATAAGCCATTATTTTTGTTTTGTTCTGTTTTCTATTCTCCAAAATATTTTTAACCTAAAAAAGACAGCAAAAGTGAGGCAGAGAGGAATTTAGGGACTTGCTAAAGTCACAAATTCAATGCACGGCCCAGGCCACCCCCAGCTTCCATTGCTGTGTCTAATCAGCCCGGGACTTCAGTAAACGACAACAACAACAACAAAAAACGAGGATTCACATCACCAGGAGAGAAACGGGCTCGGCCTAAGGACTTGGTAGTAGCTGGCAGCAGGACGCGCTTCGACTAAGGGGCTCTGGTTCCAAGCACCCCCAGAGCCAGCGCAGGAGAGGACCTTCCAGGTAAACTAAAACCAAGAGCGGAATGAAATCGGTGAATAAGCCAAACGAACCTCAGAGGGACCTTGGCACCCGCACCCCCGCCCCGCACCTTAGTTCTGCGAGCCTTTCCCCGTCTCCAACGCGGGCAAGGCTGTCAGATCCTCAAGCCGACCCTTCTCTGCACCGCGACCTCAGTGTCCTGCGCGGGACATCAGAGGCCGGACGCTCCACCTGCCCCAGGGCACGCCCCGAGCCCCCAAGCCCATCTCCTTCCTGTCGGGTGCTCACCTCTTCCTCCCTGCGGGCCCAGGGCCTTCTTGAGGGGCTGCGGATGCGAATGAGCCAGCGAAGGGCCGCCCGCGGCCCCTCGGCACCTCTGCCCAGCCGTCCCGACCAGGGGACCAGCTCAGCCCCGGTCGGGGCCCCGGCACCCAGGACCGCTCAGGATCTCCATTCCAGTCCCTTCGCACTTTCTGACGGGGAAGGAGAGTTGGGAGAACGAGACTCTCAAGTCTGGGGACTTCTACCCACCATTAAAGCTTTGGCATTCTGGCCATTTCTTTCTTTTTAAAAAATTATTATTATTATTTTTTATTTTGAGATGGGAGTCTCGCTCTATCCCCCAGCCTGGAGTGCAGTGACTCGATCTCCGCTCGCTGCAACTTCCGCCTCCAGGGTTCAAACGATTCTTCTGCCTCAGCCTCCCCAGTAGCTAGGACTACAGGCTTGCGCCATCACGCCCGGCTAGTTTTTTTTTTGTTTTTTGTTTGTTTGTTTGTTTGTTTTTAAAGTAGAAACAGGATTTCGCCATATTGGCCAGGCTGGTCTCGAACTCCTGACCTCAGTTGATCCGACCGCCTCGGCCTCCCAAAGTGTTGGAATTACAGCAGTGAGCCACCGCGCACCAAGCCCGGCCCATTCTGGCCATATCTATAGACGGATGCATTGCACAGGAGGCTCAGCACTAATCGGTAGATACTGCGAGATGCTGGGAGGTTAAGGGGCCTACCCGCAATATCTCTGGCCAATGCCTTGGGCTAGAAATGCCATAATTAGCCGCTCTTTTGATCCCTTGCAAAATGCGAATCCCACCGCACCTCCACCCCACCCGAGTGGTAATCTCCTAGTGGTAATCTAAGTGAGCCTGTGATAAGATAAGTAGCTCCTGGTGGTGAGGGTGAGAAATTGGGGAGCTGGAGCCCCAGCCAGGGACGAGGCTGTAGGGGCTAGGGCGAAGATGGAGGCTGCTGGGCCCCCAGATGGAAGACGGTAACGTGCGCCCGCTTCGTTTTTGCTCGAGGTCAGTCAGGTGCAGACTGAATTCGAAGTCGCTCCCTCCTCCGCTCAACCCCGACCAGGCCAAAACTAAAGCAGCACCGCCCCCTGCTGGGCCGACAGGGCATCAGATTTTGCTGGACGCGGGTGACAGGCGAGATAGGGAGTGTCCCTGCTGCTAGTGCCCCTGCTGCTAGTGCCTAGTTACCTGCAGTACTTACCCTCCCTGGGCCTCAGTTTTTCTTCCTCTGTAAAATAAATGCGCTGGGCCGGATCTTTTCTGAGTTCTCTTCTCCCCTACGAATTCTAGATCCCTCCTCTGTCCTCCCTGCGCCAGGGACCTTCGGGCGACCCTTCCCTGTACCCCCACCCCACCCTCTCTGGACCCCGTTTCTGCCTCAGTACGGCGCGCTGAGCTCTGCCCCCTGCCCAGGCCCTGACCCCCTCAGGAGCCGCGGTTTCCTGGGGTAACAGTGGGAAACGTGTCGGCCGTCTCCGCTCAGGCGCTTGCTGTGTACAGAAAGGTGAATTCATGGGAAAGGTGGCGGAGGGATCCAGGTTCTGGTGGACGCTTTACGGCTCCACCAAGGCTGGCCCCGAGATTTGCGCAGAATGAGCGGCTGAGGATGGAAGGGCTGCAAGATCCACCGCCTTACTTAGCTGGGACCCGGCCCCACCTCCTCTACAGCAGACCCTGTCTCCACCGGTGCGGTTGGTGCTAGGTTCCCAAACACACTGCTGCCGTTTCTTGTCTGACATCGCGGCCCTGCTCCTGCCTGCCTTCAGCCTGGGCTAGCCCCCCGCCCTTCCCCCAGCTCCCTGCCCCTGCGCCCACCACACTCCTCCTCCGTCTCCTTTAGGCTGATTCAGGCACACCGGCTCTCGTCGCCTTGGTGGCCCTCCCCAGCCCTCCTCCGCGCCTGCTCCGGGTGGCGCTCCGCTGGGCTCCTCGTGCGCCTGTCCGCGACCGCACCCACCTCATCCTGGCACCCCCATCGTGGCATCACGTGTTCCCTCATCTGTCCTCATGGCTGGCGTGCCCCTCTGCGGTGAGACCTGCAGAACAGGAATTGGTGCCGGGTCAGCAGCCGGCGATGAAGCCGGACGAAGCCTGCAAACCCCACCCATACGCCAGCTTCACATAGCTCCTATCCATTGCACAGCAGCGTGGGGAAGCACCGTTCTCTACCCTCCAAGTAAGAAGCTGATTGTTGGGGCACAGGGGAGATCCTATAGCATGGCTCTGCTTATGGGCACGCGCAGAAACATTCCCAAATGAATTTTTTTGTTGTTTGTTTTGTTTTGTTTCTTGTTTGTTTTAAGAGACAGGGTCTTGTTCTATCGCCCAGGCTGGAGTGCAGTGGTGCAATCACGGCTCACTACAGCCTCGACTTCCGGGCTCAAGCGATCCCCCCACCTCAGCCTCCCAAGTAGCTTGGACCATGGACCCGCGCCAGCACGCTGGCTTTTTTTTTTATTTTATTTTATTTTATTTTTTGAGAGAACCTGATTTCCTTCCAACCAATTGTGCTCTCCCAATTCCAACAACCAAATGAAGCTTCAACGCTTCTTTTTGTTCAGAGGCCTCCTGAGTCCTGTCCTACTCACAGTAAAGGCTCTGGCAAAAACAAAAACAAAAACATCATGGGGCAAAATAAACTGCATCTTAAAAAGGCTCATTTCTCTCTAGGTCTCTCTCCAATTTGTTATCTTGAAACGATTTACCCAAAATAGAAACTTTAAAAAAGTAGTGGAAAATTTTCTTTTTGCACAAGATGGTTAATTCTTTTGGGTGCTGGCCTGGGATCCATGAAATAACCTACACTCCACCATAAAGCTTTTCACTCCCATGTTTTGCAAACTGACGACCTTGCTGGGGGCAAGCTCCCCGTGTGACTTTACGAGGGAATTTGAGTGGTGCAAGCCGGAGGATGGGGCCTCACTATGTGGCCCAGGCCGGTCTCCAACTCCTGGGCTCAAGTGATGCTCCCCTCACGGCCTCCCAAAGTGCTGGGATTAGATGCGTGAGCCAACGTGCCCCGCCCAAAGGGCAGTTGACCTCAGCGTCTGAGGTGTGGAGGGAGCAGCTCGTTCCTCTTTTTCCTGCTCTACTGGGAAGGTACAAACCATACTAAGAAATCCTCTTCAGTCTGTCCCCACAAAAAGAGAAAGAGGAGTTGCTGCAGGCCAAGGACAAGGAGGAAGGGAGGAGAGAGCCCTTGACTTCTCCCACTTCTTGACTTTCCTTGCCGTGGTCTTTCCTTCCTTTTTCCAGGTCCACACCTCTCCTTCTATAGTCCTAGAAATGGGTCACCCCCTACAGGAGTCAGAGCCTTCGCCCAGCCCTCATGCTCTGAGGGTAAGTGGGTGGAAACAGACGCCTTCCCTCTCGCAATGTTTCCATCACTGCGTCCTCCACCTTGCACCACTCAGATCCCCTCGGAAAGTCACACGGGGGGCTTGCCACCAACAAGGTCATCACCGTTTGCATAACGTGGGAGTGAAAAGTTTTATGGTCGAGTTGAGGTTATTTCATGGATCCCAGGCCAGCACTCAAAAGAATTAACCAACTTATGCAAAAAGAAAAGTTTCCACTGGCTTTGTAAGGTTTCTATTTTGGGTAAACTGTTTTAAGATAACAAATTGTCACATACACATTTTGTTGTGACAATTGTCACAACAAGAGAAAAAGAAAAAGAAAGAGAGAGAGAGAAAGAAAGAAAAAGAAACGAGCCTTTTTTGGATGCAGTGTATTTTTCCCCTTTATTTACTTATTTATTTATTTTGCCACAGCCTTTACTGTGAGTAGGACAGGACTCAGGAGGGCTCTGAACAAAAAGAAGAGTTGAAGCTTCATTTGGTTGTTGGAATTAGGAGAGCACAATTGGTTGGAAGGAAATCAGGTTCTCTAAGCATCAAAAAAATTCGTATTTTAAGTGATGTGAGTTATGGAAGGCAGAGAGTTCTTGGTATATGGAAGTTACTGAAACAGAGCAGTGGACAAACGGGCAGTCTGCAGAAGAGGAAAGCTGAATAGCCAGCAAACATGGGGCCAGATGCTCGGTCTCAACCTTAACAAGAGAAGTCAGGTTTAAACAACGAGATACCATCACACCCTATGAGATTGGCAGAATTGAAAAGACTGACAAAACCAGAAATAACAAAGCTCGTGGGTAAATGAAAACTCCTCCACAGCTGGTGTGAGTGTGGACTGGAACCATGACTTCGGAGAAAAATGTATCAAAAGCTATGGGACACATCTTTCGAATCAGTCATTTCTCACAAGGTTGCCATACTCCTCAAGTCATTCCTTTTCCAGGAAAACACCCTAGAGAAAATCTTGTACTTGGACTCTAGGGAATGTGTACAAGGATGTCCATTGTAGTTTAGCTTATAACAGCAAAACCCAGCCCAAAAGTACATCAACAAAGGAATGAATAAATGAAAGTGGCAGTTGTCATTAAACCTTTTTCCTTTTCTTGTATCACCCCAAAGTATGAAAGACTATGGACTCCTTCACTCATTAAAAAAAAAAATTTAGGCCAGGTGTGGTGGCTCATGCCTGTAATCCCAACACTTAGGAAGGCTTAGGCAGGTGGATCACTTGAGGTCAGGAGTTCGAGACCAGTCTGGCCAACATGGCAAAACTCTGTCTCTACTACAAATACAAAAATTAGCCAGGCATGGTGGCGTGTGCCTGTAATCCCAGCTACTCAGGAAGCTGAAGTAGGAAAATCATTTAAGCCCAGGAGGTGGAGCTTGCAGCGAGCTGAGATCGCACCACTGCACTCCAGCCTGGGTGACAGAGCGAGACTCTGTCTCAAAAAAAAAAAAAAAAAAAAAAAAAAGATTTAGCAAGGAACAGTGAATGGCTCACCCCTGTAATCTCAGCACTTTGGGAGGCTGAGGCAGGAGGACTGCTTGAGGCCAGGAGTTGGGGGCTCAAGAGTTGGAGGCTGCAGTGAGCTGTTATCACACCAATGCACTCAACCTGGTTGACAGAGCTAGACTCTGTCTCTAAAAAAAATAATAATACTAATTTATTGTGGCAAAATACACATAACAATCTTACCATTTTAACATTTAAGTGTACAGTTCAGTGGTATTAAGTTCATGCACATTGTTGTGCAACCTTCACCACCATCCTTCTCTCTAACTCTTTTCATCTAGAAAAACTAAAACTCTATAACCGTTAAACATAACTCCCACTCCTCCCTCTCCCCAGCCTGTCCCAACCACCATTCTACTTTCTGTCTCTATTATTTTGACTACTTTAAATACCTCAAATACATAGAATCATACAGTATTTGGTTTTTTGTGACTGGCTTAATTCACTTAGCATAATATCCTCAAGATTCATCCATATTGTGGCATGTGTCAGAACTTCCTTTTTAAGGCTGAATAATATTCCACTCTATGTATATACCACATTTTGTTTGTTTAAATAAATTTTATTGTGTATATATAAGGTATATACAACATCATGGTATAAGACACACATATTTAGTAGAATGGATACTATAGTGAAACAAATTGACTTATGCATCATCTCACTTAGTTACCCATTTATTTCCTCCTGTAGCAAAAGCAACTATGCTCATCTAGCAAAAATCCTGGAATAATATGCTATTATTAATTGTAGTCTTCATATTGTACTTTATTTGACTTGTTCATCCTATATGTTTGCTACTTCGTATCCTTAGGCCTACATCTGCCCATTTCCTCTCTCCTACTCCAATCTTGATAACCACTGTTTTATTCTCTATATATTTGACCTTTTTAAAAGATTCCACAGGCCAGGCATGGTAGCTCACACCTGTAATCCCAGCACTTTGGGAGGCCAAGGCAGGTGGATCATCTGAGGTCAGGAGTTTGAGACCAGCCTGGCCAACATGGCAAAACCCCATATCTACTAAAAATACAATTAGCCAGGTGTGGTGGCAGGTGCCTGTAGTCCCAGCTACTCAGGAGGCTGAGGCAGGAGAATTACTTGAACCCAGGAGGCAGAGGTTGCGGTGAGCCAAAATTGCGCCACTGCACTCCAGCGTGGGCAACAGAGTGAGACTCCGTCTAAGAAAATAAATAAATAAAAGATTCCACATACAGGTAAGATCGTGCAATATTTTTTTTCTGTGTCTGGCTTCTTTCATTTAGCATAATGTCCTCCAGGCCCGTCTAGGTTATGGCAAATGCTATCTCCTCCTTTTTTAAGGCTGAATTCCCTTGTATATATCCGTACCACAATTTCTTAAACCATTCGTCCATTGATGGTTGTCTAGGTTGTCTCCATATCTTGGTTATTATGAATAATGCTACAATAAACACAGGAGTACAGATACCTTGGTGAGGTGGTGATTTCATTTCCTTTGGGTATGAGCCCAGAAGAGAGATGCCTGAGTCCACATTTTGTTTATCTATTCATCCAGTAATAAACACTTGGGTTGCTACCACATTTTAGCTACTGTGAAAAATGCTGTTATAAAATGAATGTACTTCTTTACTCACTTTTAACTTGACATCAAACATTTTTCATCACTATAAAGGACATAATTTCCAAAGTAAATGTTGATTTTTAAAAAAGAAAACCTTATTCTTTTTAATTATTTCTAATAGCACATAAATAATATATCAATTTTGTTTCAACCGTCACTCATTTTTAAAATACAAGAAAAAGTTCTTAACTTTTGGAAATTTTTCATCACTCCTTTTTCTCCTTAAACTTATGAATTCTAGGCCAGGCGCGATGGTTCACACCTGTAATCCCAGCATTTTGGGAAGCCAAGGCAGGCAGATCACTTGAGGCCAAGAGTTCAAGACCAACCTGGCCAAAGGGGTGAAATCCCATCTCTACTAAAAATACAAAAATTAGTCGGGTGTGGTGGTGCACACCTGAGTAGCAATCCCAGCTACTCAGGTGGCTGAGACACGAGAATCACTTGAACCAAGGAGGCAGAGGTTGCAGTGAGTGGAGATTGTGCCACTGCGGTCCAGCCTGGGCGGCAGAGTGAGACTCTGTCTCAAAAAAATAAAGAGTAAAAACAAATGGACTTATGAATTCTATTCTACTTCCTCCATAAAAGTTTAATAGGTGCATATGCTTAAGGACCTTATATTGATCAATATTTCATACTTCTCTGCCAAAAAAGCACATGAGATGAATTTTTAATTTCCTGCAACCATAAGTTTCTAAATATTAAAAGTCTTAGATTATGTCATCATTGCGACTATTAATAGTGCACAATTGTCCTTTATAGCATAAATAAACTGCAAGTCTTCAAAATTAATGAACATTAAAAGTAACCTTTGGCCAGGCATGGTGGCTCACACCTGTAATCCCAGCACTTTGGGAGGCCGAGGCAGGCAGATTACTAGAGTTCAGGAGTTTGAGACCAGCCTGGCTAACATGGTGAAATCCTGTCTCTACTAAAAATACAAAAATTAGCCAGACATGATGGCGGGTGCCTGTAATCCCAGCTACTAGGGAGGCTGAAGCAAGAGACTCACTTGAATCCAGGAGGCGGAGGTTGCAGTGGGCCCAGATCACACCACTGCACTCCAGCCTGGGCAACAGAAGAATGCTCTGTCTCTAAAAATAAATAAATAAATATAAAAGTAACCTTTGTTAGGGGAAACTGGGTGAAGGGTATGGAATTCTCTGTACCCTTTCTTGTATGTGCATGTCAATCTACAATTATCTCAAAAAAAGCTTTTTAAAACATAATTTTGGGGGAAAATTCAGCTCTTAATGAAATGGACCCCCCACAAATGAATTTTGTGGTCCAATTAATTAATGAACCCATAAAATAACAGGATTTATTTTATTTATTGATTGCTAGAATGAGACAGAGTTCAGTATTAATTTTGTTTTGCTTTTGTTTGTCATACAATGTAAGTACTGAGAAATTTTGTCTCCATAAATAAATAGTTGGCTTTGTTACAGCAGAATCACTAAATCTTTTAACTTTTTCCTTTTTTTTTCAAAAAGACAAAAGCATGAACCAGGTGCAGTGGCTCACGTCTGTAATCCCAGCATTTTGGAGGCCAAGGTGGATGGATGGATTCCTTGAGTCCAGGAGTTCAAGACCAGCCTGGGCAACATGGTGAACCCCCATCTCTACAAAAATTTAGCCAGGTATGATGGTGTGCACCCATAGTCCCAGCTACTTGGGAGGCTGAGGTGGGAGGACTGTTTGAGCCCAGGAGGTTGAGGCTGCAGTGACTCCACTGCACTCCAGCCTGGGCGAAAGTGCAAGACCCTTTCTCCAAGGGAGAAAGAGAGAGAGAGAGAGAAAGGGAGAAAGGGAAAAAGAGAGAGAGAAAGAGAGCGGGAAGGAGGGAAGGAAGGAAGGAAGGGAGGGAGGCAGGGAGGGAGGGAGACAATGTTATCTATCATCAAAAATTAATTTTAATGATCTATTAGTTGCTGTATTAGTTTGCCAGGGCTGTTTTAACAAAGTACCACAAACTAGGTGGCTTCAACAAAAGAAATTTATTGCCTCACAGTTCTAGAAGCTAGAAGTTCAGGATCAAGGTGTCAGCTGGGTGTGTTCCTTCTGAGGGCTACAGAAGGAATTTGTTCCATGCTTCTCACCTAGCTTCTAGTCAGTTGCTGGCAATCTTTGGCATTCCTTGACTTGTAGAAACATCACCCCATCTCTGCCTTGTTTTCAGATGATGTTCTCTGTGTGTGTGTCCTGATTGCCCCTTTCCACAAGGACACCAGTTATATTGGATTAGGACCCATCCTATTGGCCTCATTTGAACTTGATTACCTCTGTAAGGACCTTGTCTCCAAATAAGGTCACATTCTGAGATGCTAGAGTATAAGACTTCAACAAATATACTTGGGGGGACACAATTCAACCTGTGATAGTTGCCAAATCTAGAAGGCCTTCTTCCAATTTTGTTGAAAGCAAACACTTGGGAACCACTGACCTGCACATGGGTTTGTTACCATTTTTAGATTTATTCACTTTCTTGGGTTTTGGAAGCCCTAAACTAGGTTTTACCGAAGCCTACCAAGTAGCCATCAATGACATCATTCTTCTTTCACTTAAAAACGATTGCTGAAATTGATTAACTTGGAAAGTGTTGGGGTATTAGAAATATTTTTAATTTAATTTCAAGACAAATTCCAATACAAACAATATTGTGATATAATGTTTTTATCTTTTTTTTTCTTTCTTTTTTTTTTTTTCTGTCGCCCAGGCTGGAGTGCAGTGGTGTGATCTCGGCTCACTGCTACCTCCACCTCCTGGGTTCAAGCAATTCTCCTGCCTCAGCCTCCTGAGTAGCTGGGATTACAGGCGCTTGCCACCATGCCCGACTAAATTTTCTTTGTATTTTTAGTAGAGACGGGGTTTCACCATGTTGGCCAGGCTAGTCTCAAACTCCTGACCTTGTGATCCACCCACTGCGGCCTCCCAGAGTGCTGGGATTACAGGCATGAGCCACCGCACCTGGCCAAAATGCTTTTATCTTATCATAGATTTTAAACTTGTTAAAAGTGTTTTCTTTTCTTTCTTTTTCTAAGCTGTTTCTTTAGCGCTAAACTTGATTCTCATCAAAACCTTGGAGCTAAAGATTTAGCTCACTAGATTCAAGGAAAGTTAAAATACTGCCATTAACCTCATTGGCAAAGCTGGTCTTCAATGTCAAACCAATTAACAACTCAGACTTAATTTCTGTTAAAAAAAAAAAAAAGAATTCTGATTCCTTTTGTAATCATAATGAACACGTTAATATGCATCCTCATAATGACTGTCTCACCTCTGAATTCTAGCTCGATGATAGAGAGCTGAGTAGAGGGATGAGGCCCCAAAGCCTGCTGTGAGGCACTCTGCCTCCTGCATCCCTCCCAGATGACTCTTTTCTTTCTTTTTTTTTTGAGACAGAGTCTCGCTCTGTCGCCCAGGCTGGAGTGCAGTGGTGTGATCTTGGCTCACTGGAAGCTCCACTTCCCGGGTTCAAGCCATTCTCCTGCCGCAGCCTCCCGAGTCGCTGGGACTACAGGCGCCCGCCACCGTGCCCGGCTAATTTTTTGTATTTTTGGTAGAGATGGGGTTTCACCGTGTTAGCCAGGATGGTCTCGATCTCCTGACTTCGTGATCCGCCCACCTCGGCCTTCCAAAGTGCTGGGATTACAAGCGTGAGCCACCGTGCCCGGCCCCCAGATGACTCTACCTGGATACTGGGGACTCTGCTCAGGAGAAATGCATTCTTTGGCAATTTCTAACGGATGGAAATTACATGAAAAATGTTTGGATTTGTCTTTTTATTGGTGGCCCAGAGGATTACGTGCCCACCTCTGGAGCATAGTAAGGAACAGGAGGGCGGGAAGTTTGCCTTTCAGTTTTAAAGTGGGAAATAAAATAATCATGAAAGAATAGGCCAGAAAGGAGAACGAGCACAAAGCCTAAACACAGGGACTTGTTCTTGGGCAGGTCCATTTTATGAGAAGAGAACCAATGGGAGTTGAGAATCTGGAAAACAATTTCCTTAAAATTATGTGTATCCCCAAGGACAGCCTCCATATACTTCCAGAGAGATGAACACTCTGGTTCAAGAACCACTGAACATGAAACTGTGGCACATTCACAGGATAATACACCACACAGCATTTAAAATAAATCTATATGTATCAACATAGCTCAAAGACACACAATATGATGACATTTCTGTATTTTGAAACTCTCAGAAAATAAAATTATATAGCATTTATAGATATATATACACATATACATGTATACATATCTAGTAAACATTTCAAAACAGAGAAGGGGAAGTTGAAAGTAAATGGATAGAAAAAGATACATTATGCAGGCTGGGCACAGTGGTTCATGCCTGTAATCCCAGCACTTTGGAAGGCCAGGTGGGCAGATTGCCTGAGGTCAGGAGTTCAAAACCAGCCTGGCCAACATAGTGAAACCCCATCTCTACTAAAAATATAAAAATTAGCTGGGCATGGTGCCGTGCACCTGTAGTCCTAGCTACTCAGGAGGCTGAGACAGGAGAATTGCTTGAACCCTGGAGGCAAAGGTTGCAGTGAGATGAGATCGCACCACTGCACTGCAGCCTGGGCAACAGAGCTAGACTCTGCCTCAAAAAAAAAAAAGAAAAAGGAAAAGATACATTATGCAAACGGGAAGCATAAGAAAGTTGTGTTTCTGGCCGGGCACAGTGGCTCATGCCTGTAATCCCAGCACTTTGGGAGGCTGAGGCAGGTGGATCACCTGAGGTTGGGAGTTCGAGACCAGCCTGACCAACATGGAGAAACCCTGTCTCTACTAAAAATACAAAATTAGCCGGACGTGGTGGTGCATGCCTGTAATCCCAGCTACTCGGGAGGCTGAGGCAGGAGAATAGCTTGAACCTGGGAGGTGGAGGTTGCGGTGAGCCAACATCGTGCCATTGCACTCCAACCTGAGCAACAAGAGGGAAACTCCATCTCAAAAAAAAAAAAAAGAAAGAAAGCTCTGTTCCTTATGAATAAAAGGTAGACTTCACAACAAAGTATTACCAGAGGCAGAGGTAAAGACGAACATTTCATAATGATAAAAGAGTGAATTCATCCAGAAGGCACAATTCTAAATGTGTATGCACCTAATAACAAAGCTTCAAAATATAGGAGACAAAATATGAACTGAATTAAAAGGAGAAATAGACAAATCCACACTCATTGGACATTCGGCATCCTTCTCTCTCAGCTCCATAGGAAAGGTTAACAGATTAAAAATTAAAAAACTTACCATCTTTCTGTCATAATTAATGAACAAAACTCCAAATTTAGCTTTTCATGAGAAGGCGGGTGGGGTGGTACTTGGGAGGGTACAGTTTTATCTGTAATGTTCATGTGAAGGAAATGCGACAAAATGCTAACACTTATAAAGAGTGGGCATTTTATATTATTTGACATATTGTTCTATGTTAAAATGTTTTCAAAACTTTTTTTTAAAAAAGTGAATAGCAGAAATATTTAAATGAGTGAATAATGAATGAAGTTCAGAAGTCAACATCACTTCATCTGACATTGCCCTCCACAAGTCCCCATGCTGCCCCTACCCTCCCTTGTTGGCCTTTCTCCTGTGAGTCCTCCTCATCTTATCATCCACCAATGGCAAACATGTGGGACATCCTCATGTGGGTCAGGGGCAGACATGAGCTTACAATCTCTACCTGCCACAGGCTTTGATGTCCTCTCTGTGCTTCTCTTATAGCCCAAACCTCCCCTGTGAAGTTCTTCCACCTTCTCAAGCCCCATTCTGAATTTCCTGCACTACCTGGATTCCTTGCCAATGTTTTATTTCCTGCTCTTCAATACGAGCCTTCCCTGAAGGTTCCATATACTCTTCTGTATGTTCTTTCCACACCACCTCCCTTTGCAATGACACCCACTCTCACAACTTATCACCTCCTTCCCAAGGCTACATCCCCAGCCCTGACCCCTCTTCTGAACTCAAATCCTGGCTCTCCAGTTGCATTCAGAACGCTTCTGTTTCAGTGTTACTGAGATTAAAGATCCAAAACAATTTTGTTACCGAAACACCGGGGGATCCATCTAGGTCCTTCTGCTCACCTCACAGAAAGCCAATCACTGAGACAACAAGTATTGCCAAGGAAGAAGAATTTAGTCAGGTGCTGCAGCCAAGGAGATAGGAGATCAGTCTCAAATCCATCCCTCTGACCTGACTAAAATTAAGGGGTTTATATAGCAGGGAAGACATGTAATCATGTGTGGGAAAACAGGAAGTTGGGAGGAGTAAGGAAAAGGAGTTGGACAACAGGAAACAGGAGGTTAGTTAGGCCATCATACCAGGTGAAGAGTCTGACGTCTTATTGTTCATAATAAGTGATCTGGTGAGTTTCAGCTCATTGCTACCATCTGGGAGGCCTGATAGTTGGTTTCCCTAGAAAGGAACTCAGATAAGACAAATGTAACTTTCTCAGGTTTTAAGAAGGCAAGGATCAATTTATATGTTTATTCAAAGAAACCACAAACATCAACTCTATGGGATCATTGGATCAGTTTTACAGTAAGCATGTGTCAGCACCAAGGGAGGGGATGACAGAGAGTCAATGCAAGGTGTAACCAAAATGTGTATATTTTTCCCCATTACAGTTCAGCTTCTTACCCTCTCTGCCCAATCCAAACTGCAACAAGGATTCTCCCAATTATATTTCAAACATCCTAGCTTCCTGGGATGCCCTCTTCTCTTTACTCTTGATGTTTATAATTCACCTTGATATGTGCAAAGATGTATATGTTTTTATACTTGGCACTAAGAGTATTTTTGATCTGAGAATGTTTGTCTTTAATTGTGAAAAATTTTCAGCCATGCTTTCTTCCCATATTTCTTCTCCACATTCCCTTTGTTCTCCCCTTTCTGAAATCCTATTAAACACTTCACCATGCTAATATACATCTCAACAGCTTTTTCAAACTGCTTCTGTCTTCATCTCCCTGTGTTGCATTCTCTATGAATTTCTCAATGCTAGCTTCCAATTCATTAATTATCCCTTCAACTATGTCCAACCTAGAGTATATCCTTGTTTAATATGTAGAGTGTTCATTTCCAGTATGCTCAGTATTTATCATCTTCAACTGTTCTTCTTTAATTTCTGCATTTTCTACATTTGTTGTTCTCTTTGTTTTAAACATTTTTCAAATTGTTCAATAATTTGCCTCTTTTTGGAAGTGAATTCACATTCCACTTGTTGAGTCTTTTTTATGTATACTTTGAATTTCGAGTGTGTGTGCAGGGTTATCTTGAATAGAAATTTTTGAAAATCTCTTCCTCTCTTTACTCTCTCTTTTCCTGAGTTTTTTAAAGTAGCCTCTGACTTTCCAGGGCCCACAGTCAGAACTAGGCCTTACATGGGTGGCTGTGGGCTCTCTTTCAATCAAGAGAAAATCAGATCCAAATCCCTGTTTCAAGCAGAGAGCCTGGCTCCAGCCTTCCTCTATAGGCAAAGCACTGTGAAACTCTGTTAGCTGAAGGAGTCAAACTCTTGGTGCCTCTACACTAAGAACAGACCCTCAAGACCCAGGCCCAAGAATGGTTTGCTAAGAACAGATCCCAGCAAGCCAGCCCCTGATTCCAGCCATTGTCCTGCAACTACATCCTTGAAGACGTTTATCTTGCTTTTGAGTACATCTGCCTTCTCCCCTTCCTCCTCTTCTTTTGTTTTTAACTATACCATTGCTATATGTTAAAGCATGGTATCAGCTGATCTTGATCAGACATATCAAATGCCTCATTCTAAACAACCTCTCTCCTAATTCTTCCTTTATCTTCAAACCCAACTATATGTGAAGCCTTTCCTGACCACTCTTACTTGGAATGAACTATCTAAGCCTCCTCTGGTCTGCTGTACCCTACTTCTACCTTCCTTTAGCTTTTACTGAGCAAGAATTTCTTGAGTGTGTGCCACTCAAGTGTGTGCCAAGCCCTCTGTTTGGCACCCTGGTGTAAACATGAGAGGGACAAGGCTCCTTCCTCAAGGGACCAAGGGTTTGGTTGTCAAGCTGGACAGGCAAACAAACCATTGTGCTCCAGTCTGCAGATACCCAAGGTCCGGGTGACACAGAGAAGAGAAGGATGTGGTCTGTACTGTCTGGGAGTGGGAGGGGGAAGGAGCTAAACCCCACAGGAAGGAGATGCTTGAGCTGGGTCTTAAGGGAGAGGAGTTTGGTAAGCAGAGAGCAGAGGTGAGAACATTCTTGGCTGAGGGAATAGCATGTTTAATGGCTCTGAAGTGGAAAGGACTAGGGTCCGCTTGAGAAATGAGAGATGCGGAACCTAGGAGGAGTGAAGAAGGTGACAGACAAGAGGACAGAGACTATGAAACCAAGTGTGCAGGGCCTCACAGGCAACATTAGGGATCCCCGACATTCTACTAGGGACACCAGGAAGTCCTTTCAGGTTGAAGCAGGGGGTTGGCATGATGAGATTTTCTCTAGAAGGGACCAGAGCAGAAATGGGGTTGGCCAGTTAAGAGGCCATTGCAAAAGTCCAGGAAAGAAGGACAGCAGCTAGATGAACTTGGGGAACTCGGGGTGGAGGAAAAGAAAGGTGACAGAAGTGAGGCCAAATTGATTGGTATTTCCAATTAAGATAAAACAAGCCCTGATAACTCTAGAGTTTCTAGCCCTGGACAAGCTAACTCCTTCCAAGAACAGTAACATCTCCATAGACCTGAATTGGCGATGGGGACACAGCAGGCAATTTCCCAGCCATGATTCCAAGTTGTCCCTGCAGTTCATGTCTTAGGAGCAGTGGCACAGAACCCTGATGGATTTCCTACCACTGCTCTGCCCGGTTTTGCATTTTGAATATGTCTTTAATCTACATTAAAGTTTTCCATTTCCATGGACCAGTTTAAATCAGCATAGAAACTGGTTACTATCTTACTCTATCTACTTCTGGATATTTTTTTAAATAAGGGGCTTGCTTAAAGGAGTGCAGTCATTCACATTTCTTCATGCCATCCCAAGTCAGTGCTACAGTGTGGGGTTTGGGAACTTACCTGGCAGTGATGGACAGGCCCAACCCAGCCCTCTGCACACCTGGTCTACAGAAAGTTTCTCCAGAACTTGTGCAATTGCATCTGTTCTGCCACTGCAAGGCGGATGTCATTGTGGTCACATCGAAAATCCACCACGTTCTGCAAAAAATATCACTGGGGTCACAAAGCCTCCTTGATGGGTTTGACATGTTGCCTTATCCTCCCCACCCCAACCCCCATGGTGCTCTGTACAAAGGGGCTGCCACCCCACTGGCTGACACTTTTCTGAGCTGCAGGGCTAGAAGGCCCCCAAGCTGATTTCCGTGAGACTAAGATGGAACTAGTCTATTTTAAAGCAGTACACCCCCAAATCTGGCCATCATCACACTCAGGGGCCTGATTCTCAAGATCCAAATAGGTGGAGGTTGACTCTGGCCCCCTCAGTGCTTCCACCACTGGGCAAGTGCAGTTTCGTGTCTAGCCATCTTCCTTACCACCCTGTTGATTGTAGCCTTTGGCCAGCAGGGCCATTTGACACTCCTGATACAGTGCTGGTGGTGCTGAGCAAAATGGCAAACTACCATCTACAGCAAGAATTGATGTGTTGGTGGCCTGTCTGGACTTGATTGCTTCCTTGTCTCCCTCATTCATGTGAGTTGAGGGACAGCACTGTGTCTACACAGCGAGGGACCCTCATACCATGCACACACACACACACATGCATACATCGATAGGCCAGTTATAACCATCATTGTAAAGGTGTTTTCTTCCCCAACTCCCTCATCTCCCATTTGAAAAAGCTGCAGGTACTGGTGCAAGCCCTCAGTGATACAGATACATTATATCTACCACAGCCTTGCTAGTGTTGCAATAATGAGAAATCGCCTAAATGTCCACTAACAGCAGAATTAAATTATGGAACACCCATATATAATGCACCCATTTATAAGAATGGGGTGGATCTTCATCTGCTGAACGCTCTCCTTCTACTGTGAAACAAGATAGGTTGCAAAAAAATATTTATCTCATACAATCCCATGTGTCTAAGATGATGTATAAACATCTGTTTATGTACAGATAATATCTAAGGGACACATTCAACTGTAACAGTGGTTTTCTGTGGGGAGCAGGTGACAGTGAGGAGAGTTGAGACAGGGAACTTTGTGTTTGTTTTCGTACAAGAATATATTGCACTGTTGTCACTTAAAAGACATTTTTAAAAATTTCTGAATATAAAATGTTACATGTTCCATGCTAGAATAAGCATCTTGGATGCTTTGAGGGAGCTGGAAGGAGGTACTGAAATCAAAATAATTAAAAAAAAAAAAAAAAGCCCATCCAGGCCCTGATATGGTGGCTCACACCTGTAATCTCAACACTTTGGAGGCCAAGGCGGGGCAAAGCGCCTGACCTCGGGCATTGGAGACCAGCCTGGGCAACATGGTGAAACCCCATCTCTACCAAAAATACAAAAAATTAGCTGGGCATGGTGGTGTGCTCCTGTGGTCCCAGCTACTTGGGAGGCTGAGGTGGAAGGATCACTTGAGCCTGGGAGGTAGAGGCTGCAGTGAGCCGAGGTGGTGCCACACTGCACTCCAGCCTGGGCAACACAGCCAGACCCCATCTCAAAAAAAAAAATAGCAACAACGACAAAGAACCCATCCAACACTTAAGTTTGTACTTCACAAGGACAAGGAGAATGCAGTTCAACAAGCACAGCTCAGCCCATGCTGTGTTTCTGGGGATGGAGGACACATCATGAAGTCTCGGCATGGTCCTCGCCCAGCAGAACTAATGGGTGGGGCAGACACATGGAACACAGAATGCCAGGTGTCTTGTCTCTAGGATCAAGCAGTAGCAATGTGAGGTGCAGCCACTATGGGATTCAAAGTGGAAAGACTCAGAAACCCTGAAGAAATGGGAAGAGGGCATGCCACTGGAGCTGGAAGGTTTCAGGACAGCAACAGTCAAAAAGGAAAGATGAGCCTGTAGTCCCAGCTACTCAGGGGGCTGGGGTGGGAGGATCACTGGAGCTCAGGAGTCCCAAGGCCAGCCTGAGCAAAACAGCGAGACTCCAGTCTTTTTTATTTTATTTTATTTTTTAAAGAAACAAAAAGGAAGGGGACACACATGTGTTAGGGACAGAAAAGAGAAAACCGCCTCTACCCAAGCATTCACCCACATCACCCACACCTCCCTGCAGAGCACCCAGAGCTGGGGGTGAAAGAAATGAGGTCCAAATGAGACAGCACAGGAGCTGCCTCCAGGGCTTAAACAGACCAGCATTCCAGGCCGAGGGACCGCAAGTGCAAGGGCGTGAAAGCACAGAGCGCAGGGGTTGAATGACTTCAAGCCTGTGAAGCTGCAGCTGCAGGTGTATGGGAAAGGCAGGGCAGGGGGCTGTGCGGAGGCTGGGAGGAGCCAGCACCCAAGGGCTGGTCAACCAAGCTGGGGGTTGAATTTCCATCCAGCAATGCAGGCCATGGGAGGCTGCAGCAGTGACGCTGTCAGATCCCCTTTGTGAGAATAATAATTTTTATAACAACGTGGCTGGAGGACTGATCAGGAGAGAGACTGGTGTGAATTGAAGGCTGTTGCAATGGCTCCAAGAAGAGATGAGGCTGTGTGGTGAGTTTAGCCGCTGGATGAAAGGCCGGAAGAATGAGGTCAGCAGCGCACTGACACCGACACCCAAAGCTTCGGCTGCTGCCGCTCTCATGGAAATCTCCTGGGGGAAGGGAGAGGGTCCTTCCTCGGTGAAAACTGGGGCTGCTCTAGCGAGTTCCTCAGAAGCGGGCAGGTCGCTAGTTCCTCTTCCTTTTCAGCCCTCAGTGCCCATTTTGCCAATAAAAAGTCCCAAGGTGACAGTACAAGAGACGCCTTTAGTGAAGGCAAAGGAAGGGACACTCCCCTCCTTTGCTGCCTACTCTCGCCCTCACTTCTTGAAATCTTTGGTCTCCCTTCACCCACTCTGTCACTCTCACAAGACAACCATTTCCAAGGACTATTTCCAAGCCCTTTTCCTCATCCCCAAACCCGCAGTTTTCAGCTGCCCCCAGTTGCCTGGCCAGGCTGCCTCGACGGCCCTATTCACGGGCCCCAGCCTCCTCGCCGGGCTGGAAGGCGACAACCGCGAAAAGGAGGGTGACTCTCCTCGGCGGGGGCTTCGGGTGACATCACATCCTCCAAATGCGAAATCAGGCTCCGGGCCGGCCGAAGGGCGCAACTTTCCCCCCTCGGCGCCCCACCGGCTCCCGCGCGCCTCCCCTCGCGCCCGAGCTTCGAGCCAAGCAGCGTCCTGGGGAGCGCGTCATGGCCTTACCAGTGACCGCCTTGCTCCTGCCGCTGGCCTTGCTGCTCCGTGAGTTTGAGACGCCCGGGAAGGCAGGGGATGGGGCGGGCGGGGGGCGGGGGGCGCGGGACTGCGGGCTCAGCCTCGCTGCTTGCCGCCTGCAGACGCCGCCAGGCCGAGCCAGTTCCGGGTGTCGCCGCTGGATCGGACCTGGAACCTGGGCGAGACAGTGGAGCTGAAGTGCCAGGTGCTGCTGTCCAACCCGACGTCGGGCTGCTCGTGGCTCTTCCAGCCGCGCGGCGCCGCCGCCAGTCCCACCTTCCTCCTATACCTCTCCCAAAACAAGCCCAAGGCGGCCGAGGGGCTGGACACCCAGCGGTTCTCGGGCAAGAGGTTGGGGGACACCTTCGTCCTCACCCTGAGCGACTTCCGCCGAGAGAACGAGGGCTACTATTTCTGCTCGGCCCTGAGCAACTCCATCATGTACTTCAGCCACTTCGTGCCGGTCTTCCTGCCAGGTCCGCGCGCCGGGTTGCGGCACCTCTCCGCGTGGGGCTTGGGGTTCACCTCAACCTGTTTTCCACACCTGGGCCCTGCTTTCAAGCCTCTTAGCGCACCTGGAAGCGACTTAGATACTGTTCCCATTTCACAGACACAGCAAACTGAGGCTAACGCGAGGCTGAGTAGGGACTGGGGATGGCTTTTTACGTCCGGCCGATCTGGACTCGAGTTCGGATTCTTGTGTGATTCTGGGCAAATGACTTAAATTATCTGCGCCTCCGTTTGCTCGTGGGTAAAATGCGGACAGCAATCAACCCGCGCTCCAGGGTTGCTGGTTCAGCCCGGGAGAGAGGCCAGGTGCAGGGGAGCTGGCTCCTGCGCTCCGGCTCTGGGCGCCGGGTGCGCTGGGCTGAGCCGAGGCCCGAGCACAGGGGTCCGCGCGCATCCCGGGGTCCCCATCCTGTCTCCTCTGCTATCCCTTCTCCCAGGAAAACCGGGGGGAGGCGTCCCCGTGGGGAAAGGTGCGCGAGGCCGGGGCTGGGGCGCCTCCATAACCCCAGCCTGGCCCCCAACCACGCTCTGTTGCTCTTGCAGCGAAGCCCACCACGACGCCAGCGCCGCGACCACCAACACCGGCGCCCACCATCGCGTCGCAGCCCCTGTCCCTGCGCCCAGAGGCGTGCCGGCCAGCGGCGGGGGGCGCAGGTGAGGCGTGCGGGGGCCCGGGGCGGGGGCGGCACGCACCGCGGGGAGAGCCCATGCCAGGGACAGCCCTGATACTGTAGGTAGAGTCAAGGGCTGTCCAAGTGGTGGGAAACCGAGATCTGAGGCGGAGAGACGTTCCCGGGACGGTGGGGCGGTTGGGAGGTCCCGGGCCCTCTCCTAAATGTCGGCGTCTTTGGTGTCGTCAGTGCACACGAGGGGGCTGGACTTCGCCTGTGATATCTACATCTGGGCGCCCTTGGCCGGGACTTGTGGGGTCCTTCTCCTGTCACTGGTTATCACCCTTTACTGCAACCACAGTAAGTCCCGAGGAATCGCGGCGGGAAGGAGTCGGCCCCGCTCCTGCCCTTGGCTCTGCTAGCTCCAGGCGGACCTTGCGAGGGGGGAGCTTGGGGTTGAGTTTTCTGGGACTCCCGAGCTGCCCCGCAGGTACAGGCACTTCTTTCTGGGAGATAGAATGCGAGAAAGCCCTTCCCGCTCCTTGCGCTCTCGGAGAGGTTTTGGGAGACAAAGCCGCGTTCCCAGAGCCGCTGCAGCGGGTGTGTTCCGTCGACGAAGCCCGCAGCGCGCGCGCACATGTCTGGACACATGACAAACGCCCGCCGGGAGGGGGCCGCTGTGGCCGAGTCAAGTGCCCAGGAGGGTTAGTCAAAACCACCATCAGTTTGAGGTTCGTCCTTGGCCCTCTTCGGCGAACCGCCCACCCTGCTTTGGGTCCCATGCAAGAGAGGTGCCGGATCAGGTCTGCAGGCTCCCCGCTTTCGCCCGCGTCTGTAGTTGCAATTTTTTTTAATTGATGCTTGAGACGAAGGATGGATAAGAAGCCCTTACCCGGCTCTCAAGAGTTATAATCCTCAAAGAAATAGGGGAAAGGAAGGAGAATTCGTAGAGGCAATTCCCTATTTGCCTCATCCAATTTCAGCCCATGATCGTTCTGAAATGATTTTTTGTAAAACCAAAAAACAGCAGCAACAACAACAGCAACAACAAAAAATACACTGTCTTTGGGGACTATTGATGGATAGGGGCACTCACTTTTTCCCTTCTTTTTCCTTATCCAGGGAACCGAAGACGTGTTTGCAAATGTCCCCGGTGAGTCTCTTTTGAACTCAGCCTGCTCACCTTGGCCAGCCCTGGGGTGGGGTCCTGGTTTCCCCAGCAGCAAATAGTGGGAACTTTTCCCAGAGAGAGGTCATGGCCGTGAAATCCTGGGGCAGGGAGTCAGCCAGTTCCTGAGCAAAGAGAGGCCAAGGCTGGCATCTGGCCTGTGTCTTTGAGAAAAAGGAGGCCCGGGTTAGGCGGGTGCCAACAGCAGTGTGACTCCAGTAAATCTCCATCTTATTTGACCTGGCACTTCCAAAAAAAAAAAAAAAAAACCTGAGGGATTCCCCCAATTTATCCTAGCTCCTCGTAGGACCTGACCTCCTCTTTATTCTGATTATTCCATCTGGGTTTTGTTGTTTTCTTAAGAAAACAATTTTTTTTCCTACTTGGCTGGTCTAGTTTTTTGAGGGAGAGCCAATCTTTTATCAGCTGAACCAAAATAATAATGGCTTTGGTTGCTAACTTCTCTGTGTCATGTAGGACCTTGGTTTGCTGCCAAGGACTGGAGTAGAAAAAAGGGGAACGAGATGCAGGGACAATTGGCTATCTGGCAGCTCAAGTGACTGCCTCATCCAGTTTCAGCCCATGATCACACACACACACACACACACACACACACTCTCTCTCTCTCTCCCTCTCTGTTAAAAACCTCTCTCCACCCGTTGGCTGAGGCATCCCTGTGGTAGCATCTAACAAGTGCCTGCTCTAGTCAGGCACTGTGATAGGGGTAATACTCCCCATCTCTCTTAATCCTCACAGCAACTTTGTGCCATCTCATGGCTCAGGGATTAGTAAAGTGGCAAAGGCACATTAAACTCAGATTATCAATAGTAATAACCATTTGATGAAAGCCTACAACGCACGTTACTTGCTTTATAGATTTTTTTTAATTTTAAGTTTTATGACAACTTTTAAAGTAGTCATGATTACCTGCATTTTACAGATAAGGAAACTGAGGCTTAGAACATTTAGTGATTTGTCCAAGGTCATACTGCCCGGGAGCTGCAACTTCCATCCAAAGCTCAGACACCTTCCCCATGGCTGCAGGCTGAAGTGTTAAGGATAACCGACTGTGTACACCAGTTCTTTTCAGTAGATGAAATATTTTACATTTTATACCTGGAGTTTGCATTTTATACTCCTTTACATTTTTCTGAGGGAATCCAAGTTCAGGACTTTACACATTGTTGTTTTTAGCAATGGAAATGCAATGGATTTCCAATGCATATGTTACAGGTGATATACCAAGGGGATAAAGACTTTGAAAATGAGCCGGGTATTGTGGTGCATGCCTATAATCCGGGCTACTCAGGAGGCTGAGGCAGGAGAATCGCTTGAACGTGGGAGGCGGAGGTTGCAGTGAGCTGAGATCGTACCACTGCACTCCAGCCTGGGTAACAGAGCAAGATTCCATCTCACAAAAAAAAAAAAAAAAAGTGGGGGGGGAAGTTTTTAGCTTTTCTTTTCTTTTCTTTTCTTTTTTTTTTTTTTTTTTTTTGAGACGGAGTCTCGCTATGTCGCCCAGGCTTGAGTGCAGTGGTGCGATCTCGGCTCACTGCAAGCTCCGCCTCCCGGGTTCACGCCATTCTCCTGCCTCAACCTCCCAAGTAGCTGGGACTACAGGCACCCGCCACAACACCCGGCTAATTTTTTGTATTTTTAGTAGAGACGGGGTTTCACCGTGTTAGCCAGGATGGTCTCGATCTCCTGACCTCGTGATCCGCCCGCCTTGGCCTCCCAAAGTGCTGGGATTATAGGCGTGAGCTACCGCACCCGGCCAGTTTTTAGCATTTTTATTATTCAGGGTGCACTTTGGAACTTTTGCAGAAGGACCATCCCTTTTCTCGATCTTTTCTGAAAACTCTCATTTTGAGATGAATAACTGAGAATAAAGTTCTGCCTTAAAATACAAAGCTATACAGATTAAACACACCTGGGAAATTCCAACACCCGAGTTAATATACTCAGTGATGATGGTGGGCCGCTCAGCTTCAACAGAGAGGTTTTAGAGGGCTGAGAGTGCAGACATGACGCTCATGATGAATTAGCATGTTTACAAGGTGCTAGCCTGGTGCTGAATTAACACGTTTTTAGCGTAACATCATTTGGCTGATGGTGGTGATTTGCTCACATCCTCCTCTCTCCCTGTCATCCTCCGGGGCTGAGAATCAGGTCAGCTAATGACTTTGGTTATCAGTCTCACTCTCACACCTCTGTGGAGACCTTGACAGGGGCTCCAGGAAGCTAGACTAACTCGGTTTAGATCCTGGCTCAGCCACCTCCTAGATGTGTGACCTTGGGCAAGTTTAACTTCTCAATCTCAGTGCCCACCCTTAAGGCTGCTGTGAGGATTACATGAGATGGTGCAAGTAAGGCATTTAGCACGGGTGCTGTGCTGACGTCATTCACCCAGTCCCATGCTGGTGCCCCAGGAACAGGTTCTCAGACCTTTCAAAGGCTGGGGGATTGGGAGGCTGGACGTGGCTGGATGGATGCTGCACTGGCGGGGTTCTGGCTACAATGATGGTCGCTTTCCTCTCTTTCAGGCCTGTGGTCAAATCGGGAGACAAGCCCAGCCTTTCGGCGAGATACGTCTAACCCTGTGCAACAGCCACTACATTACTTCAAACTGAGATCCTTCCTTTTGAGGGAGCAAGTCCTTCCCTTTCATTTTTTCCAGTCTTCCTCCCTGTGTATTCATTCTCATGATTATTATTTTAGTGGGGGCGGGGTGGGAAAGATTACTTTTTCTTTATGTGTTTGACGGGAAACAAAACTAGGTAAAATCTACAGTACACCACAAGGGTCACAATACTGTTGTGCGCACATCGCGGTAGGGCGTGGAAAGGGGCAGGCCAGAGCTACCCGCAGAGTTCTCAGAATCATGCTGAGAGAGCTGGAGGCACCCATGCCATCTCAACCTCTTCCCCGCCCGTTTTACAAAGGGGGAGGCTAAAGCCCAGAGACAGCTTGATCAAAGGCACACAGCAAGTCAGGGTTGGAGCAGTAGCTGGAGGGACCTTGTCTCCCAGCTCAGGGCTCTTTCCTCCACACCATTCAGGTCTTTCTTTCCGAGGCCCCTGTCTCAGGGTGAGGTGCTTGAGTCTCCAACGGCAAGGGAACAAGTACTTCTTGATACCTGGGATACTGTGCCCAGAGCCTCGAGGAGGTAATGAATTAAAGAAGAGAACTGCCTTTGGCAGAGTTCTATAATGTAAACAATATCAGACTTTTTTTTTTTATAATCAAGCCTAAAATTGTATAGACCTAAAATAAAATGAAGTGGTGAGCTTAACCCTGGAAAATGAATCCCTCTATCTCTAAAGAAAATCTCTGTGAAACCCCTATGTGGAGGCGGAATTGCTCTCCCAGCCCTTGCATTGCAGAGGGGCCCATGAAAGAGGACAGGCTACCCCTTTACAAATAGAATTTGAGCATCAGTGAGGTTAAACTAAGGCCCTCTTGAATCTCTGAATTTGAGATACAAACATGTTCCTGGGATCACTGATGACTTTTTATACTTTGTAAAGACAATTGTTGGAGAGCCCCTCACACAGCCCTGGCCTCTGCTCAACTAGCAGATACAGGGATGAGGCAGACCTGACTCTCTTAAGGAGGCTGAGAGCCCAAACTGCTGTCCCAAACATGCACTTCCTTGCTTAAGGTATGGTACAAGCAATGCCTGCCCATTGGAGAGAAAAAACTTAAGTAGATAAGGAAATAAGAACCACTCATAATTCTTCACCTTAGGAATAATCTCCTGTTAATATGGTGTACATTCTTCCTGATTATTTTCTACACATACATGTAAAATATGTCTTTCTTTTTTAAATAGGGTTGTACTATGCTGTTATGAGTGGCTTTAATGAATAAACATTTGTAGCATCCTCTTTAATGGGTAAACAGCATCCGATTTTGGTTGTGCCATCATTTATTTAACTATTACCTGATATTTAGTTGTTTCCAACCTTTTCCTACTATAACACTCTTAAAATGTTGCATATATTTTTGTTTCTTTAGGATAAAGACCTAAAAGTAAAATTATTGAATCAGTCCCCACCTTCACCTGAGCCTGCCATTTTCACATCAATCAAAACAGATTAGCTTCATCCTGCATTACCCTTCTTCCTTTTGTTCTTTCTTGGTAACAGAGGAGACGATGCTCCTTTCATGATAAATCACTAAGTCATCTTGTTGTTGAGGTAAAATATTCGTACTGAAAATTGCTTAAGTCGTAAATGTACAGCTCGATGACATCATAAAGCAAACACACCCATGTAATCAGCCCTCCAGAAGTCTGTCGTTAGTTTTAAAACCAAGATACTTTTAGAGAATGGAAAGCAAGAGTGGCTTTCTGTTCTCTAAATGAAGTAGCCTATGTGTGAAAGCAGAAGAGAAAGCTGATAAATTACCCATGAGACAAATTCCCCATGTCGCTCCTCCCTGAGCCCAGCTGACAGGGCCAGGAGGTGCCCAGCACACCCAGTCAAGGCAGGTGCCAGGTTTTGAGGCCTCCTGTGGAAGCAGGGCCTGGGCTCGGGGCTATCTCTGAATTCCCTGGGAAGGATGAGCATCTCACAACAGGTCGCTCCCCTTCTCATGGGAGAAACTTGTGAAGTTGACCCTGGAGCACCAATGAATGTCAAAGAATCTGTGCCAGGGCAAAAACAGGAAAAGGGCATTTCTGCCAAAAGCAGCATTTCCTCTTCAACCTTGAGCTCAAAGTTGGTGGTGGTGGGCGGTGGAGAGGCCACCCTTGGGAGGCTCCAGAGAGGGCCAAATACTTACTGATTTTTTTAATATCCTCAAAACAACCAGGATTTCACTTGCCACAAGTAAAATGGTAAACAGTAATTTGGAAATTAAAAATATCAATATAGGAACATCCATTCATTAGAGTTGGCCCTCTGGACCAGGAAGAAAATAGAAAACAAATCTGCAAGCCATGCAGGCCTAAAGCATGCTCATGGTGGGCTGTGAATTCAGGCTTAGCAATCACTGACAACCACAGACCTCCAACTTGTTCATTCTACACGTGCAGAAGGAGCACCCAACAGTTCAGACCTGCCAGCCTCGGGTCCAACAATGTTTATTTGCCACTTGCTAGCCTGAGACATTGGTTCTACAAACCCTCTTACTATGTGGAAGATGCCCATAACAGGCTCTTTTTGACCCTGAAAAACACAAAGGATAGAAATGACTCCTCTATTATGCTGTAAACTTGGTATCAGCTGCTGGAATCCAGCCTCAGTGTGGTTCATTTAATATTCATTCATTTAATAAAAAATATCCTATTTGTGGAAGAGACAAGCCAGAGAGAAATTTGTCATTTTCCTTCTCCAGCTTTCAGCTGGTTTTAAGAGAGCCCATTCTACCTTTGAAAATTCCCTGTGAATCTTTATCCAAGTGGGTTAGGAAGAAATCTCCCTTTTCTATCAGCCGGAAACTGCCCCCATTCCTGCCCTGGGTCTGTGTGCAAATACTTCTCTGTACGCAATTTTATCAATACCTTAAGAGGTGCTTAAGAGGCAGCACCACTTAAGCTGCTCCTAAAAGCAGGGTTGAGCAGCATTTCTCCACCAAAGGGAACTAAAGGAGGCCTCAGTAGCATAGTGGTTAAACGCAGAGGCTCTAAACCAGCCTCCTGACGCCAGGCACAGCAGCTCAGGTCTGTAATCCCAGCACTTCGGGAGGCCATGACAGGCAGATCGACTGAGTCCAAGAGTTCGAGACCAGCCTGGGAAACATGGTGAAACCCCATTTCTACAAAAAATACAAAAAAATTAGCCAGGTATGGTGGCACACACCTGTAGTCCCAGCTACTCAGGAGGATCTCTTGAGCCCAGACGTTTGAGGCTTCAGTGAGCCAAGACCGTGCCACTGTACTTCATCCTGCGCAATGGAGCACGACTGTCTCAAACAAAAACAAAATAAACCAACCTCCTGGCTCTGCTACTTGTTAACTACGTGTTCTCTGGCAAGCGACTTAATGTCTTGATCCCTCAGTTTCCCCACTTATAAAATGGAACTAATAATAGTCCCTACCTCAAAGTACATGAGTTTATACATGTTTTCTCAGTTGCCTAAAACAGCTCATGGAACATGGTAAGCAAATAATAAATATATGCTGAAAAAATGAACTTGTACTGAATTTTCCAAACCAGTGTCGTACTGATTATACTCTGAATGTAGCTACTTGAGTCTGATTCTTCTCATTTCTATTCTTCCCCCAGGTAAACAGTAGCCCTTTCTGACCAGTATATATGTTATTACATATACCCCAGGATCTCAGCACCCAGTGCACGGCAGGGCAACATCTCAGGAAAGCTCCATCCCAGATAGACTCAGCCCCTGACAGCACTGTGTCATTTGAAATTCCCCTCAGCCTTGAATCCCGAGTGCCACCACCCCACTTCTGCTGTTGATGGCTATGGCCATTCATTCCACAAGGGAGCTCTGTCATCCTCTGGGCAGCTGAGGAAAGGCAGAAAAGGAAAAAAGTGTGCTATACCATTTTGCCGTCTCGGCACCTACTGAAGGCCCCTCCATCCCTTCAGACACATCTCACTTCTGAGTGCCAGTCACTATCTCCTCCTTTTCTGTTCCCCCTTAGCTGACTGTGGTCTGCAAATGTCATTTATGTTTTATTGACTTAATAAAACCACCAGTTTATTCAACATTCACCATAGGTCAGTACCTCATTTAGGTCTCATCAAAACTATGATATAGGAACTACTATCATTCTACTTTGCAGATGAGGAAGCAAAAGTGTAGGAAGTTTCTATCACTTGCCCAAGACCACACAATTAGAATCCGAAAAGGTGGTATTGTGTCCACCTAAAAGACCACGTTTCCCGGACAACCTGCAGCCATACACAGTGAATAAGTTGCCAGGTGGGGCTTCCAGGAAGGACTCCTAGAGGGGCTATCTCAATGGGGAAGTTCGCTATTTCCCCGCCCACTTCCTCTTCCTTCCTGCCTGGAACACAACTAGGATTAGACAAGGGTAAATTTGAGGTCGTATGTTAAGGCCACGGAGCAGAAAGGAGTCTCGGACCCTGATGGTCATGAAGCCACCATACAAACCCCATGCTACCTACTCCACACCTGCCACCAAGCCTAGTCCTAACGGTACACCCTAGGAAGGACAGAGGCCCTCAGCCCCATATTTCCTGAGCTACCCTTGAAAGTTTTCAAGACAACTTAATAATTCCTTGTGAAATTCGTCTTTAGGGCAGATTAGCTCACTAATCTGAAATAACTAAAGGCAGCACAGTCTTGTGCTTAAGAATGAAAGAAAACCTAAAATGCGTTTCTAATCTATTCTGAAGGGGAGAGCTTGGTCTTGAATGCTGAGGACATGTCTTCTAAGAGGACATGTCTTCTAAGAATGCTGAGGACATTTTTACTTCAGAGAGGAAATGACACACCAGAATCCTTCGTTTGAATGGATCCAACACTTGAGCGGTGGCTAAATGTCTTATATATTATTTATTTATTTAGAGACAGAGTCTCGCTCTGTTGCCCAGGCTGGAGTGCAGTAGCCCAATTTCAGCTCACTGCAACCTCCACCTCCCGGGTTCATGCAATTCCCCCGCCTCAGTCTCCCAAGTAGCTGGGACTACAGCTGCACACCACCGTGCCCAGGTAAGTTTTGTATTTTTTAGTAGAGACAGTGTTTCGCCATGTTGGCCAGGCTGGTCTCGAACTCCTGACCTCAAGTGATCCCCCCATCTCAGCCTCCAAAAGTGCTGGGATTACAGACATAAGCCACCGTGCCCAGCCACTAAATGTCTTTAAATAGAGTAAAAAGGCCAGCCCCAAGTGGAATTTGGGAGAATTTTACATAACCCACACAGTGTAGGAGAGCAATATAAAGAGACTGGTGAAGTTAGAAATTCATCCTTCTAGAAAACATAGCTAATAGAAAGAAGTGGGAATACAGTTAAAACGCTAGAGCACGGAAGCCCACTATCACTTGAGACAAGAACATCATACTGCTTCTCTAAATAATGGGAGGTTCAGAGCACTGTGTGATGAGCACATTGCCTTCCTGTATTTCCTTCATGACCTTGATTCTCACTTAGAGAACAAGTCTGCCTCATTCGCCAGTCTATCCGAGACCTCCAAGAGTACCCGAGACCAATACTCAATAAATACATTGACCTTAACTACCTACTGTCCTCCCTGGCTCTAGCCTTATCCCCTCCCCAACCACCCTTCATCCCATTGTAGCTAGAGTGGGCCTTAAAAATACACGATTACAGCTCTCCTTTCTCTTCCAACACCCTCTTGTTATTAACCTCATTACAGGACCTTGGCTCTACTTTTCTGTACTTTCCAGCAGTTTGTAGGCTGTTTCATCTCAGTGCCCAGCAGAGTGGAATTTAAAAAATCTGTTAGATGAGTGACTGCTAAGATGTCATACTACAACATGTTAAACTACACGTCTTTTTATTAAAGGATTCTACTTTACGTGCCAATGTTTAGCATGAAGCACTTTGTACTTTTCTAAGCTGAAAGGAAGTATAGCTAAGTAAATGCAACATTGCCTGGCACACAGGAGAGCTCAGTAATTAGTAGCTCTGGATTATACAAGCCTTCTAACATTGAATGTATCGCCACATTTGCTAGCATAGGAGGCTCACACAAGGGTATGAAACACCCTACAAGGAAAGTGTTTTTTTTTTTTAAGTACTTTCTATCACAGATATATTGACAGATTTCAAAGAAGTTTGGTAGGTAAGTGGACCACTGCATCATTGTCCCGTCATGCAAGGTTGTAAAAACTGGCTCATTAGCAGGTCACAAAATCAAATCAGTCTTGGTGAGCATTAAAAATAAAATCACACATTTGTAGCACTAAATATTGTTTTGTAAAATATTTCAGAATTCTAAATTTTGTGTACACAGGGTTATGCTATTAAGCTTCTTACTGGGTGCTGAAGGAAAAAGAAAAGTTAAGAAAGCCTATTTTCTGCTGGGATATTGTTTATTATCAAGTTTCTCTGCTGGGGGGTAAGAAGCATCAAGCTGTTTTGTTTAAGGATGCATTTTTAGTCCTTATTTTGTCATTATGAAAATTATTTTTCATCTTTGACACTCACCTTCCCCATTTTGGTGGAGGGGGTGGAAAATGCTTTTTACCATACTGCAAATACAGTACTCCCTCAATTACCTAGATGCTTAAAGAAATACACTGATTTTTAAAATAACTAGAGTTCAAAGCACACTAAATTTAAATTTTCTTGATGACTAACAGATTTACCCTTAGTCCTCAAGGGTAAATTCTGTTCAGTACGTGTGATCTTGACCTGCCACATTTAAGAGGGAGGATACTTCCTGAAATAGGAAGCATCCAGGACACTCCTTATAAGGGAAGCCCGTTTTCTCATGACCATGCAGACTTTGGTTCAGCAGGGTTGAGCTGAGGCCTGAGATTCTGCATTTCTCACAGGCTCCCAGGTGATGCTGATGCTGCTGGTCCATGGACCACACTTTGAGTCCTGAGGAGCCCAAATGCTGGAGGGAAAGGTGGTGAGACCTTGGCCTGGCCTGCCAGGCCTCTTCTATACTACCTGGGCCACTAGCTCCAACCTGACTGGATGGGACCACAAGGGTTTCCATAGGTAAGAAACATTCTAAAATCTCAGGTAACACTAAGTCTTTCTCTTAAAAAATATACAAAAGGAGTACAAATAAGTGCTTGGTCTCTACAACCTTGGCCTGCCATGGAGGACAAGGCAATTCAGTTTCTGGTCTTCCCTGGTAATGCTGACAGCACAAGTTCTACCCCCTCCAGCAGCCTGGACATCGAGCTGTTTCCGGGCTCCACTTTACCAATCATACACTCACTGCCACTCTGGTCAGTACACAGGGCAGGGTCCCCGCTGTGCACAGGAGGGGCGAGAGGGGGCAGCAGCCTGGAAACATTAAAACAATCCCCTACTCAGAAACTCGGGACTCAGCCAGGTGCAGTGGCTCACGCCTGTAATCCCAGCACTTTGGGAGGCTGAGGTGGGCAGATCACTTGAGGGTCAGGAGTTCGAGACCAGCCTGGCCAACATGGTGAAACACTGTCTACTAAAAATAAAAAAAAATTAGCTGGGCATGGTGGCACATGCCTGTAATCCCAGCTACCCGGGAGGCTGAGGCACGAGAATCGCTTGGACCCAGGAGGTGGAGGTTGCAGTGAGCCGAGATTGGGCTACTGCACTCCAGCCCAGGCAACAGAGTGAGAGTCTGTCTCAAAACAACAACAAAAAACAACTCGGGACACTGCTCAGTCACCTTCTCTTCTCACTGTTGGTGGCACAGAAACACAGTAAGATGGGGACAGATATTTTCTTAAATTCTTGACATGCAGACCCTTAGCAAATACAGACAGCAATTTTCTCTTCTCACAGTCAGCACCTCCCTACTCCCTCCCTCATACCTTTGTCACCTGGCACATTTATACAGACTGGTTCCACAAAACACTTTTTAAATGTGCATTTCTTTAATTTTTAAAAATATACACAGGAAAAGCCATGTGTTTTACATAGGAATACACACATTAACAAAGCATTTCTTATAGTTTTCCAAAACTCTATTATATCAGTCCGAAATTTATAAATTAAATATATCAGAATTCTTAAAGTTAAAATGAATTCCCTGAAACTACTGGATATGCTACTTTTTCCAAAATCAAATGAACAGAGGATATGGATGTGGTTTGTGTTAAATAAGGTTTATTGTTAGCTTTATTGCCTATAGTCTATAAGATGCAACTTTACTGTGCCTTTGCAAACAGGATACATTTCTTAAAAAATTGATCAAAATTTTCCATACATATAGCTCTATATGATAGATTACAGTGCAACACTATTCTCGTTACATAATTATAGAAATACTATAGAACCCAAGAGCACGGGGTAAGCAAAATAAATACAATCCTGAGCCATCTGAACAAGATGATTTGATGAATCCTTTAGTGTAAGTTTAGAAAACACAGAGAAGGAAAAAAATACATGCATACTGCAGTCATGAGCAAAATACATCAAACACCTGTTCCTTGCTAGGTGCAGGTGGGGGCAATGGTGAACTTCAGACACATGCACACTCACTCACACTCCCATTTTCTTCTGCTTCCCTCCCAGCCCCAACACATTCATTCCCGCCCCTTCCCAAAAAAAAGATCAGGCACTAAATCCTAGTGAACCCCACAACTGCCTTGCTGGAGAAGGTTAAGTGACTGCTAAAGTAAGAGTGTATGTAGGTCCTCACCCATAACATGAAACAAAGCATGTGCTGTAAGCCAATTCCAGCTGCTTTTGCCTCTTTGGAAGTAAATGAAGCATATGCCCACTACAGCTTGAAACTGCAGTGGAAATGTCTTGAAAACAAAATTTTGTTTCTCTTGCTATGTCTTGAAGTAAAATCAACAGTGGAAAATTCATCCTAAAACTGCCTCATCTGCTATTAAAATACATTTGTCATTCTATTTTTGGTATCTATTCAATTATAGTTCATTAAGAACGGTTCATGAAGCTTGTACCTGCTTATGGTAAACATCAGTGTACCACACAAAACCTGCCACACCTAGACAGGCTTATGAAACACCAAATCTTCTATGTGTTCCTTGCTAACATTCCCTCAAGACCACAGCATTCTAGTGTTACCAGAGATAAAGTACGTATAGTTAAGTGATGAAAGAAAGGTATTTGGTTTGTGTCGTCACCTTATACATCCTAGTGATGAAACTAACCAAACTATGCCTCCATGCCTTCCCTGAAAATAACCTGAGTCGGCTGACGAAACAGACTGAGCAGCGTGGCTCTCAGTCCACTTTATCAGAGGTTGAGCTGGAAAACCAGAGGGCTAATGTAGTCTACCAGCAGCTTGTGCGGATAACCAAGAGTTCTTGGCTGTTGCAGTATCCACTGTCCCAAAGGCTAAGCCACTGAGGTGGAAATCAATCGCAGCATAAAGAAGACTGAACTTAAGCTGCATAACCTGCGAGACTACCTGGAGAGGACAAAAGAGGATCAGGATCCTCATTTCCCACAAAATGTGGTGTGGGTTTTAGTGTCTCTATGCATTAGCTGCTACAGAGAAGTTAACATTTACTTCATAGCTTTCTTATTTTCAATTAAATGCTCACACTCAAAAAATACACACCCTATGAATATGAGGTGGCTCTTTTCTTCAAATTTTTTAAAATAAAGAGGCACCAATACCCGTTCATTTATGTATTAGAAGTCTCGTATAATCACCAATAAAACAGAAATAGCATCTGTGATCACACAACGGAGAAAAAAGATCAAGAGACAACCTTAGCCACTGTAAAACTGTACTTGAACACTCAGATGCTCTGGCTAAGTCAGAATCTAAAGATTTGCTAATAAGGTTTTATTGGTTTAGCATAGTCCCATGGCCTTTGTCTATAACTGATATGTGGAAACGGTTCCCAAGGAAATTTAAGAAACCATTCTGAAATTCTGCCTTTGATGTACATTATAATTAAATGTGACTGTTATAAACGTTGCCTCTATCATATTATCTTTTGTAAAGTGGAGGCAAAGAGAGACAAAAAGCATCCTCCTGGACTGCTGACATGCAGAAAGCATCAGCGATGATAGGGTTGTGACAGCATTTATGGAGTTTCTAGGGCAGGGGGGACAGAATGCTGTATCTCAGCATCTTTGGTTAAGGTCTGGCCTCTTTAAATCCACCTCTCCCTCACATTTAGTCTCTCATGAATTTTAAGTCCATGCACTTGAAGACGGTCACAAGATATAATTTCCATATAATATGTCAGATTCATAAGAGTTTCAGATTTTTGGTCCTCACCCTGCCCAGTGGGAGTACACGGGCCTTACACAGAAAGCTGCAGAGTCCAATGCTTCAGTTAAAGCATGTTCTTTTCAAAGTTTTCTTGAGCTGCACAAAAAACCGTCAACAGTTTTTTGGCTCCCAGCACTGGGAGAGGGATAAAGCTGAGCTCTGGCTTTTGTCCTTTAAAGTGGCCCAAGCCGACTGTATGAAGAGTCTGGTCATCAAACACATTTACCACCAGCCTTCAGAGTACATCTGTCTCATTCAAACCTTACAGGAAGCCTAAACGTTGTGTAGGTGTTTGGGTGGAAAGATAAGAATAAGCTAAACTTGGCCTAAGGAGAAAAAGGGTAAAAAAAAAAAAAAAAAAAAAGAAAGAAAGAAAAATACAACACTCTAGGTTTTAATTCAAAGGAAAAATATATATATAATAAACTGGTTTACACCCTTGGTCAGACTGTTGCCTGGAATTCTCTACCTTCTCTTTCACAGTCCAAAGAGTTTGTCTCTGTTCTCTTCCTTCACTGCTTTAGCAAAGAGAGGGGGAACTTCAAAGAGGATTCCAACAGTGAAGCAGAATCATGGGGCAAAAGTCGCTATGGGGCCAGACTGAGGTTGGACCACACAAGCACTCCAAGCTGGGCCAATCCCAACCGCTGGTGAAGCCGCACAGCACGGAGTAGCCATCCACATAGGCCTGGCCACATGGTACTCAAGCAGAGGTTTTCCACAGTACTCTTTCTCCTCACAAACAAACCCCAGCTCTCCCAGGTAAACATTTTAGAAAAAACATCCAGGCTGGTGTACTACTGTAAAACGCTGCCAGTTTCTAATTAACTTAGCACCAAATCTGTGATTCCCCCTCCCTCAAACCAAGTCCATCTGTAGTTTAAAATGTGAAGTGCCACATTTCTCTTTGCTTCTGTGTTTTCATTTTCTTTGAAAGTATTCCTATTGATGTTCACTCCATGTCAGAAGAAATAAAGTTGCAAAATATTTGGTGATTTCCGTGTAACGTTCTTCTTATACTGAAGTAACTTCATGGGTTTCGGTCAGAATTATGTCCACAGAAGTCTTTTCCATGTAGTTCGTCATACAGAAAGACTCTTACACATGGCTATTTTTGGACAGTGCATAAATGAAGATACCTCACAAGAGAAAAGATCATTATCTGTATCCATCAGAATAATATACAGATTCACAGTCAATGAGATGATACGCTTTGCAGAAGAGAGGCATCAAACATTATACTATTCAAACACAAAAACAGCAATAAACGTTCTGCACTACAGAAAATTTGCTAGCTTCTAACTTTAAGGATTTAAAGTGATGGGTCTGGTAACTGCATTTTAGAACTGGAACATGCTGCTTTCCTTCCAGATACACAATGTTTGATGCTGGTGCACATATACAATACACACATGCACAACACTGTGTCTGCAATGATATAATAGGGCTACCAAGACCAAGAGAGTAAATATCAACTTAAGAACACTTCTAACTTTAGAATTTCATTTTATTAAACATACTTTTAAAACAAGCACCTCTTGGCAATAAAAGCAAAAACAAAAAACAAACAAACAAAAACCCAACCAAACAATAGTACTCCTTCCACTCTATGCTAACGGAAGACTTCTCACACCAGCCAGTTAAACAATGAAATTCTTAAACACGCAGCCTGCTGGGGCTGCATGCAGAGCTAAAATGCAGGTGTGCTGACTTCTTGGAGCTGGAGCAGAGGAAAACATCAAAAAGCATATCTGGAATCTATCACAGCTTTCTTTCTTAAGCAAATAAAAATGCAAATTAGTTTCATAACCACAATTCAATTTATCAAACTTTTTCTGAAGAATTTTCATTTAATTATGTATACATAACAGGAAATAAAACTTTTTCACAAACACTCTCAAGGCTTACGATTATCAAGAAAATGACAAAAGTAAAAGCAGGAGGAATATTAAACACATGGCGGGGAGGTCAATTTCCGTTTCTGCTCTTAAAAAGTAAAAAAATCACCATATAATTAAGTACAAAAACCTGCATTGAATGACAACTGCTGGTGTATTTACTTGATCAGAAATGAAGACCAAGAATATAATAAAGCCCTATGATAATATTCACCGGGAGCACTCCCCTCAGTGTGTGTACACTAACAGGTTGGCAAAGTTTCTGGAGCATTAGCTTATAGAAACACAGGAGTCCTTGGTTAGCTGCATTATATGGAACGTTCTCTTCTGAAATGCACCCACGATTCAGTTTCACTTACAAATTGCAAACTAAAGTTATCTCTTCAGAAAAATATCTGTTTGGCATCTCCTGGACTTTGTTCCATTGGACAGTAGGGACATTTTAATCTAAAGACAAAGAAGAAAACACTGAGTGAAGGAGCAGGCTCAGTACTGTGTATTCAATTTTTATCTAGTTATAGAGTATCTTTAACAATTATACACACATATAAGAACACACAAAAACAAGTCTGTTTGTATTTTGCTTTGAGGATGAACTATGCTTTCCCTTAATATAACTGCCAAGATTTGAAGGGTCACAAATACATACCACCCATGCCAGATCCTAAATTGTTTCTTAAACAAAACAAAGGTAACTTTTCTGGAAATTGTTTTTGGGGTTTCGAAAATAAATTCAATTTCTCTTTCCCAAAGGTTTAGGTTGCAACAGTCTTTAAATGAATTTCAAATGTACTGGTCACACAATCCATTCAAGGGCAGCAAATCTGATGGCAGCTACAAGCCCACACCAAGAACGGCCCACATGCCTCACAGTGACACATGAAACCAGTACAGCCTGAACTAAGATCAACAATTTTGGCCAGGCAAGGTGGCTCACACCTGGGAGGCTGAGGTGGGTGGATGCTTGAGCTCAGGAGTTTGAGAACAGCCTGAGCGACATGGCGAAACCCTGTCTCTACTAAAAATACAAAAATCAGCCAAGTGTGGTGGTGTGCGTCTGTAATTCCAGCTACTCAGGAAGCTGAGGCATGAAAATTGCTTGAACCCAGGAGGCAGAGGTTGCAGTGAGCTGAGACAGCACCACTGCACTCCAGCCTGAATGATGGAGTGAGACTCAATCGCAAAAAAAAAAAAAGCTGAGCTCACTAACTAAAATAAATTACAAATGCATATATCCTTTGAACCAGCAATTTCAGTTCTAGGAATTTATGTATCAGGTATAGATAATTCACTTAGCACTATGTTTTTTTGTTTTGTTTTGTTTTTTGTTTTTGTTTTTTGAGATGGAGTCTTGCTCTGTCGCCCAGGCTGGAGTGCAGTGGCACAATCTCGGCTCCCTGCAAGCTCTGCCTCTCGGGTTCACGCCCTTCTCCTGCCTCAGCCTCCTGAGTAACTGGGACTACAGGTGTCCGCCACCACACCCGGCTAATTTTTTGTTTTTGTATTTTTAGTAGAGATGGGATTTCACCGTGTTAGCCAGGATGGTCTCAATCTCCTGACCTCGTGATCCGCCTGCCTCGGCCTCCCACAGTGCTGGGATTACAGGCATAAGCCACCACACCTGGCCTTCACTTAGCACTGTTTAGAGAAACAAATGTTCATCAATAGGGAACTGGCTACCCAATCATATTTCTATACAGTAGAATATACTGCAGCTTTAACAAAAAAATAATGAGGGCTGTTTCTGCAGCACAGAAAAAGATCTCCAAAATACATCACTAAGTGAAAACAGCAAAGTACAGAACATTTTTTAGTATGCGACCATTTGTATAAAAAAGGGGAAAATCTATCACCTACCCCAAAAGTTAAGTTAAAGACATGCTTATAAATCTAATCACCAAATCCATAGACACATTAAAAATACTCAAATCAGATACCACCAACTTTGCCAAATGAATAGTTAAGAAATTTATTTAGTTCTAAATCTAGCTACATTTTTTTAATCCTCATCACTTCTTATCCTCCTACCAAGTTCCAAAACAAAATTTATTTGCTAACATTTTTTAAAAGTCAGACACTTACTTGCTACCATTAAACATTTTATTCAGGGCATCTCTTGATATAATATGACCACAGACCAATTTCATGGGTGGATTGTTATCTGTTGTTTGCTGACGAAGAATGGGGCAGGCAAATATAGAGTGATACCAGCACTTTTTACCAAGGTCCACTTCAATCTGTTAAAAAAAAAAAAAAAAGTAAAAAAGCTGAAGTCATATTTCACAAAACCATCCACATGGTAATATACACTGTGCAGCAAAGAACATTGATCAGATCTATTCACCTGAATGTAACTTTCTATAGCACTCTTCTAACTCAGATGGACAGTCTTAGTGATTCAAAGTGTTAAATTAGCCTTCAAGATTATTTTCAAGAAAGCTGACAAAGTGTAAAAACAAGTCTGACAAACAATGACCTGATCACCACCTCTAATGGCTTTACTGGCTTGACACACAGTCTTTAGGTGAATTCAGATTTCAGTCTGCTCTTAGTGCATGTCAGAGATGCTTACAACATAAATGGGAAACTGCCAGATGCCAGGCACCTGCCTCCACAAAACAAGTGAAGGCTCAAGTTCTTTTCACTTGTTCAAGTTAGCGGCAGTAGAGCAGGAGTGCTACTTGTGTCCTGACCACACTCAGGACCAGGACTGCACCTGTGCCTTTAATCAGAAAAGATCTTTGAGGAGAAGCTGGGGCAACCAACTGACAGGGTTACCTGCTGGAAGAACAAGGTAACTGCAAATAAACCCGTGTACAGGTGTGGTATAAAACGGGCAAAAAAACAAATGCGTATGTTAGCTTTTCAGGGTCTGTGACACAATCATGACAGGAACGACAATTCCAGGCCAGAGCCTCAGTGCCTGTCAGAGACCTGGTGGAAACATACATACAATGACCTTCGCCACTTCACATCATAACTGCACCATGGCAGCCACAATTTGAGTGCCTACCATGTATCCCGTCTTATTCTAAGCATGCTTATGTTATCTCTAGCCTTCAGCAGCCCCATAAAGAGAAAGCTGGTGCTTGTCTTAGAGATGAATACACTACTGCTTAGAGAAGTTCTAGAGTTGGCAAGTGATCGTGCTGATGTTTAAAACCATGGTCCTTTCCATGAGAGCAGTAGAAATACAGTACTAGAGACCCACTGATGACTGCAGGTGTTACGACCTTTAAGAGCTCTATACTTATTCTATTGGCAAATGTAACCAGCACAAACTCGTGATCTTATCGACAGCAATAGTTAAGACAAAAGTAAAACCAATTAAATTTGCGTTTATATTAGAAAAACAATCACAGGAGTGGTCTGTGAACTGCACTGCAGAACACACTGCCTGCTACTGTATGTACAGCCCTCCCCACTTCTGATGTTTCCCTTCACCAGCTTTCAAAGGCACTTCAAGTCAAAATTATAATACTCCTCCTCCAGGGTCCCCAAAATGTACTAGGCTCTTCATTTGTATTGTTTAATCTTTTATATATCCATAAAAGAACTCCTGTCAAATGGCTACAATGTTTCCTGGTTAAAAGGTAAGATGAACATTTAAAGATGCCATATTCTTCTAATGGCAGTAAAAGTAAATAGCCAATAGAAAATGGAACTCACAGGTAATTCATCTTTCTGGTTCCAAACTCCAGTACACTGCCTCTGTTCAATCACGGCTTTGATGTTAATTAAAGCTGGCAGCGCCACACAACCTGCTGAGAAACTGGGAGAGCAGAAGAGGAAACGTCAGTGCCAGGCCAGGGGTCAGGCCGCTTGGTCCAAGGAGACATCAATTTCTCCAGACTCTATGTGCTGCAGACCCTGGCCACTGGACAGGGTGAGAGCTTTCTGTTCTGCTAAAAGTAAATCCAGCCATTTCCACTAGAAGAGAAATAACTTGTTTTCCCTCCCCTTCTTCCCCAGGCCCACTGGTATATTTCCTGAAGTTACTGAAAACCAATCCCAGTTAAAAAACAAAACAAAAAATAAAACTCTAAATTTTCTAAATAAACCTCACCAATATGGGGGTAAATGCAGTTAAAGAACGCAAACGTTAAAAAAAAAAAACTCATCTGCTAGGGTAATTTAACTTTAGCTTACTTCCTCAGAAAATAGAAAAATAAAGTTTTAAAACATGCATTTTAAAAAAGAAAGCAGCTTTGGAGAACCAATTAATTCAAATGAAGAGCAGGAATTAAGAACTACTACACTCTTCCAAATACAGTAGTTTTAGCATCTGAGTTTGAAGGAAAAAGAGATGTTCTTGCACAAAATTCTTCACTCAGCAATATACAAGACATAACTTCCTTTCCTATTCCCTTCCTTACAGACCATATACCACCAGACTTATTTTTCTTACAAAATGTGCTCCAAGGTATACGCTAATTAGAACAATGATACTCAAAATGTGGTCTGCAGATGGTGCTGATTTACACACCATTTTCAATCCACAGGAAAGAAGTACAGAATTGAGAATAAGGTTTTTAGAGAATTTAATAACAGCAGATGGTGGTGGCTCACTCCTGTAATTGCAGCACTTTGGGAGGCCAAGGTGGGAGGATTACCTAAGTTTGAGAGTTTGAGACCAGCCTGGGAAACACAGTGAGACCCCCGTCTCTACAAAAGATATAAAAATTAGCCATTAGCCAGGTATGGTAGCATGTGCCTAGAGTCCCAGCTACTGAGCAGGCTGAGGTGGGAGGATGCCAGGAGGTTGAGGCTGCAGTGAGCCACGATCGTGCCACTGCACTCCAACCTGGGCAACAGAATGAGACCCTGTTTCAAAAAGTAAAATATAAAGAATTTCATAATAATCTTACATTAGTGCCAAAAAAGGTTTTATATTGCACAAAACAACTGGATTTAATGGGCTCAGCTTATCAGTCAAATGACATGCTTGCTCCTGAAACATTTTTTTTGCATAGTTCCTCTTATCCCCAGATCACCCCTGTCCAGGGTGGAAGCACTCATTTCTCAGATCTGGAAGTGTTGGCAGCCAACTCTCAGCTGTGTCCGTCTCTTCAGGACTGTCCTCAGTTGAAGAGAGTCATCTGACCAGAGTCACATCCAGCAATTGCTCCATGTGAGGGTACAAAACCCCAGCCCTATAGGCCCAATTTGGGACAACTCCACGGGCCCACAGCAGCTCCAGAGCTCCTCACGGATGGGAGACACCTTGTTGCCACTCTAATACAGTCCAACTTTCCTCTCTGCCCAATCCTGCTGTTTTCATTCTCCCACAGGTGCTGATGTCAGTAAACTTTCTGCATGTACATTCCCACTTTAGAGTCTTCCTCAGAGAACTTGATGGCATCAGCGCCTCACATTATAGCTAATTGCATCTGTCCACTCCTACGCTAGGATGGAGCACCCTGTGGAATGCACCTTATTCATCTTCATATCCAACACAGTGCCCACAGTGCCTGGCACATAGCAGGTATGCAAAACATTTGTGGAATTAAATGAATAGAAGAGCTAAAAAAGAGTTATTTTCTTACAACAGTTTCTTAAAATGTTTTGGTTTCAGGACCCCTTTATATGCTTAAGTATTAAGGATCTCAAAGAGCTTTTCTTTTTGTGGATTATATCTTTAATACATTAGAAATTAAAATGAGAAACATAAAAGGTGCCGATTAGTTCATGTAAAAATAAAATACCATGCCATTATTGCAAACATTCTTATAAAAAAATAACTACAGTTTCCAAAACAAAAATATATGTGTGAGAAGAGTGGCACTGTTCCAAACTCTCACAACTCTCCTGAATGCCTACCTTAACAGAAAGACAGCTGGATTCTTATAGTTTACTCTGCATTAAATCTATTGTGATACGTTCTTCTGGTTGAGGTAAATGAAAAAAAACCTTGTTTCACACATATGTGTAGTACTACTTTGATCACTTTGGATCATTGTGGATACTCCTCCTTAATACCACACGAAAACTGACTTTTCATAGTTTTGGCCAAAACAGGTAGTAGTTTTCTAAAGGTTCGCTGCAGAGCAGAATCTGAAACTTTACCATTAAACTTTTTGTACCCTGCTACATTAAAATCCATTTGTCTGTCTTGTACTTTGAATGACTCTTTTACTCATGCATGCTTTTGTAAAATCATACTTAATTAAGACCTTTCAAATGTGACAGGCTTGCTTCGTTCACTTAAAAAAATGGCTGGGTGATGTGGCACACAACTGTACTCCCAGCTACTCAGGAGCCTGAGGCAGGAGAATCACTTGAGCCCAGGAGTTTGAGTCCAACCTGAACAACATAGCAAGAATGTCTTAAAAATTTAAGAAAAAAGACAAAAAAAAAAAAAAAAAAAAAGACTGCCAAAAACCTGAGTGTGCGTAACTATGTTAATGATTCTTCCAAGTAAAAACTATTCCAAGGCTGGTGCGGTGGCTCACGCCTATAAACCCAGCACCTTGGGAGGCCAAGGCAGTGGATCGCCTGAGGTCAGGAATTCGAGACCAGCATGGCCAACATGATGAAACCTTGTCTCTACTAAAAATACAAAAATTAGCTGGGCGTGGTGGCAGGCGCCTGTAATCCCAGCTACTCCAGAGGCTGAGGCAGGAGAATCGCTTGAACCCAAGAGGTGGAGGCTGCAGTGAGCTGAGATTGCGCCACTACACTCCAGCCAGGGGACAGAGGGAGACTCCATCTCAAAAAAGCAAGAAAAAAACAAGTAACAAACAAAACAAGTATTCCATGAAAAAAAGTGACCAGCTAGCTCATAACTCAAAACAACATACTTTTTCTCAAGACAATTACCATACTTTGACATGAAACTGAAGTGCTTTATGTGGATTTCCTATTTTGTCATACAAATTATTAAGATGATGTGTACTGAAAGGTCAAGATTTAATAAAACTAATAATTTTAATGTTTCACCAAGAACATCCTTTTTTAAAAAAGTTTTCTGTAGAAATGGAGTCTAGCTGTGTTACCCGGGTGGGTCTTGAATTCCTGGCCTCAAGAGATTCCCCCCACCTCAGCCTCCCAAAGTGCTGGAATTACAGATGTGAGCCACCACACCAGGCCAAGAATATTCTTTTTTTCTTTTCTTTTTTTTTTTTTTTTTTTTTGAGACAGTCTCGCATTGTTGCACGGGCTGGAGTGCAATGGTGCAATCTTGGCTCACAGCAACCTCCGCCTCCTGGGTTCAAGCGATTCTTCTGCCTCGGCTTCCCGACTAGCTGGGATTAAAGGTACCCGCCACCACGTCCAGCTAATTTTTTGTGTTTTTAGTAGAGGCGGGTTTCACTATGTTGGCCAGGCTGGTCTCAAACTCCTGATCTCGTGATCCACCCTCCTAGGCCTCCTAAAATGCTGAGATTACAGACGTGGTTAAGTAAAACTAGCATTTCTTAAACTGCAAGTGTGTGGTGGTGAGGAATCCAGCTATTCGTGGAGTTTGTACCACCGCCCCAACTTGTGCTAAGGCTCTAGCAGTTTAGTCCACCACTGTTTCTGGACCATCTGTACTAATGTCAATACAGTGGAAAAGGCTCTCAGGATCCTGTGAGGTTCATACACCACACTTTCAAAACTGCTTCTCTAAAACAGCATCACTGCCAATTGTGATATCTTTTGAAATACCAATTGCACTCTTCTTTGGAAAGACAAAAGTTATTTTGGCTTTAAACATCAAGAACCAAACAAGTTAAGGGAAGGTGATAATGCAGTGCATACTTCAATAACAGACAGGGCTAATTTCCATACCTGACACTGAGAGGGGACTCCACGGAGAGCCCCAGGAGGGCACAAGCATCCCGTGTAAAGATGTCACAGATATCAGCCCACTGGTTTGCATCAAGTAGGTGAACATATGGTGAGTTCTCAATCCCTTGTCTCAGGTACACAAGGCTTCCCATCAAAACCTGAATGTCTAAAAAAAGCACCAGCAAGAAAGCATTAGTTTGCTTGCAGTAATAAGCTGCGAAAAGCAAGAATACCCCCACCCATACTGATACAGCCTAAAATAATGTATTAACAGGTCTTTTAAAATTCTGGTCCTTAAGCTTGGTTTCTTCCTTCATCCTAAATTAAACAGCATGGAGAGAAAAGGGAAGAAAAGGAAAGCAGTGAAAATACTGAACTTATAATTTAAATTCTTCTCTACAGCATAGTATAATTACCATTACCTAGAGAAGTAACAATTATGTCATCACATTATCTCTGACTGCAGAGTTAATGTTTCCTACACAGTTTCGTGGGGTTGACAGTTGCCACCTTGGCTCTCTGACACTTTGCTGTGGCAAGAGCAGCAGCATACAGCCAGGTGGGGGTGGAAAAGAGCAAGTGCACACCTTGCTCTTTCTCACATCTCCTCTAAGTTTAATATGGAATTCCAAAATCTGCAACATCTCTGACTTCTAAGAGGCTTTAATATTTTTGTTTTTGTCTAGAGCCAGTCAGAACTTTTCCTGTAAGTGATTATCAACTACAACTGTTTACTGGCAAACAGGTATTAGCTCTAGTTAAGAACTGTTAAGTTACAGTGGTGGCTATAGCCCTGTTTCAAACATTAATAACATCTGACTCTAGACTCACCTTTTTGATGATTTAGGGCAAATGGCTGAAAATTTTTAGCATATTGTAATGCCTCTCGCTGATTTGTGGTTCCACCCATTAACAAGCTAATAAAATACAGTCTGTGTAGCTTAAATTCCAAGGAGCTGTTTTGAGCTATAAGCATTTCCCGGTTTGACACTGCCCACCTAAAGAAAAGGCAAAAAAGACTTTAAGAATCAAAAGCATAAGCAAGGTGTCTTAAAAACTATTTGAAACCCAGTAAAACAAAAAAGGGGCTTGGTCTGCCATCTTGTGGAAGTCTATGGTAACATCAATCCCTAGGGCCCAGACCTTTGTCAGGAAAGTAACCACCAATAACTACACTTGCAGAGGCCCTTCAGCCAGTGAAAGAAAAAGCATTAAGATAGACAATCACTAGAATGACTCTCATGTGTCACATGATGCATCTGAACTTGCATAGGACCACACTTTGAAGCGGTGTCAGCCACGAGATTCACAATTAAATTGCCTAGATCCACTGCTCTTTTCCTACAAAACTGGCCTAATATATACAAGCATGAATCAAAGATCCTGAAAGGGAACTATACTTTTAAACTTTCAATAGTTGCAAGATTTTGTTCACTTTGTGATTAAAAACAGTAAATACCATTATTTCCCCTCAAGGTGCTTTCAATCTGATCAGGAAGATAAAGCTAGACAAGTATCATACAGTAAATCTTACTGTGCAAAATGATTTGTACAAACATAGTTCTAATAAGGGAAAAAACAAGATTCAATTTTAAATGAGCCAAAATACAGCCCCTCGGGCTTCTATAGAACAGTTGGAATAATCAATCTTGAACTGGAACTACCAAGTCAGGTGAGGGCAAAGGCAGGAAAGTATATAGCCAGCTGTTAAAATCAAATTTTGCAATAAGGCAATAAGGAAACAGTACTTTATTTCTCTAAATATATTAATATATAGAAGCTGTTAGCATTATATTATTTAATTTGACCATCAGTTAGACAAATACTCCCCACCTAACCTAATTCACCAAAGACCACTAGAATCTGAACTGGGTAAGAATACAAAATCTCAGTAACTCCATAAACCACAAGAGTAAAATCTTTCAAATTATTTATAATGAATTTGCTGATTGAGATTGGACTTCACAGAGCTGCACTTTTACTGGGTCCTAACCTTCCCAGAAAGGGCTGCACAAGCATGTAAACATTCTAATTAACTTGCTGATGTATTCACACCTTACAGTCAAATCATGAGGCTTCTTTGACTTCAAAGTCAAAGTGATTTTTAAAAATATTAATCATCTGGATCTTGGAAATATTTACCTAAATTTGTAAGCCTTGGTTCCTTGCCTGGCACTAAAATGATGCAGTCAAGTGGTAACACCAAGTCAGGTAAACCTGCTGACAATAATGTACTTTTTTTTTTTTTGGAGACGGGGTCTCACTCTGCCACCCAGGCTTCTGTGCAGTAGTGTAATCGTGGCTCACTGCAGCCTCAGCCTCTCGGGCTCAAGTGATCCTCCTACCTCAGTCTCTGAAGTAGCTAGGACCACAGGTGTATGCTGCCATTCCTGGCTAATTTTTTTAAAAATTGTTTTTGTAAACACTATGTTGCCCAAGCTGATTTTGAACTCCTGGGCTCAAGTGATCCTCCCGCCTCAGCTTCCCAAAGTGCTGCGGTTACAGGTGTGAGCTTCCGTGCCTGGCCAACCAGCAAAATACTTCTGGCAGTGGTCTTTCGTGAATGCCCCACATCAATCAACAGTACCAACAGCACTGTGCTTTTTGCAGTCTCTAGTCTGCCAGGCACCTTACAGATTTCCAGTTCCAAGTAGTGCATTTAAATTAGATCACTTTCAAAAGTTTATACACCCCTTCAATCATATAAGCATGAGTATGTTTTCCTACTAGCAAGTAAGGAAAGGCAGTAAGATTTTTCTTTTTTCTCTTTCTGATACGAGATGTATGTGTAAGGGCTTGTAAAGTCAAAGACTGGAGCTAATAGAGTAACTACAAATTTTAATTTTAAAAAAGTCAATAGAAAAAAACGAAAAATTCATAAATAGACAATTCACAAAAAAACTCATTTTCATAGGAATATGTTCATGATATAGTGTTAAATGGGAGGAAAGTGTGATTTTCTATTTTTTATTTTTATTTTTGAGAAAGGGTTTCACTTTCGTTGCCCAGGCTGCAGTGCAGTGGTGCAGTCTCAGCTCACCACTGCAACCTCCGCCTCCCAGGCTCAAGCGATTCTCCCGCCTCAGCTTCCCAAGTAGCTGGCACCATAGGTGCACGCCACCGCACCCAGCTGTTTTGTATTTTTTTGAAGAGACAAGGTTTCACCATGTTGCCCAGGCTGGTCTCGAACTTCTGGGCTCAAGCCATCCTCCCGCCTTGGCCTCCCAAAGTGCTGGGATTACAGGTGTGAGCAATTGTGCTCAGCTTGAAAGTGTGATATATATATATGATATATATGATATATATGATATATATGATATATATGATATATATGATATATATATGATATATATATATATAAAAAAATATTTTTTTTTTTTGAGACAGAGTTTCACTCTGTTGCCCAGGCTGGAGTGCAGTGGCAAGATCTCAGCTCACTGCAACCTTCGCCTCCCAGGTTCAAGCCATTCTCCTGCCTCGGCCTCCCAAGTAGGTGGGACTACAAGCATGCACCACTGCATCCAGCTCATTTTTGCATTTTTAGTAGAGATAGGGTCTCACCATGTTGGCCAGGCTGGTCTTGAACTCCTGGCCTCAGGTGATCCACCCACCTTGGCCTCCCAAAGTGCTGGGATTACAGGCGTGAGCCACCATGCCCAGCCAAAAGAGTGATACATTTTTTAAAGTAATTTTTAGACACCAGAATGTTTAGCAGTAATGACTCTGGGATTTCAAGCATTATTTATCAACTGCTATACCATGGGCCATGACTAATCGGAACAAGGCACCAACTCTTAGATCAGCACCAGGGGTCTGAAACCACCAGGAAGACACACCAATCAATACCATATTACAGTGATTTCTGTAACAGTCTATGCTGTCCTATATTTTCCAGGTTTTCTGTAATGAACATGTATTAATTTTATACTTTAAAAGGCAGTAACTTTTTAAGCTAATGTAAAAGTAAAATTTCTTAACTTCCTTTTTTTAAATGAACAGGCCTATAGAGTAATTATAAATTACTTTTCCTGAAAGTTATGAATTATCAATTTAAGCTTTATAAGCTATAAACACCTGTACGCCACTTAACCTGGAGAGGCATTTATTTAGACAAATATAATTTTTAATGTACTAAATTTATGTTTGCACAGTTTCAAATTTTGCTATAAACAAGGCTATGAAATAAGAAAAAAACTAGCATTGCTTAATTCCTCCCCACTCCTTGCCAAGAAATATTTAGAAAAGTAAGTAGATACCTTTACAAAAAGGAACTGGGAGGAGGAGAGGACAACACAAAACCCAAATTCATAGAATACAAGTTTTCAAATTTCTTAAAAGTCGTATTTCTTTGCATCCTATTCTGAAACAATACTGTCCTCATTTAACTTCTTAATACTATATTAAGACTAAATTGTACAAGGCAAGGGACTTCCAAGCTTCTCCCTCCCTGGCAAAATGTCATTTTCTAAACCAAGGATGAGATACCCCACTTTTAACTCTCCCAAACATTGAAGCACATGTAAGCAATTAAGGTGAAATCCTCACCTGACATGATAGGACCTCTCTCTTATACCTCCAGGATTGTACCCAGAAACCCACATTTGTATTTTCTTGACCTCAATTCCCTGGCCACAGTTAACTGGCCAAATAAGCATAGGTTTTATTCAAAGTCACTCTCCGCAGCTGCCTCCTAATAAGAAAGTCAATCTATTTTTAACTCTATTCACTATTCTTCACTATTCTATGCCTCTTGCTAAGCTCTGGTATCAAGAGTTGCCTTCTGTGATGATCATTGTTAACATCCGCCTTAATGAATCCTTGACATCTGAGTACAAATTTCACAGCAGCATCCTTACTCACAATAGCAGCTTCCTCAGATAGCTTTAGTCAATTCACAACTTCTGAACATGATAAAAGCATCTTTTACTGGCTGTGAAGTTCTTCAATATCCTTGTAATTACCATCTTCTTTCAATAAGGCAACTATTATCAATTTGGCCCGAATAGTAGCCAAACTGATTCACACACACACACACACACACACACACACACACACACACTTCTCTCTCTCAATCCAAAGTAGAAGTAAATGTTCCATCTAAACCACAAGCATCTTTCTATTCTAGTGCAATATAAGTGAAAAGATGGTGAAGTGACTTTACCCTCGTCTTTATAGTGACAGGACTTTTCCAATATGCTTTGTACCATTAGCTTCCTGTAGGCTTAGGTCTTGCCCTAGCTTCATCTTGCTGTTGTCCTTTTTCAAATCTTTCTAATCACATTCAATTTCACTTCTAGAGGTTTTTCTTGTTGCCAAGTCCGTCTTCCAATTATCCATTTTTGTAAAATGTCACGTGGGTTTATCCCTGGGAGTTAAAGAGGTGACACAACCCACACAGCTGTTGCCTGAGAGTAACTGACAGTAGATGTGCAGTGATCAAGAGCGAAGTGACAAAACTGGTCATGACCATGATGCTCCTGTTATGTCCAGATGTGTAGACTGAAGAGCTGGCAGAGAAGTCTGTATTTTATACAATTGCTCACAGTTAATACATCATGGTGACTGAAATCTGAACTGTGTTGTTGGCAGCCAGGTGTTATTTAACTAAACTGTGGTAAAAACGAATTTATGTATGTTAGAAACCTGCAAAGACTGCCCATAGGTTCAATAAAGAATACAAGGGCTGGGTGCAGTGGCTTAGGCCTGTAATCCCAGCACTTTGGGAGGCCGAGGTGGGTGGACCACCTGATGCTGGGAGTTTGAGGCCAGCCTGATGAACATGGAGAAACCCCATCTCTACTGAAAATACAAAATTAGTCGGGTGTGGTGGCGCATGCCTGTAATCCCAGCTACTCAGGAGGCTGAGGCAGGAGAATCGCTTGAACTCGGGAGGCAGAGGTTGTGGTGAGCCAAGATTGCGCCATTGCACTCCAGCCTGGGCAACAAGAGTGAAACTCCGTCTCAAAAAAAAAAGAATACAAACAGGAGAGAAAGGACACAGAGATCTCAGTGGTAAGAGGTTACTTTATAAAGACAAAGAAGTTCCAGACTGATATAATGAGGAAAGACATAAAGTTTGAGAACCTGAGCAAGTCAGGGTGTCTGTGGCCCATTCTCATAAATCTTAAAGAATTACAAAGAAAACGAAATTCGTTTTCTATTTCTCACTAAAATGATTCCTGCCCCTGCCCCTCCCCCTTCCTTCCTCCCCACGTTTTTGTTTTTGAGACAGAGTCTCATTCTGTTGCCCAGGCTGGAGTACAGTGGCGTGATCTCGGCTCACTGCAACCTCTGCCTCCCGGGTTCAAGTGATTCTTGTGCCTCAGCCTCCCGAGTAGCTGGGGTTACAGGTGCTCACCACCGCGCCTGGCAAATTTTGTATTTTTAGTAGAGATGGTGGGGGGCGGGGGGGCAAGCAAACTAAAAATGCAGTGAAATTATTAACTCTATAATTTTTTTAAAAAAATTCTGATCCCAAATTTCCAGCGTGGACCACGAGAACACTGTCACCTTTGGAATTACTCCATTTAGAGAAACACTGAACCCCAAAAATGACAGTAAGATCAACAGTGTTACACTGATCTCTGCCACTACATTCTTCTGATGAAGAGCCTTTTGGGGCCTTTCCACCAACAAACCCCAAAACAATATTACTTATGAGAAGACTAAGTTAGAAGCAATCCACATCTATACAATTACCCAGCAGAAACATTAGCATTAATTATCTTAATTGTCAGGCCTGTGAAAAGACTTGGCACACAGTTACCTCCATATTTAGAATTTCTACATCATTCCAAAAATAAATACAAGATTTCACCTTCATAGTTAGCGGTTCTCCCTCAGGAACCTAACAGACAGCATTAGTGGGCTTATCTCTCTAATCTTACAATTTTGCCAGCCTGGGTGGGTGTCTATTTCTAGTAATACTAGGGAAAAAAAGCCTCTTGCCAATCCCACAGCACATTCCACTGTAACCTTTCACAGCATTTAAAGGCTTACAAAAACCTCTTTTTCTAATTTCCTTTAAGGCTATACTCTTGGGGGTAAAAGCTGAAGTTCAGGGGAATGAATGACATTGATTTTTACTCCACAGGTGTGGACCTGGTGAAATGTCCTTAGTAACATGAATCAAATGCTTAAAAAAATTCAGAGAATGGCAAACCTGACAAAAAGTTCAGTCAAAAAAGTGAGGAACTCTGTAACTTTGCTTTAGAGACTGAAAAGAACACTCAGTGTTTCATTTCTTAGATATTTTCAAATGGTAATTTTTCAGCTATGGGCTGAGTCCACTGCTGGAACTACTACCATTAAACTCATCTCAGAGTTGGTGTGAGTCTCTGTCCTTTTCACATGCTATTTAAGAAACCACACAAACTATGGTATTGCATATCTGACTCTATTTAAGACACACACACACACCCTTTTACATGAGGTTCTCAGTAATGCAGAGATTAGTAAGAGCTACACATAGGAGTGGTCACCATATTGGACAACATATCTAGCAGGCATGCTCAAAATAATGTGCAACGGATATTCAATGCTGCATCACTTATAAAGCAAAATATCGGAAACTACAAACGTCCATCCATAGGAACTGGCTAAATAAAATTAAGGTATAATCCCTAAAAGAGAACACTAAGCAGCCACCAAAAAAAAAAAATAGTTCTATATGCTCTGATATAGGCAAATACTTCAAAATTTTTCAAGTAAAAAGCAGAACACTGTGTATAGTATGCAACCACTTGTGCATAAAAATGTACGTATACATAATACAGTTAATGGTGGCTGCCTGTTTGGAGAGTAACTGTGATTAGAAGGCAAAGGTGGGGAGATTTACTTTTCACTGTATTTTTATCTTGTTGTGCCTTTTGATTTTGTACTCTTATTTATTACCTATTGGGATACTTAATGCTGACTCAAAACTCGACCAAGGCAAGCCAAGGACAATTTTGAGAAAAGGAGTCAGTGAATGAAGTCTGAACTGCCCAACGGCTCTGCAACACAACCTCCATGGTGGACATAATGGCATCAGGACATTTTAGCCTGAGAACTTTGAACATTTTCTAGAACAATCTCCTCTTGTTCCAACTCCAGGCTTTGCAAGCTCATGTGCCTTCCACATGGACCTGCCTACCACAAGCTTGTTTCACAGCCCCTAATAATCCAAACTATGTACGCAGCTTAGCAATTCAGGTTTTTATCGTTTTTAAAGGCCTGTTCTTAGTGAAAACAAAACAAAATAAGGACACCAAAAACAAGTTTCCAAGTCTGCAAAGCTGAAAGTCAGATACTAGACTGTGGCAAATCCAGCAAGGTAGTATTACTCTTTGAGACACGTTTAGGAAGGCAACCAAGTAGCTTCCCCTAAAGATAGTGCTTTCTTTCAATATGTATGTTAATAATGGCATAGCTACAAGGACAGTTCCTATTTTTTCTAATATTTCCCCCACCTCGTTGTATTAAGTTACTATTCTCTCGTTAACACTATTTTTGGCTTTCTATCTGCCACCATGGAAGAGGATGACAAGTTTGCTCTAAATTCTCCTGCAGATTACTGTTATTCATTGAGGGCCTACTATGAGGTAAGCACTACTCTAGGCGCCAAGAGAAATTCAAAAAGCAAATAAAACAATCTGGGTGAGCATAAAAGAAATCTGGATGAGGGGGAAAATCTGTACAAACTCAGAGGTACAAGGGCACGGAACACAGGAGCAGGCAAGGTCCTGATTAGATCTATGTAATCAGGTGTTGTTCTGCCACTTCTCTCCACAATATCACCATTCCCCTAGGCCCTCAATGGCCTTTAGCCACCTCCACTTTTTTTTTTTTTTTTTTTTTTTTTTTTTTTTTGAGACTGAGTTTCACTCTTGTTGCCCAGGCTGGAGTGCAGTGGCGCGATCTTGGCTCACCGCAACCTCCGCCTCCCGGGTTCAAGCGATTCTCCTGCCTCAGCCTTCCTGAGTAGCTGGGATTACAGGCATGCGCCACCATACCTGGCTAATTTTGTATTTTTAATAGAGATGGGGTTTCTCCACGTTGGTCAGGCTCGTCTTGAACTCCTGACCTCAGATGATTCGCCCGCCTTGGCCTCCCAAAGTGCTGGGATTACAGGCATGAGCCACCGTGCCCGGCCTAGCCACCTCAAATTTTTGGCTGGCCTCTGCCTTCTCACCGCATAGGCAGTCTGGAGGAATTGCTGCATCCTCTCCTTCCTCTTTTCCCTTGTGAGCTCCATGATATCCTTCCCAGCAGGAACAAATGGGATGCTGCATAACTGGCAGATATCTCCCGCCTTGTACCTTAACTAGAATTCCCCAAATTGGAGTCCCATATCATTCAACTTTTGCTGTAAGTTGAGTAAAGGGAATTTTCTGTACCTAGCTCATGAAAGATGCTTAGTCAGTATCTGCTCTGCACCCACAATAGGCAAGAATTGGAAAAATCTGAATTGTTGTAATGACGATTTCTATTAAATCTTATGTTTTGTATAACTCCAATTTTATGGGTTTTAAATGTGTTATCTGGAGGGAAAACAAGATTGGTCAAATACACAGAGAAAACACTGGGTTATACCAAGTTAAATGAGTTTCTTTACTGTAGGATTACTGATGGTACGTTTTTACTTCTATTTATTTTCTTATTTTTTGAGACAGGATTCGGCTCTGGAGTGGTGGTGTGGTCTTGGTTCACTGCAGACTCCGCCTCCTGGGCTCAAGTGATCCTCCCATTTCAGCCTCCTGAGTAGTTCAGACTACAGGCGTACACCACCATACCCAGCTAATTTTTCTATTTTTTTGTAGAGATAGGGTTTTGCTATGTTGCCCAGGCTGGTCTCGAACTCCTGGGCTCAAGCGATCTGCCCACCTCAGCTTCCCAAAGTGCTGGGCTTACAGGTGTGAGCCACTGCACCTGGCTTGATGATACACTTAATAAGTTAAAATGAACCTCAAATGAGAATACTGGGGGACTATTATGTAAAGCATTTCTCATATAATCTTTTGACTTTTTTTCACAGAGGATCTTCTAGGCCCTAATTGCTTCTCTGTAAGATGACTTACCTCATAGGTTAATATGAGGGTTGAATAGGTTAAGACACGTAAAATGCTTAGAACGATGCTAGGCATACAATAACCACTCAAGCAGAGTTAACTATGATTACCACTACATTCCCTCATGCTGATATTAAACACTACTCCCAGAAACATGAAATGAGAAAATTTTTACTTATGGAACAAGTCCTCTCTCTGCCTGAGAGGAATTGTTTTAAGGCAACAAATAATAGACAAAATTTACAGAAATAATCAATATACATAACATGCTTATCAATAAGAAACATATCTTATATACGCACAAAGTTTAAAAGGCTCTTAGGAGAAAAGTCTGGAGTACTCTGAAGGCTAAGGTAGCAAATACTATGTGCCAGTGACTACAGATATAGTCATAGTACGTACATGACTAGCACATATGAACAAAGTTTAATGAAAAAACCTAAGAAACGCATAGATAAGTGAATATTACCTTGAATAACAACCCAAATATTATTTGCTAATCACTATAAAACAACTGGGAAACCCATTACATGTTCATATATGTATGTAGGCTTTCTCGGGCACATTGGCCCATGCCTATAATCCCAGTACTTCGGGCAGCTGACGCTCCAGGAGGATCACTTGAGGCCAGAAGTTTGAGACCAGCCTGAGCGACATAGAGAAATCCTGTCTCTATAAAATATTTAAAAATTAGCCAGGTGTGGTGGTGTGCACCTGTAGTCTTAGCTACTCAGGAGGCCGGGGCAGGAGGATTACTTAAGCCCAGGAGTTTGAGAGTGTGCAGTGAGCTATGATCATCCCACTGCACTCTAGCCTGGGCCACAGAGCAAGACTCTGTCTCTTTGGGAAAAAAAAAAAAAAAAGTAGTTGTTGCCATATTTTGTTTAAGAGGTGTTAGAGGTATTTGGTTGAATTTATCTCCCAGATGTGTCACAATCTGAAATTTGCTTAAACAAATTCTACAAAGGTAATATGCATCTTACACAGAGATACAGTTCTTAAGTGAGATCTATTATAATTTATACAAGAATTTTATATAAATTTATACAGGAATTTCTGTCTAGTCATCTGGGCTGGTTTTAGAACTACACAAAATTTTCTCAGAACTGAGAAATGGCCAAGTACAGAGGCTCAAGTCTGTAATTCCAGCACTTTGGGAAGCCGAGGTGGGAGAATCACTTGAGCTCAGGAGTTCGAAACCAGCCTGGGTAACATAGTGAGATCCTGTCTCTACAAAAAAAAATTTTTTTTAATTAGCTGGGCATAACGGCACAGTCCTGTAGTCCCAACTACTCAGGAGGCTAAGGCGGGAGGTTGGGGGGTTGGGGCTGGAGTGAGCCATGATTATGCCACTGCACTCTAGCCTGGGTGACAGTGAGACCCTGTCTCAAAAAGGAGAAAGAACTGAGAAATGATTAGAAAGAAAAAACTAAGCTATGAAGAATTAAATGGGTTAGTGGAACTAAATTTTAAGGGAAAAAGTGTACATTTTATAAAAGTCAACTTCCCAGCTAACCCTGTAACACTGATGGTTAATTTTTCTGGTTTTAAAATACCAGGATTCCAAAGCTATAAGCTCACAACAAATCACTGCTTCTATAATCCAGTTTCTTCCCTTTATTTTATGAGCTATTTATTACAAATAACCTGGTAATCCTCACAGTAAAAAATTTTAGGACTGGGGCCAGCAAACTATGGCACAGGCCACATACAGCTTGCTGCCTGTTTTGTATAGCAGATGGCCAAGAATGGGTTTTTAAATTTTTAAAGGGTTGTAAAATAAAATGAAGAATATGCGACAGAGACCTTATGTGAAATGAAAAGCCTAAAATATTTCCTACTTGGTCCTTTATGGAAAAGCTTGCTGACCCTGCTCTAGAATAATATTTATTATAGCTTACAGAGTAATTTCAGACAATTCTTATCAATGAGAGGTTCATGGTCAATTACCAAAATCCACAGTAATTAAGAATAGAGTAGCTTTATAAAAATATTTGTTCTCTTCATCCACACCACCTAGTTCCAATAACCAATAATTTCTTAGAATGCTAGCATAAAACCCAGCAAAACCCAGCACATGAAGGAAGCTTAAATATCAAACTTGCACTGGCTGAACAATAGTGCTTGTTGTAATGTCAGCCCACACAAAGTGGTGGTGTAGCCTGGAAACAGAAAACCCTTTTCTCTCATGGGAATTCAGACCAACTGATAAGTGAAATAAGCTCCAACCATTTTCTCATATTGCACACCCCCCATATTTCACTTAGCCAAAATAAATAAAATAATTCTCCTTTGATTTCTCTGAAGTCTACCACAGGTAAGATAAATATATCTAAAAATCTCTAATGTGTTTTCTGATTGAGTTTTCTTACAGAGAGTTCTCAAAGTACTCAAAAGAAAGCAAACTCAATACTCACTCCAGAGCAGGTCTCAGAACTCTGACCTTTAATGCCTCTAATATTCTATTTAACTCCACAAATGGTTCCTTCTGACTTGGGTCTACAGAAAGACCAGATTCCTGGAAAAAGAAAGAAAGAAAGAACTTTTGTTAGCAGTAATCAGGGTAAGGAGCTAGTGGTAAAAGTATATTCTAGATTGTAAAATATGGGGCAAGCCATTAAAGATAATTCCCTATAGTAGAGACTGATGACTGCCCCCTAGTACATTCTTCCCCTCTTTTCCATAGTAGAATCCCCAAATTTCAGCAGGGTACATAAGCAAATGGAATAAAGCTGGGTATGGCTTTGTAAGACGTTAAGTTCTGACCAATGAAACATAAATATGCACTCTGCCCCTTTCTGGGATACAAAGGTATGGCTGGAGCTTTGGCTGCTATCCTGGACTCTGAAGACAGGAGACACCCTGGGAATAACAGAGGTACAAGGTGCTAAGTCCCTAAGAGTTTCACAATGCAGAGCTACCAAACATGCTGTGGACGTCTTACTACCGATTTCTGTGCAAGAAAAAAATTTCACTTTTGCTTAAGCCACTGTAATTGTGGGTCTTTTGTTACTTAAAAGCAAACAATCCTCAATGACAGTTTACTGCAGGAAATTACATGGACACATACACAAAATCCCTGTAAGGTACAGAGAAAAACCGAGTTATCATTTATCTGAATTGTTTAAAATAGAAAAGGCTTAGATTAGAGGTTTGGTTTACAGACTGATTTTAAACTAATTCTTTCGGTCCTTCATGTTTCCAAACAAAAATGCAACAGCACATGGTGGCTTAGAACGGAGTGTGAAGACATATGAATCAGGGACTGAATCCCAGTTCTTTCACAAAGAACCTGTTAAGGCCTCGGGCAACTTACTTCTCCAGACCTTAGATTTTTCATCTGTAGAATGGAAACAATAATTTTTACTTCATGGGATTGCAGCAAGGAATAAAGGCAGGGCTTGGCTTAAGGTAAGCACTCAATATATGGCAGCTACTACTATTATGACTACATGGTATTGGTAAACTGTTGTAGAGTTCTAACTCATGTGTGATAGAAATAAAAGACAAATGCTGCTAATGCGAAGTAAAAAATTTTAGCTGGAAATTCATTTGATAAAATCGTTTAAGCTGGGCTAGAACAGAAGAACAAACATCAATGTTTTTGTCCCTTTCCTCTTGTCTGCTATACTAACCTTCTATATCAAAAATGGACATGAAGAAAGAATATCGCTTTTGCGCCCTTTGATTCATGAACTGGGACTAACCTTCTGGGACAGGAACAAGAAAAAAATGATCTGGATAACAAGTTCTAGAACTATAATTTTTGCCACTTAAAAAATTCCCCAAAATACTCCTAGTAAAATGAGGTCATCTCTGATAATTTAAATATTAAAAATCTATCTATAGCTAGAGGAAGACTCAAAACCCCACCCTGCAAATACTATAAACTCCAAGGAGTTCCCTTGTTTCTTTTTCATATCCTCCCAGTTGGCACACTGTTACCTGACAGAGCTCCTCAGCCACATCCAGCATTCCTTGTCGAAAGAAGTGCTCCACCATCACCTCATTGAGAAGCCTTTGGCTGTCTGCCTGCCAGCAGCCATCTATTCCCACACTGCTAATGTCAGAATCAAAATTCTGGGGAAAAGAAAGAGAAAGGGAATCATAAATAGATTATTTTCACCCCACTTAACAGGAAAAAAATGGTCTTTGTTTCAGTCTGAGATACCCCAATAAGAACCCAACTGCAATTTATAGCGTCCCAAAGGAAGGAATTTTTCCACTGCTCCTTTCTAAAACTTGTCATGCTAGAAGAGTAAATAGGTATATTTTTAGATAATGTTTTTTTAAAGTAGATTTAATAATGGTGTCCATGAATAAAATAAAATCAAGCGAATGAACTGATTTCTAGGCATTATATGCAGCAATATTTTTAGAGGAATGCAATGATGACCTGTAAAAGCATGCCCACTGCAGCACTGTCTATAATGGGAGGGGAAAAAAGGAGAAAACACATATGCCTATCAACATAATAATCCATGGCACATCCCAACAACTGCAGTATTGAGGCTGAAAGTGGTTGTGGGGGCATGGCCAACTAGTTAAGAGAGTGGTTTATCTACACCTCTGGGTTTGCCTTTGAGCTATACATGCATGGTCCTGACTCTAAACAGCATACTACAGATTTTGAAAACTGAACTAGGGAATAGACCTAATTCCTAGGTCCCATATTGGCTACCAGGTGTTACACACACAGGACAAATCTAAATAACTGTAATGGCTTTAGAAACAAAACTAACACTGAAACTACAACCCAGAAAAGACTGGTTAGAACTTGTGGCCTGAATCCAACAAGGTTGATTGCCTGCTAAAACAAAAATACCAACACTCTCCACAGAACTTAAACAAGACCCAGAGTACTATAATACATATTCAAAATGTTCAAGATACTGCAAAATTACTTGGCATACAAAGAACCAAGAAAATCTCAACTCACATGGAAAAAGATGATCAACAGACACCAATGCCAACATGACAGAGATGCTGGAACCATCCAAAACTTTAGGGCAGTTATTATAAAAATACAAACAATCTTGAAACAAAGGGAGAGACTTAGCAAGGAAAAAGCTGATAGAGTAACCAAAATAAAAAATTCATTGGATGAATTTTTCAACAGCAGAAGCAAAGTGGCAGTGCAAAAAGTCAGTGAAAATCAATAGAATTCATCCAATCTGAACACCAGTTTAAAAAAAAAAAAAAAACAGAGCCTCAGGGACCTGTGGGAAAATTACAAAAGCTCTAACGTGTGTGTCATCGGAATACTAGGAGAAGAGAAACAGTATGGTACAGAAAAAAATAGTTGAAGAGTATTTCCCAAGTTTAGCAAAAGACATAAATCTCAGATTCTAGAAGGTCAGTGAACTCCAACATGGACAAATTCAAAGAAATCTGACCCAAACATCTCACATTCAAACTGTTAAAACTAAAGATAAAGCAAAAAATCTTGCAGGCAGCCAGAGAAAAGTGACATGTTACTTACAGGGGAACCATGATTCAAATGACTACAGATTTCTCAACAGAAACTATGGAGGCCAGAAAGAAGTGGCATGACATTTGTCAAGTACTGAAAGAAAATAACTGTCATCCTAGAATTCTATATCCAGTGAAAATATCCTTCAGGAATGAAGATGAAATAAAGACATTCTCAGACGGAGGGAAACTGAATTTACTGCCATCAGACTTGCTCTAAAAGTATTGCTAAAGTCTTCAGACAGAAGAAAATGACACCAGAAGGAACATGAAACATCAAGAGTGAAAGAAGAGCAAACGTACATCACAGTGTGAAAGCTTTCCCAGCCTAATTCCACTTCAGCACCCTTTATCTTTCATAGGCATTGCTCCCTAATAAATGTTTTGCATTTCTTTTTAAAAATATATAAACTTAACTAGACAAGGCCATTTAGATTTAACTAAAATTGCAATCCTAGTCAACCACTGCTTAAATATACAGTCCAACCAATATGGGATTATTTTACATGATGTACAAGAACAGGTAGTAAGTAACCAGCAACAGCAACTGCAAACAACCCACTATTTACAATCACAATGCAGGAGTGCTTTTCTCCAAAATTAAGCACATTTTTCTCCCTATAAACAGCTATCTACCCTATCTCTAGATGTGAAAACAGTAGCCTAAAACTGAATACATACATTAAGGTTTGGAATCACTCAAGACAAAACAAACACAAAAAACCAAGAATATTGTCAGTCTTAATTTTTATTCATTTCCTTTTCACAGACATTTTTCTTAGCCAAGTATTTAACCTAAAGAATAGAAATAACGGGGTGGGCATGATGGCTCACTCCTGTAATCCCAGCACTTTGGGAGGCCGAGGTGGGAGGATCACCTGAAGTCAGGAGTTCAAGACCAACCTGGCCAACATGGTGAAACCTCGTCTCTACTAAAAATACAAAATTAGCTGGGCGTGGTGGTGGGTGCCTGTGATCCCATCTACTTGGGAGGCTGAGGAAGGAGAATCGCTTGAACCCAGGGAGGCAGAGGTTGCAGTGAGCCGAGATCACGCCATTGCACTCCAGCCTGAGAGACAGAGCAAGACTCCATCTCAAAAAAAAAAAGAAAGAAAAAGAAATAATACAAAGTACCTAGATGCTAAAGCAAGAGCATCCATGCATATAATGAAAAAACTGTTAACTAGCACTGAAGAACCACAACTGCTTGTATAAGATTATGTTTAATTTCTATTTATCAGATTCTGCCTGTTGAGAGCTAATTTTATAACAGTTCATCAGTATTTTTAAGTAAATTATTTTATCTTTATGCTGTCTATGACAACTACAACACCGGAGATGGTACTGCTTTCTGTCTCTTCTGGAGTAGAGCTCAGAGGCTGATCAACGCTGTTCTCTCCCAAATTCCACTTCCCAAAGGGCCATTCAAATGCATAAAGGAATGGGTTTCTAAAGATCTGAAGATGAGTTTATTACAAACTCAGGAACCTGCCCATAACTCTCTAAATGTCTAAATGCACAGTATAAGGAAAGAATAGAGAGATGAATTAAGAAAGTTCTCTCACTAACTTATCAACTGCATTAAATCCAAATACAACCTTCAGGTTTCTACTTATTCATTTAATGATTTTTCCCCAAACAACAAATTTATTAGTACCTATTCCTTAGGGAAAAATAAAACAACGCTGGAAGACACGCTGGTCAGCTCAAAGCACAGATCATGTTGAAACAATTTTATCCGGTAATATATATATTAGGTCAGAATTTTAATAAGCTACCATCTGACAGTACTTGCTCAGATCAAACAAAATAATCCCTTCAATTCTTTCCTTAATATACATATTAAAAGTAAATATTCATCAACTAGAAAATTACAAAAAGAGTCTAATATTTAAACAATTTTCTTTGGGTTTGCTACAAAGTTTTACAACAATGCCCTATGTGTATCTCTATTTTCTTAAGGCTTACTATGGTCACTACTACATAGGTAAGAAAAGTCAAACACCCTTACACTCAAAATCTAACTACATTCAAGCTCGTAACTTATTTGCTGCTCTTGGAAAAGAAGCATGAATAAGCAATGCATTCGATTGTTTTCTGGACACTTCTGAGCTCCCTTCTACCATTCTGATTTTCCAGTATAAACTACTGAGGTAGATAAGTAAACTTCCATAGCTTATTTTCTGGTCACATGCATTAAAAATTAAAGCTAAGATTATAAAATATATAGAGGTTGAGGAAATGCAATACACTGTCAAACTCCTTTTGTTATAACTGCAGGTTCTTACTCACTGTTGCATCAGAGCTAGCATTAGTTCCAGCTTCTGTTGCTAGGTAACCAAGCTCATTTGCATGGCTGTCCAGAAAATCCACAGCACTGCAAACCAGCCAAGAGGTGGCTAATGAAGAGAAATACCATCTATAATTAACATCTTCTGTCTTACTATACTTTTTCTTTTCATATTTTTTAAGCAAAGAAAAGCTTTGGCATCCTGTTCTTAATTGGGAAGAAAGGATCCAAACAAGAACCAAAAGCAAAAAAGCACACATCCAAGGGTGTGTCCATCCGGAGAGGATGTTCTGACTTGGAAGGAGAAATCCAGGACATACTAAATCTAGAAGCTGAGGCAGAAGAGGAGTAAATAACTTTGATACAACATCATTATGAAAGTGTGCGATCTAAACAGGCCGTATCATGCCGTATCATGAATACACAAATCAGTCGGAAATGGCTTTCACTGTTTACCGTCAAAAACCCATCCGTTTCTCAAATATATTTTATAAAATTATAATGACTGAGCAGACAGTGGTCACAATATATATAAAACTCAGTATTTAATTCCTAAGTACCAATTCCCTAATAGTATTAACATGTATTTTGAAACTTCTCCATCTACTTTGAAGAAAAATTAGTGTATGAACCAACAAAATGTGCTATTGTTGCACCTACCAGGAATTAATTTCCCTTTTAAGCATCCAGTTAATCTGGTTTAGCAGTGAGAGGCAGACAGCAAAGGATACTTAACAGAGTAAGAAGACCTGGATTCTGGTTCTCCTCAGACTAACAGACGATAGCTACTTCGCATACAAACCACACAAGATTAGTATTCAGAAGAGTTTGAAACAAACACACACCTCTCAATAAGAAAGATAACTTAACAGAAAAAATGGACAGAACATGAAATGCACAAATGGGAAATTCCTAATGTTAAACATGAGAAGATGCCCCACCTTCAAGATGGTCAAAGAAAGGCAAAATTAGTACAACTAGATACTACTTCACACCCATCTGATTAATCTTTAAACATTTGAAGTCTGATAATACCAGGTATAGGTGAGAAATGAGGAAGCAGGAAGTGTTATAGGTGTTTGGTAGGGCTGTAAATTGGTATAAACCCTTCAGGGGAAAATTTTACAATACCTAGTAAAGCTGATAATGAGGCACCTGTCCTATGATGAAATAATCCATATTTAGGCATATACCAGATAGCAGTGCTTTACAAACCAAGGGCTGGAAAATAAACTTGGTAGTGTGTCATAATCAGCATTTTGTAGATGCATTTTTTGATGTAGACATTCCATATTCTCCTTACGGTATTTATACCTCTTCTTTGGTTATCAACATTAAGAGAAAGGTAGATTCACACTGTTATGTTATTGCTTTATTTAAAAAATGAGGGAGTAACGTGCCAAACCACTCTGCCAGGCCTTTCTGTCACATTTGCATCCCTATCCCTCCACTATTAGTTATCTGCCTTTCTGTGGCTATTTTATTAATTCTTCCAAGGATGATATGTATCTCTTACCATTCTATGGAAAGGAGAGAAATTCATATGTAGAGTGGGTGCCCTCAGGGCACTAGAGATGAATTCTCTCAAGGAACTCCAGTTGAGAAAGGTTCCTCCAAGTCTTAAAATCTGGGTTTTAATCCCAACTCTGTGACTTCAGGCAGGTTACTTACAAATCTAAGTTTTCACATCTGTATCTAGAGACAATAATCTCGACCTTACAAGTCTTTGGTGAAGATAAAGGTAAATAATGTACATGAAAACCTCTATGAGTATCCATCCATCAGTAAACCTTTAATACACAGTAGCTGAATCTGAGAGCCAGGCCAAACCTAACCAAAGCTGAATCTGAGGGCCAGGTTGCCACCAAACCTTCTGCTTCTGTATTTAAAAGAATCCTTATTAGAAAATATAAACAAAAACAAATACACGAAAGCATGCAGAGATATTAATATTCATTAATTTAAAAGCACTTAAATGCAATTGCAGACTGGATTAGCTAGCACAGTTTAATGGATATTAAGTCCTTTTGTCCCTCTCTACCCAACACACAGACCTTGTTTATCACATACCAACATAAAAGGCAGTTCTGGACTGCTCACCCAGAACTATCTTAAAATATTCTATATGTCATTTTTTTATACCATTACTCCATTCACTCCTTAATACAGTCAGCATTTTGCCTCACCAATGTAGATACTCCACCCAGTGGCAAAAGATCTGTTTAGATAATGAGGTTTAAAATTTTTTTTAACTATTATTGTTCCCCTTCAACATTACCAGCTCTGCAATGGCCTCAGTGATTTCCTAGTACAGCACAGTGTTTAAGAACAGATTCTTGAGTAAAAACTTTTTCCAAACCTTGATCCACTACTTCCAAATTATATACCTGGGTATTGAGTCTCAGTTTCCTCATATATAAAATGGGAATAATGTCCCTGCATCATGGGATAGATATAAATGTATGTAAAGCACTTAGCTCACTATCTGGAACATGGTCAACACTCAATATGTGATAGCTATTATCCTCCTACCTATGACTACTATTTAGTCTGTTTTCATCCTACTTAATGAGGTCAAGTAAATCCTCAACTGCTTTCATCATCTGATCAAATCCACACCTCTCAGGCCTTCCATCATTTACCTTTCCCTATTCCCAACAGGAGCAGTCACTCTAATCAAGTCAATCTTGAAGCATCTTAAACATGAGTCAGGCATATTCTCAGTTGCTGTTTTGCCCTTTCCGAGCCTCAAGGAAAAATCTCATCTCACTGTTCTGCTGCTCTAAATCTTACCCACTCTTCCAAGTCAAATTTAAGATAGCAACTACCTTTACTTTATAATAAGCAGTGTCTATTCCATGCAAACTTCTTTCATGTAGCCTCAGAATTTTTCCAGTTATTTTACATATACAAAACAGCAATCTTATAAAGGACATGTAGTATGTGGTCAGCTTTTAATTATACCACATCAGATTTGAGATATTAAAATCTTTAGTACTATTTAACACATATGCACACATACCTAGAAGTCTAAAGCAATAATCATTTTTATTGACTTTTCTTAGGAAGTAAACTTTAAAAGTCAATTGACTAAATAAAATACTGAATAAAATACCCTAAACTGGACTGAATTCTAGATTATCTAAAAATGGGAGAGGAAATCAAGAACAGCCCAAATACATTATTTTTACTAAAAAAAAAAAAATTGTCACAGAACAAATATTATTTATTTTAAATAAATAATGGGCCAGGCACAGTGGCTCACACCAATAATCCCAACAATGGGAGGCCAGGAGTTCAAGACTATCCTGGGCAACACTGCAAGACCACATCTCTACGCAAAAATGAAAAAAATTAACTGGGCATGGTAGCAAGCGCATGTAGGCCCAGCTACTTGTCTGGGACTTGGATGCTGAGGTGGGAGGACCACTCGAGCCCAGGGAGGTCAAGGCTGTAGTGAGCTGTGATGGTGTCACTGCACTCCAGCCTAGGCAACAGAGCGAGACTCTGTTCATAATAATTAAAAGCCAAACAATATCTTGGCTACCACCACCAGAAACTTCTATTCTGCTTATATTTTCAGAGACATGATAGGTAGGGAACTTTAAAACATAAGTATTAAAATATAAAAGGAAAAATACCACTGAGCATGACTAAAATTTACTAATGTTTCTCACTCAAAACCAGCCTGCTCATACAGGAGCCACTGGCTTCTTTGTCCTCATCCTGTAAGGGTGGGAGCATGTGTCCATAAAGTGGTACTCACAGGCTGATGGACATTCCAGTTTATTACTCAGGTCTGTTTGGCATGGTTCTTAAAAGCCTTATGCCACACTGGATTCAGCTTTATCCTGTTTGGTCACCACCAATCAGGTCCACCCAGCCTTTACAACAGGCTGCCCAGAGCTTACACAACTACCAGGTTCAAATTAAAAGAGCTCCTGGAGGACTTAACAAGTCAATGCAGTCTTATGTGAAACAGCCTACACGGAATTCCTGATGTATGTGAGAAGCCCATTCACAACGTCTAGGTACTTCTATTGGGGAAACAGCTTCCTCTTCAGCTGAGGCCAAGTAGATGCCAAAAATACGGGGAGAGTGTGTACTGAAAGATACTAGGGAACTGAGCTAAAAGATCCAGGCTTTCCTCTGTGGTGGCAGACTACAGTACCACAAACACTATTCAGTGTCAGCTAAATAATATAGTATGTATGTATGTATTTTTTTTTTTTTTTTGAGATGGAGTCTCGCTCTGTTGCCCAGACTGGAGTGCAGTGGTGCAATCTCGACTCACTGCAACCTCCGCCTCCCAGGTTCAAGCGATTCTCCTCCCTCAGCCTCCCAAGTAACTGGGATTAGAGGAATGTGCCTAATTTTTTTTTGTATTTTTAGTAGAGATGGGAGTTTGCCATATTGGCCAAGCTAGTCTCGAACTCCTCACCTCAGGTGATCCGCCTGCCTCGGCCTCCCAAAGTGCTGGGATTACAAGTGTGAGCCACCACGCCCAGCCGACTAAATAATATAGTTTCATATGACGAATGAGAAGAATCCAGAATCCAGGTCACCTAGAACCAAAACTACTTTCACAGGAACATGAAACAATTTTTTGGGCTGGGCACTACTCAGGAGGCTGAGGCAGGAGAATCGCTTGAACCTGGGAGGCAGAGTTTGCAGTGAGCTGAGATGGTGCCACTGCACTCCAGCTTGGGCAAAAAGAGTGAGAGTCCTTCTCAAAACAAAAACAGAAACAAAAACAAAAACCAAAAACACCCCAATTTTTTTGAAAGAAACTGTATAAGAATTACTTGAAAAAGTCCTTATAACTTCCAAGGGCATAAAAAAAAAAAAAGTCCTCAAAAGAGCAATGAGTAAATTAAAATATGTGATTAGGAATCTTTACCATGAACACATCCCCCTGCCCAAATAAGCCAGAATGTAGATTATTCATTATAAATGTGTTCCCTTGATATCCACTTCCAAAAAGATACTTCCATGTTTGGCACCAAGTACATCCAGATAATGTTTTGCCTTAAAGATTAGTCAAAATATCTGACAACCCTTATGAATATCTATAAAGACCTGCTAGGTCTGGAGTAAGAGATGCTCAGCCAGGCACCAGGAGCAAGCAGGACAAGAGCAGAAGAAGATTCTGATCATCATGACAGGACAAAAAACATAAACTAGGAAACAGGGACATACATGGCATATATGGTCAGCCTACCAGCTGCAGAAAGCATAATTGGTGAATTATTTGCCCAACTGCTCCAGATCCTGGTCAGTAGCCCACACACTAGAATTATAGTTGCTGAGCCCATCCCCCCTTATTCCAAGAATCTCTGATTGGCTGCCTTGGAAGCTTTAGCTCTTCTCACTGTCATACCACCTTTGGTTCTACTGTCCAAATGCTGACCTTCTGTTATAACTGCAGGCAGCCTGGTGGTCAAGCAGATGTCCCCAAGAACTTCCTGGGGTTCTCTCTGAACTTTGAGCCATTTAGAATCACCAGGATGCCTTGGTCACTGTCAACATCAAAATGTGAATCTTCTTAGACACCACCAGTAGTTACTGTACCTCTAGAGGAACTGAGGGTTCTTCACCCACAAATGAAGACCATCTCTAAAGTGCCCCATCACATTCTAGAAGGATACAGCTGCTGGAAGAAAATAAAGTGTCCCACCACCACTCCCACAGTTCTTAAGCTCATACACACCAACAACCACTCCAGGAACCAACTGAAGACTTCAAATATCATAGTACCAGAGAGGGTTGATGCCAAACCCACTTCTAAAACTGTGTTCACTCTCTTGGAGTTACCAAACAGGCTTCACAACCTCAAAGCCATTTCACAATCTCCCCAAAGTCTCAATCTCCCCACAATCTCCCCAGTCACAATCTCCCCAGAGTCTGCCTTCCCAGACTTTGCTGGTGACTGCCATCACTGACATAACAACGTGGCTGGAACCCTGCTGCTGCCAAAACCACCCTCCGACTCTCTGGCCAAGTCAAACCCCTCACACCACTATGGGAGTAGTGAGAACTTTCTGAAAGGCCACTAACACTTCTGTAAGCCACAACTACCAAAACAAGTCCTCTGAGCCCATGCCACTCACAGTCTTGTCATACCACACCTACCAGTGAACAGTATTGCCTTATAAGCATATAGTTCTGACTCAAGCAGCGTCAAGCCTAGCCTTTTCACAGGATAATTTCTAACAGTTGGGTCTACCCATGAGTTACACGAACCACTCTCCAGATTCAATGAGCTTCTATTACCTCTGTTACAACTATCACTCTTGTGAGTACAGACTAAGTTAACTCATAAGACTGTTTAGAAGATGCCTTTGCTACAAAGGGCACTCCTCGAAAGTTCTTCCTACCCTCCCAGACATTTACGATGTGTGAAGAGAAATGCCCCAACCAGTCACAATCTCCCCAATGTCTGAAGTAGTCAGAGGTATCACACAGTAACCTTGAACTACTTCTCTTAGGTGCCAATAGGACTATGAACTCCATGAATAAAATCAGCTGGTACTAAAAATGGTAACTGCTTATAAGTCAACCACCAGGTCAAAGATGGCTTACTCAAAAAATGTCACAAGAAAAAAAACATCAAATCAAAGTGACCAGCCTCACTGCCTAGCAACCAACTCACTCACTCATTCACACAGAAGGCAAAATTGAAAGGTAGCTGGGACGCCCATAGGAAGAAAACAGTTAGGATGATGCAGGGGAGACTGATACAAGGCTGTTATTCTAATCATCCCATAACAGAGACAGAGTCACAGCTAGGGAATTATTCAGGAATTAGGAAAAGTTACTTCTGGTAAACAAACTCCCACATACTGGGTTAAAATTTCTTTGGAACTTTATTTATCATGACCCTAGGAGCTCTAGTCATATATGCAAATGGATAAACAACAAAGCTATAAAAGCAGAGGGTTTTAATTTTGCTTTTATTTTTTAAATAATAGCAACAAGGAACTTTAGTAAGAATAACATAGTAAAACTAGACCTGTAAAAGTCATCAAAAGCAAACATGACAGGAATAGCATAAAGTAATTTGTGAAAGCTAGTATTATCAAAGCACTGACAGAAGAAAAAGAATGATGCTAAAAAATACAAAACACTTCTTTCAATACCATACCTTATCAATGGCTTTTCCAACCCGAGAAACACTGCTGTGGATGTCTTTGTGGTCGGAGGCCAATTTTTGAACAGTATCCTTTATTCTTTTACAGCACTGTGTCAAAACAAGTGAAAGTGTCCCTGATAATTCAGCATCTTGGCCTATAAAAAAACAAAGGAAGGATTGGTTACTCACTTAAGCAAACCCAAAGATGGCAAGTTTCTAATGGGCCTTTTGGACCATGAAAGATGGAAGAAAAGTGAAGAAAAACCAGTATCTGCTTTGAAGCTGATGGTCACATTCATAGATGTGATTTTTCAAATGGATACTCAGAAAGATATAATTTTTTTATTTTTGGAAATAAGAAAATTTTACTGTGAAAGGAATCATTTTTATCATTACAACAACCAGCACAGGCTGTGAATAATACTGTCAAGGCAGTATTATTTTTGAGAAAATATGTCTAAGTGAATAAACTCACTTATTAAACCCAGTTACACTGTTCAAGTCATTCTCAAAACGTTCTGGTTGTTACTAAATTTCCTCAAGAGAGATGATTTAGTGCAAATGCTTCATATTCCATATAAAGAGGTAGAAGAAAACAAACTTCCCTGGGTACCACGATGTGCAGAAAGGAGTTAACACAGCAGGTCATAGACTACTACCCTTAGAAAGTCCTGCTTACAAAGTCACCTCTTGGCTGGCATATAGAAACCTGGGAGTTTGGGAGTGTTCCCATCACTCCCTAACTCAGTGTTCCCCAACCTTTTTGGCACTAGGGACCAGTTTCGTGGAAGACATTTCTTCCACGGACGAGGGCTGGGGGGAATGGTTTCAGGATGAAACTGTTCCACCTCAGATCAGGCGTTAGTTAGATTCTCCTAAGGAGCACGTGAGCCAGATCCCTCGAATGTGCAGTTCACAACAGGGTTCATGCCCCTATGAGAATCTAATGCTGCCGCTGATCTGACAGTGGGTGGAGCTCAGGCGGCAATGCTCGTTCACCGCTGCTTGCCTCCTGCTGTGCACGGCCTGGTTCCTAACAGGCCACAGAGGGGTACTGGTCCATACCCGGGGGTTTGGAGACCCCTGCCCTAGCTGAAAAGAATGGCTCATTGTGCCTAAACTGTTGTACAGTGTGATTTATGGTGAACATCTGCTTTCCTTCTGGGAATCTAGAATGTTGATACATGCTAGGCAGTGAGTACCTGGCTTTCTCCTGGCTTGGAGAAAGCTTCCAATAGTCCTCTCCCAGTGAAGTCACATGGAATATGCTTAATTCCTGCAGCCATGGTTTGTGAGAAGTGTTAAGTGTTGCCTACCAGGGAAGCTCATTAGAAGCTCAGTGCCCAGGGTTTTTATTGGGGGCTGGTCACCAGGGCACCCACTGCCTAACTCTGGACTGCCTAACTTTGGACTTTGGACTTCTGCCCCATGAGTCTTTTCCCTTTGGTGATTTTGCTTTACACCCTTTTGCTGTAATAAATTCTAGCTAAGAGTATGATTATATGCTGAATTGTGTGACTCCTTTTAATGAATCACTGGAACCTAAAGGTGGTTTTGAAGACCCCTGACACACATGAGATCAACCAAAAGTTACTACAGTTTACATCCTTTCCCTGAGCTACCTCCCTCCAAATTTTGTTCCTATAGCAGGAAAAAAAGGAGGAGAAGGGAGAAAAACAGACAGATAAAACAAACCCAGTTATGGTATTTGTCATTTCTCTCTCTATCTACGTATTCCCACCTGTAAGCAACAGGCCTGGTTTCTGAAATCCTAACCAACATTATATAGAAGAGCTTCTTGAATTTTAATTTACATCAGAATCACTTAAAGTTAAAACAAAGTAGCTGGACCCCATCCCCAGAGTTTCTCATTCAATAGGTCCGGGATGGAACCTGAGAATTTAAACAAGGAGCCCAAGAGTAAAACAGCCCTAGGATGCCTGCTCATTTAACCAATATTTATTGAGCACTCACTATATATGACAGGTACAGCAGTGAAACAAAATAACCAAAAATCCCTTCCCAACAACTTAACTTCTGGCAAGAGACGTAACACACAAAATAAGCAAATTATATACTACGACAAAAGATGATACATGCTACCTGGGAAAGAAAAGCAGGGTAAGCGAGATGGGGAGTGTGTGTGGGTGGAGCAGCCGCAACTTCAAAACAGTGCTGGCATGGTAGGCTTCACTGAGTAGATGACACTGGAGGCAAGACTTGAAAAAAGTGAAGGAATTACCATGTGGCTGGCTACTTTGGGGTAAGCATGCCAGGCTGCGGGGAGAAAAGCCCTACTGCAAAAATACACCTAGACTATTCAAACAACAAAGAGGTCAGCATGTCAAAAGTGGATTTCTGGCCAAGGAAAATAGAAGAAGAGGTCCAAGAGATAATGGTCCTGGTTTGGTAGGATCTCTTTGGCATTGTAAAGACTTATGCTTTTACTTTGACTGAAAGGGACCACTGCAAGGTTTTGAGCAGAGAAGGCATGTAAACTAATTAAAAAAAAAACCCACAAAAAACATTTTTTTTTTTTGAGACAGGGTCTCGCTCTGTTGCCCACACTGGAGTGCAGTGGCACAATCTGGGCTCACTGCAACCTCTGCTTCCCGTGCTTAAGCAATCCTCCTACCTCAGCCTCCCAAGTAGCTTGGATGACAGGCGCCCACCACCACACCGGATAATTTTTGTATTTTTTGCAGAGACAGGGCTTCATTATGTTGCCCAGGCTGGTCTCAAACTTCTGTGCTGAAGCAATCCTCCTGCCTCGGCCTCCCAAAGTACTCGGATTACAGGCGTGAGCCACCATGCCTGGCCGATAAAACATTTCAATATGGTCAGTCTAACTGGCAACGGGAGTACCAGAACTGAGCAGGAAAATAAGAGGCTGTGGCAGCAATCCAGATGAGAAATGACACTGGCTCAGTCCAGGATTTCATGACTGGACATGAGTGAAGAAAAGGACTCACAGATGTCTCCAAGATTTCTAGCCTGGGTCAACTAGAAAGATGGAGTTGTCTTCAGTTAAAACAAAAACAATCTCAGCACTTCAGGAGGCCAAGGCAGGAGGATCACTTGAGCACAGGAGTTTGAAACCAACCTTGGGCAACAGAGTCAGACCCTGTCTCTACAAAACATACAAAAATTAGCTGGGCATGGTGGCACACGACTGTGGTCCCAGCTACTTGGGAAGCTGAGGTGCGAGGATCACTTCAGCCTGGGACGTCTCGGCTGCAGGGAGCTACAGCACTGCACTCCAGCCTGAGTGACAGAGCGAGACCTCAACTCCCCATCCTGCCAAAAAAGAATAAAGGCTAAGCAGGTATGAGGGGAGAGGAGAGAGAGAAAGTTCAGTTTGGGGCTTGTTAAGTTTGAGACATTGAGTAGGCACCACAGTGCATAAGTGGAGGAGTTGGTGAGATATACAAACCTGGAGTTCAACAGCAGTGTTAGTGCTGGAGATACAAATTTGTGAGTCACTGACATATATATATATATATATATGATACTTAATGCATGGGACTATATGAAATCACCAGGGGAGTCAGTACAGACACAGAGAAGTGATAAAAGAACTGAGTCTTGAGAACTCCAAGTTTATGAGGCTGGGAAGAAATAGAACTGGAAAAGGAGGCTAACAAAGACTACTGAAGCACTAACTGTGATGGAGGAGGAAACTCAAGAAAAGTATAATGTTGGGGAAACCAAGAGAAGAAAATGTGTCAAGGAAGGAGGAGTAACCAGCTGTGTTGATGTGCTACTAGGTCAAGTAAGATGGGGACTGAGAATTGGCCACTGGATTTACAATGTGGAAGTAATCAGTGACGATGACAAGAATAGTGTCTCTAAAATTCTATGAAAAGAAATCCTAAAAGGTTACAGGGAACTGTGAAGAGGGACTATATTAAGTCTGGTTCAATGACAACTACTGAGATAAATGAAAAGATAAGAAAAAAGCTTTCCTTATCTCTAAATACAGTTGCACAAAGTTTCTATCAAGTGTTTCCAACTTCCAATAACACAATTAGGCTTCCAACTTCTAATAACATAATTTAGGCTAAGGCAAGACTTGGTACTTCAAGAAAATTTCAAAATCTGTTTAAAAGGTGTTCCACAGATTTCTTGGACCAAAAGCATCTAATTGCTTCAGCAGCTCTGTTCTGGCCATTTCTGATCTTTCTGTACCTAAAGCACACCTAACCTCAACAGCCTCATCTTCTCTATGAACCCATCTGACCACAGACTTACTCCCTCTTCTGAATTCCTGGTAACTTCTGATCTCTCCCCTACTCCCCCAGCACTTAATTATAACCCATTTTAACAATTTCATATATATATACCGTCATCAGTCTCTACTAAACATAAGCCCCCAAGGGAAGACCAAGTCCTTATTATAAATTGTATACTCCAGTTTTATATTAATAGTGCCTGCAAATGTGCAAGACATATAAGTATCTGAATTGATGGTAAATAAAGTGAGGAAAAAATAGTTTTTGTTTTTGCTTTTGTTAGAGCCATATTCAACAAATGGTGCTGAGACAACAAGATATCCACATGCAAAAGAATCACATAATATATAAAAACTAATTCAAATGAGCCAAATGCAGTGGTTCAAGCCTGTAATACAAGCACTTTGGGAGCCCGAGGTGGGTGGATTGCTTGAGCCCAGGAGTTTGAGACTAACTTGGGCAACATGGCAGAACTCCATCCCTACAAAGAATACAAAAATTAGCAGGGGGTGGTGGTGCACGCCCACAGTCCAAGCTTCTAGGGAGGCTGAGGTGGGAGGACTGCTTGAGCCCAGAAGGTAGAGGCTGCAGTGAACTGTAAGCATGTCACTACACTCCAGCCTGGGCAACAGAGTGAGACCCTGTCTCAAAAAAATAAAGTCAAAAATAAAAATTAACTCAAATGGAATAAAGACCTAAATGTAAGAGCTGAAACTATCAAATTCTTAAAAGAAAACAGATGCATTTCTGACCTTGAATTAGGCAATGGTTTTTCAGCTATGACACCACAAGCACAAGCAACCAAAGAAAAAATAATTAAAATGGACTTCATCAAAATTAAAAACTTGTGTTGCAAACACTATCAATAAAGTGAAAAGACAATTCATAGAAGGGGAGCAAATATTTGCAAATCACATTCTGATAAGGGTTTAGTATCCAGAATAATATAAAGAACTCTTAAAGCTCAACAATAACAAGACAAACAATGCAATTTAAAAATGGGCAAAGCACAAGGCACAGTTCACGCCTGTAATCCCAGCACTCTGGGAGGCCAAGGCAGGTGAACCACTTGAGCCCAGGAGTTTGAGACTAGCCTGGACAACAAGGCGAGACTCTGTCTCTACAAAAAAAATACAAAAATGTGGCTGGGCACAGTGGCTCATGCCAGTAGTCATAGCAACTAGGGAGGCCGAGGCAAGTGGATCCCTTGAGCCCAGGAGGCTGAGGCTGCAGTGAGCTATGATTGCGCCACTGCATTCCAGCCTGGATGAAAAACAAGACCCTAACTCAAAAAAAAAAGGTCAAGGATTTGAATAGACATTTTTCAAAAGAAGATATACAAATAGCCAACAGGCACACAAAAAGATGCTCAATATTATTGGTCATTATGAGATGAAAATCAAAACTACAATGAGATACTACTTCATGCCCACAAGATTGGCTATCAGGAAAACACAATAATAACTGTTGGAAAGGATGTGGAGAAATTCAAAGCCTTATCCATTGCTAGTGGAATATAAAATGGTGCAGACACCATAGAAAACAATTTGGCAGTTCCTCAGAACGTTAAACAGTTACTATATGACCCAGAAATTCCACTCCTAGTTATATCCTAGTTATATACCCAAAAGAACAACATGTCCACACAAAAACCTGAATCAGAATGTTCACAGTAGCATTATTCATAAGACAAAAACTGGTAAGAAACCAAACCTCCAAAGAATGAATGGATAAACAATGGATTATCCAGTCATTAAAGGAAATGAGGTACTGATACATACTATGACACAGATGAACCTTGAAAATATTACATTAAGTATTCAATAAGCCAGACACAAAAGGCCACATATTGTGTCATTTCATTTGCATGGAAGGTACAGAATAGACAAATCTATAGAGACAGACATAGATTAATGGTATTTGGAGTGGGAGGAGACAGGGTGGGAATGGAGAGTGACTGTTAATGAGTACTGGATTTCTTTCAGAAATAAAGAAAATGTTTTTAAAAAGAAGTCATACCTCCTATCCATCCAGACACATTTATTTCTACAACCAGCAGACAACAAGGTAGGAAAAATACAAAAAATAAAAAGGGTGCCAGGTACGATGGCTCACGCCTGTAATTCCAGCACTAAGGAAGGCCGAGGCAGGCGGATCACTTGAGGTCAGGAGTCTGAGACCAGCCTGGCCAATATGGTGAAATCCCATCTCTCCTAAAAATACAAAAATTAGCTGGGCGTGGTGGTGAGCACCTGCAATCCCAGCTACTAAGGAGGCTGAGGCAAGAGAATAGCTTGAACCCTGGAGGCAGAGGCTGCAGTAAGCCGAGATTGCGCCACTGCACTGCAGCCTCGGTGACAGAGCGAGACTCGGTCTCGAAAACAATAATAATAAAAATAAAAAAGGATGAAGCCAAGCTGGAGGAAAGAGGTCACCTAGAATTTACCACTGAACTTCCACGCACCAACCTTGAAATCCACTGATATTTTCAAATCGTAGTAACTTACATATCTGGAGTTTGGTGCTATTTGTTACCTCCTTTTCTTCCTTTACCATCTACAAATTCCTCTAATTTTTGGTTTTCAATTTTATGAATGACAGATACAAGCAGTTTATGGCCAATTAATTAATACTGAGAGTTCTCAGAATGCTCCAAGGAAAAATAATTTCTGTAAGGTATTTGGAAACTCAAGAAAAGCAGAATGGAATAATCTGAAAGAGAACCCTGGGAAAGCCCTGTTAAGAGAGAAAGAGTTCACTAATGCATTTTCAAATGGACTCAGTGGAAAGCAGCCAAAGGTTTAAAACAGGTTTGAAAATTGCTATAATGACCAGACTGACAGTCAACCAAACTTCTATAAGTCCTACTGGGAGAGTTCTAATGTTCTTTTGATTTCTCTGTATGAAAACACAACCTGCTTCTAGGAGAACCTTTATGTGAAAGAAACTGGATTCAGTTCCTAGAAGAAAAGCTGGGGAATTACTGTGACAGCCATCTCCACCATAACTACATCCAGGTTGGCCACTGCGGTGGTCACTTGTCACCCAGAAGAAAGTCCTGCACTAACTGTGTCTTCCAATGTAGTAAACCCAGGGAACCCAGGCCCAATGCATGAGCCTGAAAGAAACAACTCTGACGCAATGCTCACTCATCACTGGAGGGTCACAAGTACTTTTTAAAGTCAGTTTTATGATTAAACAAGTGTAAGAATTAGCATGTTCAATATAAGCAAAGAACGAACATATGTAGACCATCTACGTGTGTTGCTTTATTAAGTTAAAATTTTCAATAAAATAGAACAGCACCTTTTATCATATAAACAGATTTTAAGCACGATACTCAAAATTTTCAAGTTCTGCCCTTGAGCCTCACTGCTTTGCCATTTTAGGATGTATGCCCACTAGTTTCACAGAAACAATAAATAAGAAAAATGTTTGTTTCCATAGCATCCTATACTTCCCTATCAGAGTTTCACACTTTGTTGTAAATAGTTATTTGTCCATTACTCCCACAAAATTAACTTTAGTAGGAAATATGACCAATCCCCAACGTTTAGTATAGTAACTGGCAAATACTACACGTTCAGTAACTAGTTACCAAAAGAATAAATATGAAAATAATTAATTATGTATTACATAATCTCAATTTCAAACCCAGCATTGAAGACTGTCTGGTACTACCAACACCCTCTGAAATTGCCAGCAGTTTCACTCAGCAGTCCACTGACCCCTCACTCTCTCACAGAATGTTTAGCATCTTCTACACAGTAACACTGCAGCCTAAGTTCTGCAAATACCAAGTAAGTTAGGAAATAATACTGTTCCTGTCTGTCAATAACATTATTGCCTAAGTAGAAAATCCCAAAGAATCTACACACAAACACAATCCAAGAATAGATGAGAGTTCAACAAGGTCACAGTACCCAAGATCAACACAAACATACAAACACACATATGCACACATATTTTCAAATAAGACACATTCACAAAAGAGTCCCCTGGCATCAGTTATAAGTTCCTTCTCTCTTCCAAATAATGACCTCTCCCACCAACCCCAGGAATTAATGGGCTTGTGCTCTGACTCAAGTCACTTTTGAGACAGTTTCTTTTTTACAAAACTATTTCCACATTTGTCAAAGATGCAATGAAACATCTCTAATATATAATGTGACCCTATAAAAGTATATTCTAAGTCAGAATATAGGAAGGTATAACAAACGTACACATTAAAAGGGTGACTGGTTTGCACAAAGCTAAAAACTATAAAATCCCTACTAATACCTTGGTTACACCTTCAATACACTTTTAGCATTTTGTACATACATTTGTTTTACTTTCTTCCCTACTGATCACAAGCCTCAAAAAAAAGCACGTCTCGTGTCCAGCTCCGTGACAAGATTTACCCACTATTTTGGCTCACCTTAATACAATCTAGACAAATATATCATTAATATTGACAAGTACGTTTCTCATCCCTACTCAGTATCTGCACTTTTAATTTTCCGTCTGCCACTTATTTTTATGATATGGGGGGAGGGGGTTCAACTGCACAAACACACTGTTAAAGATAGCATTGCTAAAACTAAACAGCTGGTTGGTAGGCAGCACACCATGTTGCAGCCTGAAATGTCTGCCATCAGGAGATAATAAAAAGTTCTAATTTGGTCTATAAAAGGCAGTTTAAAGGTGTCAATTACACCATGAAATACATGCTGCCCACGAGTCAAACACATGAGAGATGAGACCCACCATACTTGAGAGCACTCTATAAAAAAATAGGGAGGCACAATATAAAAAAGTATTGTTATGGTGATGATTTTCAAGAAGGTTGAAAGTATCACCACCTAAGACTGGAATATTTCCACAGAAATAAGATTCCGCAGAAATCACTAAGACCTGGCTTGACATTTTAATGAATATCCTATAGGCAGTAAAAATTTAAAATATCCAAGTTTATAAATATTACATGTATCGCATTTGAGCTCTTCTGAGTTATGAAAAGTTAACTCCACTTTCATAAGATGGACAGAGATCTTAAATTTAGAATTAAGTGGAAAGCAAAATGGAACACAAGTTTTGATGCAGATAAATACAAAGAAATCCATTTAGGAAACAAACCTAACTGTACCTAAATGAAAACTCAGACCTCATAGAGATATACTCCAGAATTCATTCTAGATTAGCTATTTAAATAAAAACACTAAAATCAGAAAGCTAAAAGAGTATTAGGCATCACTAAGAAGGCTGGTGGGGGGGGAAATCTATGATATACCACTCTTATAAAAGCCTTGATGCCTTAAAATACAAAATGAAACCAAGAAAAAACAGAAAAAAATGTAAAAGGGAGAACTATAACATTTAGAGTCAATTAACATTTATTGAGTGCTGAAGGCCTGTGTCAGCAATGTTCAAGATACTTTTCCCATGTTACCAATTTCTACACAGATTTAAGAAATTTAGAATGGGAATAAAGTAGATAAAGGATAAAAAGATCTAAGACTGACTCTAGAAAAGTCACTGACAAGGTGACCATGGATATCCTTGCGAAGTACTAGAATAGAAAAACTTGAAACTTGAAAAGGTAAGGTTGGAATTTTTTAAAAATAAGGGACTATTTCATTTTGTCTGTAGTAAAATAAACTGCGGCCCATTGAAATTTGGGATTCTTGTGAGCTACTTCAGCACCTAGGACACAGCGGCTGCTTAGAGGAAAGAGAAAAGGCACAAATAGAACACATTCATTTTTTTCTGGAGGAGGTAAACACTGAAAACAAAATTTTTCCAGTATATTAGTAGCTGGTAAATCTGCAAAGTAAAAGAAAGTATGGTATTTGGTGTTCAACTCCTGACCTTTCAGAGAACAGTAGACTGACAGACACGTGTTCTGATCCAGAGAGATTATTAAAGACTGTGCATCAAATTAGAGGCACAGTGTGCTGCAAACCAAACATGAGGGGAAAAAAACGAAATAAAGTTAATATTTAGAGTGAAATTACATGGTACAGACTAATAGTGCTCCTGGAGCAAAGAACAGTATCAATGACTATCATAGAGAAGACAGGAAAGGCTTCAAAGTATATGAGGCAAGAATTGCAGAGAGAAGAAAAAAGATACAGGCACAAGATTTTAAACATATGTCTGTGACAGTCACATTTTAGAGAACCTATTCACTCCCTTCAAATTCCAAATATAAAGACTTAATCTCTAGGCATCTCATTTATCTCTGAAATGAATGGTGGAACCACATTAGGTTTCCTGTAGCATTGGAATCTGGATTTCATATTTAAAAATCAAACTCAGGCCAGGTGCAGTGGCTCACGCCTATAATCCCAGCACTCTGGGAGGCCGAGGTGGGTGGATCATTTGAGTTCAGGAGTTCAAGACCAGCCTGGCCAACATGGTGAAACCCCATCTCTACTAAAACTACAAAAATTAGCCAGGCGGTAGTGGCGCATGCCTGTAATCCCAGCTATTCAGGAGGCTGAGGCAGAAGAAACACTTGAACCCAGGAGGCAGAGATTGTGGTAAGCCGAGACACTGCAATCCAGTCTGGGCAACAGAATGAGACCCCCCCTCCCCCACCCCCCAAAAAAACAAAAACAAAAACAAAAAAAAATCAAACTCAGATTTCCACCTTCCCCTCTCCTAAACTTCCTATTTTCTACCTGGTTCCATAATGATCTACCCATCATTCATGTTTAAAACCTTGGATTAACCTTTGGTTTTTCCTGCCCTTTTCTCCTACTCTGCCAGACTCCATCTGTGCACCAACTCCTGGTCATTCCTTCCCTCAGAAATCCCTTTCATGTGTCCCTTTAAATTTCTACCACCAGTACCCAAAGACAGGTCCCTATTTCATCAAATCTAGGTTGACACTTAGCCTTAGCTAACGTTCTTGCCTCTAGTCAAACCTCACTCCCAACTCCAAACCAACCTAAATACTGCTGACAACTGGTCTCTGATCGTGTCCCTGTCCCCTCCCTATTCAAAATGTCCCCACCCCACCCCAAAGTAATTCAATATCTTCCCAGTCTACTACTTTCCCTGGTATCCATGGCTTTACAAAACCTGATTCCAATTTAATTTTAATGCTCTTATCGCCTTTCCCCTGCAATCTGGTCCTTCACCTCTCACTCCTCTACACCTTTGTTCTTGCCATCCTCCCCTCCAGGCACTCCATCTGCTCTTTCTGCTATCCATATTCAATCTCTGCTACTAAAACTTCCCATAGGTAAAAAGAGTCTCTCCTTGTCTCAAATCCCACCCCTTTTTGTCCACACCACTCATGTAGCATCTAGCCTAGATACATAACCGTGCATTACAGGGCACTGCTTTTGTTTGTGTGTTTGTTAAAAAATGCCAGTCTCATCTCCCTAACTGGACACAAAGTTCTTAGAGGATGAAAATGCTTGTTCTTTGTAACTCCTAGAAGATTTTGCTTAGTTCTACCTATAAATGGTGATTAATAACTACTGATGAGGTGATCTAAAGTTCAGTTGAAATAATGCCCATCTACTCCCATGCAGTTCTTTCTAAGGGCTCTCTCTCTTCACTGGTGTCTGTACTCACCAGAAGCACTGTTATACACTGTGTGCCGTGGTCTTGTTTTTTCCCCCTTTCAAATATGAGTCTGGTCTCTCCAACTAACTTCTAAGTTCCTTAAAGACTCTTTCTTATACCTTTTAAGCATTCTTTACAATGTTAAGCAGACCACTGGACACAGAGTGGTATTTAACATAAACCAGTAATAAAGACACCTAAATATTACCCAAAATGTCTCAATTAAACAGTGCTTGGGCCCGGCGTGGTGGCTCACGCCTATAATCCTAGCACTTTGGGAGGCCAAGGCGGGCAGATTACGAGGTCAAGAGATCGAGACCATCCTGGCCAACATGGTAAAATCTCGTCTCTACTAAAATACAAAAAAAAAATAGTCAGGCCTGGTGGCATGCGCCTGTAATCGCAGCTACTCGGGGGCTGAGGCAGGGGAATCGCTTGAACTTGGGAGGCAGAGGTTGCAGTGAGCCAAGATCATGCCACTGCACTCCAGCCTGGGTGACAGAGCGAGACTCAGCCTCAAAAAAAAAAAAGCTTAACACCACTTAAGGCACAGACTTTATAAATAACACGTCTACCCTGTTTTACAAATTTCAAAGCCAGTTCACGTCTATTATTTATTTCACTCTCATAACTCTGTGATGTCAGTTTACTGAAGGAAAAACTGGCTAAGCAAGATTGTAGGATCAGGCCGGGCGTGGTGGCTCATGCCTGTAATCCCAGCACTTTGGGAGGCTGAGACGGGTGGATTACTTGAGCCCAGGAGTTCAAGATCCGCCTAGCCAACATAGTGAAACTCCGTCACTACTAAAAATACAAAAATTAGCCATGCATTGTGCACACCTGTAATCCCAGCTACTTGGGAGCACAAGAATCGCTTGAACCCTGGAGGCAGAGGTTGCAGTGAGCTGAGATCACACACCACTGCACTCCAGCCTAGGTGACAGAGTGAGACTCTGTCTCCAAAAAAAAAAAAAAAGATTGTAGAACCAGTAAATTGGCAGTGCAAGGATTCAAACCCAGACCTCCTGGGCCCAGGGTCAAAATTTTAGGTACTATTCCACAAATACAGATTCATCTTCTCAATTAGCCTCCAAGTTCCTGGAGGACCAGGGCCATGAATAATGTTTCTTTTAAAAGATTCTCTCCTCATCTCCTCCCAAATGTCTTCATGTATCAATAAGATGAATTAAACCTATATGAATTCTGCAGATACAACAAACTCATCATAAATAACACACAGCCTGACACTACATTGTGCCCCCATAACAGACGAAATCACCATCCAGGCCTCCATCTTAAGTGGAGAAAGACTTGGTAATATAAGCCTATGGCCTCTCCAAGCGACATTCCCAAACAACCATTTTGAGCTCAGCCACACAATCACCACACCCATATAAGGTGAAAGCATACTGTATTTCTCAAAATCCTCGAGTCCTGCCAGACAGTCTAGTCTTTGTTCTCTGAAGGGTTGAGTTAACATCTAATCTAAAGAGAATGGCCAGAAGTGTCTGCTACTCTCAGAGCTTTCAAGGAAACGTCCAGTTAGAGAGCATCATCTCCTGGAAGTACCACGGGTCTCCAAGTACACATAGCTCAGAGCCAGGGCCCTCCACAATTTTCTCCCTAAACTGCATTTTTGGATCATTTTTAAAGATTTTGGAAGCCTTACAGATGAAGAAGCAGGGCCCTAAATAAAAATAAGTTAGTTTTAATATTCCAAGTGAACAGTTTGCTAAAACACCATTTTCATCATCCTAAAGACTAAGAGACTAAGACATGAAAACAACAGAAACTTCTCTATTAGCTCTAGTATGACAGTATCACAGAAGTGTTGGCAAGTTTCTCCTTACCAATGTTATTATCCAGAGTTAGAAACTACTTTAGAAATAAAATAACTTTAGGAAAATTACTTTACTATGTCAAGCATTAAAGTAATTTCAAAAAAGTTCTAGAGGAACATGAACCAAGTTGTATTCTCTAGTCTATAGATTAAGTCATACTAACAACTCACTACTTGAATTATATGAGCATTATAGTTAGGAGGCCAGGCAAAAGCTGAGAAGGCGAGGCTAGTCAGGAAAACATCTCAGAGAATGTTACTGATATAACATGTAGCTGTTGCACTGTAATAGACATATATTACTCTGTCTGGGTTTAAGTGTTCCTTTCTAGAACTGTCTCTTTACCTGATGAACAGTGTATTATAAGGCCATATACCTCCTGAGGGGGTGAGCACAGCTCAAGGTGGCCAGAAGACCTCACTCCCTGGTCCCAGTTACTGATTCAGGGAAAGGATCCATAACGGAATAATAAAGGTACTCCCTGGAGTATCTCCAACAAAATGGCCATGTTCCTGTCTTTTGAGCTCCATTGGTCATCTCTACCCCATGTGAAGAAAACTACCCTGAAAATAAAGCCAACAGTTGACAGAAGAGAACAAGATCAGTCCTGATGACATGCCTGGTGCCCCTGGAGCCAGCCTAGCCCTAACCTCAGCCTATTTATACATCAACAAATTCCATTTTAATGAACACTATTATGTCACCTGCCAGTCTAAATGAATACGGTGCCAAATAAAAAAGAATTAATTATCTCCAGAGTACGTCTGGAAAAAGAATGGCTAACAAAGTTAAATCTACTTCTAAACCCAACTGGAAACACCAATATACTGACTTTTTATTCTTACCACCTAAAATGGCCTAAATAACTTGAGAACCAGTCTGTTCTTCTCTTAGAATGTTTGAACAATGTCCTCCCAAACTTTTATTTATGACCTACTGATATACTATTTTCCAGACTAGATGTTAAAAACAGATATCAAATTGTATTCAAAACAAAGTCACTATTCTCTCAAGAGTGTCTTGTTAGTATTTAGCAAAAGTCTGGGTAACAAATGGGCAACCTGGCTATGAGGCCTACTCCATGCACACCAAAGAATAAGGCTAAAAAGGTAAACAAGCTACAAGTCTACCAAGCCCCGATATAATACATTTACTTTCATTCAAAACAATATATTCAACACTGGTCGGCTCTGAAAAAGCACAGATCATTCATATATACAAATAAGCATACTTTTCAACACATGTGTTTAATATACACAACCCAAATTCTAGATTGGAAGATTATACCTAACATGCGACCCTCAACCTCTGGTTTTTGTGTACTGATGCAATATCATACCACAGCAATGAGTTAAAAATGTGACCTCCACAAGTTTCTTTTTTTGTTTTTCATGTTTTACTTGCCTACTTACCTTCTCATTTGTTACCTTCACATTTTTAAAAAGAAAGCAGTTCTCCAACTGGTAACCAAAGTTTCAACAGTTTCTTTGATTCACCAAAGAGATAAGGGTAGGAGTTATGGTTTACATGAGTTTTACTACTAGAAGTCACAACATACACACACACCAAAGGAGTTTTAGGTGCTAATACAGTATATGTTGATCACTCCCACAGATGAAGACATCTTTACCAACTTGCAAAGTGAGATAACACTAAGCCTTAATCATAGTAAATGGAAATACATATCTGATGCGTTAAAGAAAAAAGGAAAAGTGACAAATCGTCATTTCACTGGATTCTTTTAAAATTTTTTCTGGAGGTCGGGCGCAGTGGCTCACGCCTGTAATCCCTGCAGTTTGGAAGGCCGAGGCGCGTGGACTGCTTGAGGTCAGGTGTTCAAGACCAGCCTGACCCACATGTTGAAACCCCGTCTCTACTAAAAATACAAAAATTAGCCAGGCATGGTGGCAGGTGGTGCCTGTAATCCCAGCTACTCAGGAGGCTGAGGCAGGAGAATTGCCTGAAGCCAGGAGGCGGAGGTTGCAGTGAGCTAAGATCGCACCACTGCACTCCAGCCTGGGTGACAGAGGGAGGCTGTCTCAAAAAACAACAAAAAAATTTTTTTTCTGGAGACTGGCATTTATGTCTGTGAAGTGGGCAACCAGGTGGTCCAGGAACAAGAGTAGAAAGATTTTTCAATGGGTGTCCTTTTTTATCATTTGAGTTTATACCATTTGAATGTACTATTCACTGGGTTATCTTTTTCATTGTTTGAATGGATACCATTTGAATGTATGACTTACTAAAAATTAATAAATAAATTTTAAATTTAGAAAATTCCTTGAAAGTCACTTTCAGAAACCACATTAGAACTCCGTTAGTCTAAAAATAATCAGAAAAGAATACTGCATGTCCTTTACTCTTACAAAAACTGCAATTTTCCCAAGTATACTTTTAAATGTGTCCTGAAACCATTACCAACTGTTTCTGCCTAATTTTCTTTCACAAAGTATGAGTGCAGAATACCAGCAAAACATGATAAATAGTTCTTTTCTGTTTTTCCCTTCCACCACAGAGGTGCTAATGGGAAACAATATAAATTTGCCAATAGGAAAAAAATGCTAAAAGGCATATACTCACAAATCAAATCACTAAAAGTTAACCATACAGTAGTTAACCCTGTTAAGCCAGGGTTATCCAAAGCACCGCTCCCATACCACTGATGCGAATGGTAATTTTAGCTAGTATGTAAACTAATATTTTAATTGTTATGAATTTATTTTAACATGTAGTTTATTATACCTAATACCTACATACCACATGTAGGACTACACAAATATCACTGCCTAAGATAAATCTACTTAAGTAAAATCGTGAATCCATCTGAAAAATAAGAGTGCACATGTGTATGAGTGAAGTTTTAGAAGCACCAGTGCACTATACAAATTAGATCGAGGCACACTGGGAATGACCACCAGCCTACATTAACCACAATGAACTTAGACCAAACTTCGTGCTCACAGGGAAACTCTCACTGAAAGGCTGGCACAACTAAATGACAGAAGCTGTGATCTCTATTCCTCTTACCTTGGACACCTCACTGCAGGCTCTGGATCACTCCCCACCCTCCTATCTACCACCCTAAGGTTTCTAATTCCAAAGGCATGAAGAGAAGTCTAGAGTCAGTCTCCAGGGAGAGGAATGTCTTGGCCTCGGCAGAGCTCTTCAGTATTCTCCCTGGTTCTTATTGCCTCTTCATGTTTCTATTACACCTATGTTGTCCCTGAACCACCAATATTCCCTAACTGTCTATGGCACCAAGTCGAAGCCTGCACTTCCCTCTCAGAGCCTTATATTCCATTATTGTTCTCTGCTGCAGGCCTGATACCAGTCCAACCCCATTTAAAAGAAAAAAAAAAAAAGATATTCCTGTTGTCAGGCTGACGGATTTGGCCAGAGGTGGATTAAATGGCAGAGCACAAACCAATTCACCAGGTATGAGAGACCAGCCCATACTATCCTCATTTCCCCAAGTGTATCTGCATTAAGAAACTTGCATTTTAAAAAAGATTAACGAGAGAAATTTTATGTAAAAGAATTTCAAGCTACTTAAAGGTGATTTAGACCACCTGAGAAATTTTAGGGCTCACTGCAGGACTATCTCCCAGCCAGCAATCAGGCAGTATTTACAATCTGGAATAAGGGTGCTGAGACTAGAAAAGGGTTGTCAATGGGCTTACTAACTAAACTCTTATTTATGTATGATCAGTTTCCATCACAAACTATCCTAACAGCTCATTTAGTATATAGCTGTCTGCTCACAACTTCAGAGATGAAAAAAAAATTTTAACATAAAACATTCATCCTCAGAAACTGAACCAATCCCTTTAGGTTGGCTAAAGGATGCTTCTGCAACAGTCATTCACCAGTATGATGCAATGATGTGTTCTATATAGTCCTCAAAAATTCTGTTTTATTCATACCAGATTCTTGCAAGTATTACCACAAGTAATCTCAGAGAATGAGGTCCAAAGTCCTGACAGAGGGGTCCCAATTAGAGCCTCTCAGGTTATCAGAATCATTTGCCCAGACAGGTATATTCAGAAGCCCAAAAATCTTCCCTTTAAACTTGAAAATAGAGTTCCAAACTCAGTTTTCAGTAAAATACCTTTGAGAAGGGCATATTTAAGTTTCAATGTAATATCTACCACATCACCTGCCGAGAACTTTAATTTAGAAATCATCTGTTTTCAAAAATACCATAGCCCAGATGCCAAAGCATGATGTTTATCTTTACACAAAAAAACACCAAAAGAAGAAAGATTTTATTTGGGAAACTAGACCTGGCACTTGTGGTATTTATTTTCTTTCATGTTTTATAACTACCTTTAGTCACTTAATCCTATTATTGAAGAATTAAAGGAAATCAAAGAGATACCAATATAAGACTAGCAATTTGGTAGACAAGAGGGAAAAAATTAGGAGGCTGAAAAGGGAACACACAAACTCACCAACTCAGACTGTTTTTAACAGCATAGCATACTGTGTGGCCAATACCCCTCAAACCATAAATTCTGAGAAAAGTTCCCTAGTACCCAGTGGAGAGTCAAAAACAAATTCCTGCCTCAGCAATTTCTCACCATCATTTTATCCATCTGAGCCTGGCCCTAAATTTTCTAAAACAAAGCTCACAATCACATCCCCCTTCAACTTACATCCTCTCTCATGGAAGAAAGGTACTTTCTGTTCCATCATTTTCCTCTCAAACTCTGCCTATGACCTGGTCCCTAAAAACGAAATGTTCCTTCCACCTCTCCAAGTCTAGGCCCTTCATTCTCTTCCTCCACTGGTTCCTTGGCAGGGCCGGGAGCACAGAGGGAATACCTCCCACCGCTGTACTGGATTTCCCACACCTCGGTTCACATCGAATTTTTCTTCTTAACCCCCAGTAATCTGGCTTGTCTTAGCAATTCTATGAAACTGCAAGCACAGAGGGTTACTGACTCCCAATAGCCAAATAAAAGCTGACCAATCTCTCCTTTTCTAAGTCCTCGCCCTTTTCGATTTCTGCTGGCTCTATCTAGCCTTGGCTCTCCACTCGCCAAGGAAAATTCAAGACTGTGGTTAGACTCTAGTCTTTCTTCTGTGCAATCTAAGTGATCCCCTCCACTGTCCTCCTAGAAATGACATCAGAAAACAATCTTAGACCTATGCATCTCCAGCCACCAGTAAATAGGAAAGCCCTCGATTCTATCTTCATTAAGCCCTTCAACCTTACTTCACATGTCCAAAACCAAATTCAAAGTCTTCCCAGGATTCCTGTCCCATTCCACCTTCACTTCCCTGTATCTACCAACTATATCATCATCGCCACGTCAGTCAAATTTCCCTTCACAGGCAGCCACCAAGGTCTGCTCGTTTTTCCATACTAGTATTGCAACTCCTATGAGAATTAATACGGTTTTTCCATATTAAAATCTCATCCACTATGACTGCAGGTTTGCTTCCTTCCTGGAGTTCAAAAATGACTGCAGTGTCCAGAATGAGAAGCTGCTGTAAGACTCCTTTCCCATGGACCAGCACCCATCCTCAACTGAAACGCAGTCTGGGAAAGTGTGAAAAAATGAAGGAGAAGGAGAGAGACACTCAGCTAACGCCACTGCCCTCATCTCACCTGCCACAAATAATCTGCATCTTCCCCCAGCTACCAAACCGTCCTTCACATAAATTTCTGTTCAGCCCACAAGCTGAAAAGCCCCCTCAGCCTCTTATTAAAGACCCATTAAATAAGTCCTTCACTTCTTGATCAAAAGGAATCATCGCTGTGACTTCTAAAGTGTAAGAAAACCAAACCTTTAAAAGTACCTGTCCTCAGGGCTTGGGGCAGTAAAAAAAAAAACAATCTAGGTGAAACACCTTCTATAGGAAAATTTATTTTTTTTGAACGAACTTAACCAGGCAAAGCAAGTAACTAGCAACATGTGCACAATTTACTTGGGCAAATGTCGCCCGTTCCTCCTCGGTGTCATCAGAAGGTACACTGGGAGAACAGAAGGGTTGAATTGAGCTGGTTTCCAAGGAACCATGTCAGAGCCGCTGCGGAGTTAAGAGCTGCGTCCACACAGCAGCCAAATCATGAAGTTGCAGGAGCGGCTGTTGTTAACCCACAGCTAAGAATAACGCTCGACTTTCCAAAATAAAACGAAGAAACGAAGTCCCCTGGCCAAGGATTCGGGGCGGCACAGAGGGGAAACGGAGCTTCCTGCACTGCCCTCATCACTCAGAACCTGGGGTCCCAGGCGATTCAGTCACCGCCCACAGAACAGCGCCGCGGGCACCACGTGAGACTCCCGGGGCCGGCTGGGAGCGGGGGACGAGGGGCGCCCACTCGGGGGTCGGCAGTTTGCAGGTGCGATGGGCGGCCCCCTCACCCACGTTTATCCGGACTGGAGCCCGCCGCTCCCGGCTGGGTTTCCGGGTGGTTCGCGCTCCTTCTGAATTGGCAGCGAGGTCGCGGCAGGTTCGAGGTAAATCGGACGAAGAGGGGAAAAAGTCTCAGGGGTCTGGGGGCCTCCGCGCCTCAGGGGAGGCAAGGGCCGGGCCAGAGGCGCGAGGGTGGGTGAGGGATTCCCGCCGCGGGGCCGGGACCGGGGCTCGGGCAGTGGGCCATGCCCCGCGCGCCCACGCGGGCCGCCCTACCGTGGCTCTGCAGGATCTCGTGCTTGAGGCCGCCGGTGTAGTCGATGAGCTCCTCCAGGCCGCGCTCGCACAGCTGCCCGTAGCCTGAGAACTTGTGCAGCACCTTCTCCAGCTCGCGCTCCACCGTCACGCACTGATCCATGCCGGAGGCGGCGGCGCTCGGCTCCTCGGCGCCCAGGTGTCCGCAGCCGTTCGGCCCGGGCCCCACCGAGGCCGCGTCCTGCTCCTCGTTCCCCAAGCGGGCGGCGCGGGAGGCTGAGGCGGCCGAGGCGGCGGGCGCACTAGCCGCGGCGCCGGGGGAGCCCCGCGCAGCCGGAGCCCGCCTGCCCCATGGCGCCCTAGCCCCCCGGCGAGTCGCCGCTGCTCCCGTTCGCTCGCTGCACTCGGCTCCGCGTCCCCAGGCCCCGCTCGCGACGTTCGGGTGCCTGCGACGGCGCGGCCGATTGTTTTTGTTTTCACGGGAACCGACCGATGACCTGGTTCTCCCGGGCGGCACCAAGCGCCGCCGACTGGGGGGAGGGGGATGGCCACCCGGGCGAGGAAAGGAGGCGGCGCGGGCCGTACCAAGTACACCCTCGGGGTGGGGGGTGCGACCCGGCGAGAACGGGCGGAGGAACGCGACGGGCGCCCACACGCGCCGCCACTCTAATGGTGTGGGCCGTACCACACGGAAGGCGTGCGAGGGAGAGGGCGAGGGTGGAGCGAGGCCCCAATTGGCCTGAGGAGCTAAATAGGGAACTTTGGAGACAGCCCCAGCGCTCGGAGAGCGCAACAACTACGCGCTCCATAAACAAGGAGGCGGAAACCGGCCCTCACCACTCCGCCCAGAAGCGGGGAACCCCAACCAATGGGCGCGGGGAGTGGTAAGAAGCCAATCCCTGGCCGAGGCGTAAGCCTTCAGCCAATCCGGGCTGAGGGGCCAAACCAACGGGCTCGCTGTTGGAGGGGGTGACTTGGAGAGCGTACCGAGAAACGAGTAGTTTATGGAAAGCCTTGGGGGAAAACTAGACAAAAATACAAAAGGCTGTTTTCCATAGGACGTCGCCCTGATCCCAATTTATTTCGTCTCCTCATCGATCTTAAGGGAAAGGGGTACCGTCATTCCGAACTTTTGGGCGACGGATCCATCTCCCGGGAATGAAAAACCAAGCCAGGCCGCCCGGGGGCTGGTTCTGCGTCGGCGGGGGGTCCCTAATGGGAATTAAAGGCGGGGGTGATTGGGCCCGGGTGAGGGGAGCCGCTTGCTGCTCGCGAAAGGCCCGCGCCGGCTGTCAGCGCTGCCCCGGGCTTGCGACACCCAGGAGGTCATGTCCCCATCCCCCGCGGACCGTGGCCCTTTGGCCCCTTGGCCTGGAACCTCTCCTGACGGTGGCCTCGCCCCAGAGCCATGTGCCGGGCAGCTTAGCCGGGTGGAAAGAACACGCGCTGGAGAGCCGGGCAGCCTGGCCCTTGCTCCCTAGGAAGCCTTATGCTATCGGATCGGATCGGCTTTACCCCCTCGGGTAAATCCTTCCCATCGCTTGCTATGGCGTCTGCAGCCTTGGCCTAGACCTCCTTGATCAGCATCGGCTGCACTACCTTTGCATTTCTTCAGGAGCCCAGCTAGTTCGTGCCTCAGGGCCTCTGCACTTGCCCTTTCCTTGGCCCAGAAAACTCTTCCTCCTACCTTTTTCATCCTGAAGTTCTTCTCAGCTCACTTGTCCCCTTACAGGGTCCTCCCCTGGCTGACCACACTAATGTACTTCCTCCCCACCGTTAATACCATAACACATTTTATTATTTCCACACCACTTAAACTCTGAAATGATCTGATGTTTTATTTTTCTGTCTGCACCACTTACATAAAACCATGACGGCAGGCCCCCTGCTTGTCTAAATTTTTTGCCTAGAACAGCCCCTGGCGTGAGGTGGTAGGCAATTCTTTTTCTTAAATTAACGTGATAACGTTTTTGAGCCTTAACTTCCGTATAACTGAGAAATAATTGGAATTAATACTTAACTAAATTGTTAGATAAAGGAGAATATATGTAAATACCCATAATAGGCTCATGATAACCACATGATAAAGGTGGTAGTAGTCATTATTAGGGCAGCCCCAACTGGTATTATTTCAGATCTCCCTTCTCCCCACCCCATTTTTCTTCCCTCTTGGCAGATGTCTCTGATTCTTCACTGAGATTAAAAAAAAAAAAAAAATCTAGCTCCAGCAACTTCTATCACTCTTCTCCAAGTATTGCTGTGTACCACCCATTTTGTGAACATTCTCATGTACCCAAAGGACCAGGAGTCCCTTCTCCCTTTCCAAGACAGCCGTTGGGGCCTGCGGGCTGCCTCTCACCCCTGTCCAGATCTTCCCCCTCTTTCTCTGCAGTAGGTTCTTCCTTTCTACTTTCAGCCCAAATGGGTTTGACCTACCTGGGGGAGGAAACTTAATTTAACCCTCCTCAAGCACTCATTTCTTTCACTGCCAAACTGCCTAGACAAATCTATGTTTATTCCTCCCTTTTCTTCAAGGATCTCCTTGATAAGCTCAGTCACCCTTTTCTCAGTCTTTTTTTTTTCTTCTCCTTCAAAGGGTTGTTATAGTATGAAATATTCCATTTAAGGCACTCAACAAAATGCCTGGCACAAGGTAAGAGCCATGATAATCCACTGATCACAAATAATCAATGACTCCTCATTACCTACAGCTTCAGATCCTCTCTCAAGGACATGGTCTGCCCTGTGTAGCAACACAGCACAAACCCCTATCCAGGCATGAAGCACTTTCCCACCCTTAGTGTGACTTGAGTACAGCCCATTCATACTTTGCCTTCTTCTGGGACACTTTTCTTTATTCTGTTTTTCGAATCCTCCCTTTCTTCAAGTAACAAGACAAGTCTTACTTTAACTAGTGACACCTTCTAGAACCTAGTCCTGCACTCTTCAATACCATAATCACCAGCCACAAGCAGGTTTTTTTGTTTGTTTGTTTTTTTGTTTTTTTGTTTTGAGATGGAGTCTTACTCTGTCACCAAGGCTGGAGTGCAGTGGTGGGATCTCGGCTGACTGCAACCTCTGCCTCCCGGGTTCAAGTGATTCTCCTACCTCAGCCTCCTGAGCAGCTGGGACTACAGGCACACACCACCACGCCCAGCTAATTTTTGTATTTTTGGTAGAGACAGGGTTTCACCATATTGGCCTGGCTGGTCTCAAACTCCTGGCCTCGTGATCCACCCGCCTCAGCCTCCCAAAGTGCTGGGATTTATAGGCGTGAGCCACCGCACCCGACCCACGTGTAGCTATTTAAATTGAAATATAAGCTAGATAATTTAAAATTTAGTTCCCCAATTGTGCTAACCACATATCAAATAATAACCACATGTAGCTGGTGGCTACTGTATTAATCAGCGCAAAATAAATATTTCCATCACTGTAGAAAAGTTTTGTTGGACAGTGCTGATCTAGACCATGACCACAGTAAAGTTACCAGCCCTACCTTTAACTGCTGTAAGACCTCTGTGTAAGTCATTTCATGCCTTAGTGCATACTGCCCCCATATTTTTAGTTAACTTTTCCAACATGTGCCTTTTTGACTCAACTAGACTATCAGTTTTCAGATCTGGGCTGACTTCTTTTTATCTCCCATGATTTAATCAGCATGAAAAAAAGTGTTTGTTAAAGGAAAAAGAATACGCAGATTAGAGGAGAAGAGGCTTCAGAGTTAGCTGGGAGAGAAAAATAGTACTTGTAAGGGCAGAGATTTATGTTGCTTCTTCACTTTGTATTGGCCCTTTCTACACAGTGCCTAATTGCCTTAAGCCTAAACTGTGAATTGTCAAAGAAGCACCTCTAGAAACAACAGGGAAAGAAATTTAGTTTTCAGAGCAACTGCAAATTAGTTTTTTTTTTTTTTTTTTTTTTTTTTTTTGAGCCAGCGTCTCGATCTGTCGCCCAGGCTGGAGTGCAGTGGCGCGATCTCGGCTCTCTGCAAGCTCCGCCTCCTGGGTTCACGCCATTCTCCTGCCTCAGCCTCCCGAGTAGCTGGGACTACAGGCGCCCGCCACCACACCCAGCTAATCTTTTTTTGTATTTTTACTAGAGACGGGGTTTCACTGTGTTAGCCAGGATGATCTCGATCTCCTGACCCCGTGATCCACGCGCCTCGGCCTCCCAAAGTGCTGGGATTACAGGCATGAGCCACCGCGCGCCGCGCAAATTAGTTTTCTATAATTGCATTTTCACCACACAATAAGGAAGAACACACACACACACACACACACACACAAAATCCCACTTTAGTATCAAGTGGACTCCTGCCCCCACATGCTGTTCAGCCTGGAGAAGCTTTAATTGATACTCATTCTGGACTTTGCTCTTGTCTTCCCCTCCACTCCAGATTTGACTCTGTAAAATGTAAGTAAACATCAAAAAAAGACAGGAAAAAGAAAACCTTTTGTCTTTCAGCCAAAATACATATTTATTGTAGGAAAATTAGAAAATACAAACAAGTAAACAGAAATAAAAGTCCCATGAAAGCCCAAGACCCAGAAAAAGAAAATCAGTTTTAACATTCGGGGTGAATTTCCACAGATATTTTTCTTTTTTGTGCATACACATAAACTCATATGCACATTTTTATGAAAGAACGCTCTCATTGTATTTACTATTTTGTAAACAGCTTTTGTTGTCCTCTTAACGTTCCTCCAACAACAAAAACAGTTTTTAGAACTGCTTTTGACATCTTTTTAAAATGCTTAATAGCTGTTACACTAGCTTATAGCTTATTCAACATATCTCATACATATTTTCACTTTGAATTATTCTTAGAAGACTGAAACCAGAGAGAGACAAGATAGAAAAAGGAAAAATTTCATCTCTTAAATTTGAGAAATTATATTTTTAAAAACCTTCTGCTTTTATGCAAAACACACTTTCAGATAAGGGTAAGAAGGACTACATTTATAATTCTGTTAATAAAAATGAATCAGGGAGGTTGGCAAAGAACTAACTAATTTCCTGACTACTCTAGCTCACAACTAATATAAAAGTAAAAGTAAACTGACAAAATGTGTTATTAAAAGAAATTCTGAATTGCAAAAAATAGCATTTCTTCTCATTTAAACAAATCAATTTTTATCTTGTTTTGTTTTGTTTTGTGTTTTAAGAGTTAGTGTCTCGCTGTGTCACCCAGGCCAGACTGCAGTGGTGCAATTATGGCTCACTGTAGTCTCAAACTCCTGGGCTCAAGCGATTTTCCTGCTTCAGCCTCCCAAGTAGTTGAGATTACAGGCATGAGTTACCCACTGCGCCTGGCACATTTTTATCATTTTCAAGTAAAATATATATATCTATCTGAGACATTTCTGGGAATTGCTGCTATGACCAGTTGAAGAAATGGGTGAAAGCACAACTATTAGCAAAAAGTCTTAATCTGAATATTTTCTACATCTTTTATGTCACCTGTGTGGTTTGGGGCCTGTTTGCTGGCTGGATTAATGATACTTGCTCGCCATTATGACTGACTCTTAGGGATTGGATATGCAGTATTGACAGTATTGCACTTCTGTGTCCACCATCCCCGTCTTTCAGCTCCACTGTTTGTAGAAGATAGCCTCTGCTCAGCGGCATAGCCCTCCTCACTGTGGCCTTCACCACTCTTGAAGTCCAGGGCAGTTCTAGTCTGGTTGACTACCAGTTAAATTACCCCCTAATAGACTTCCATGAGGACCTCATTGACTTCCTTGAGTATAGTTTGTAGGCACTGCCCTCGTACCTGGGTGCTTAGCCTGTAGGGGGTTATTTATAACTTTTGAAACCTGCTCTCTCAGGTTTTATTGTCTGAGTCTTTTCCTTTCTGGAATCTGGATGTTTTTCTTAGGTTTGTTTCCTGCTCACTGTTGGTGTGCTTTACCAGCTGTAGCAGGAAGAGTGCTAGCACTGTAATCTTGTAATTCATTCAACCCCTCTCAGCCTCAGATTCTTTATCTATAAAATGAGAAGCTTGGAATAGATGACCTTTAAGTTCCTTCCAGTTCTAAAATTACAGAGATGCCAGGGCTTATTAAGTAACATGTGAGGTGCAACACAACCAAACAGGAATAGACAGAGGCATCTTTCCTGTTTTCGAAAGCTTGGAGTCTGAATCATTACTTCCTCATTATGGAAACGTGATGAGGTTTGTTTTTTTGTTTTGGTTTGGATTTTTGATTTTTGATTTTGGTTTTAATAAATAGCTACAATTTATTGAGTGCTTATAACATGCTAGGCATTCTGCTTTAAATGTGGGATTATCTCAGTCCTCAAAGCAACCTTTTAAAGTAAATAATGCCGGGTGTGGTGGCTCATGCCTGTAATCTCAGCACTCTGGGAGGCCGAGGCTGGCAGATCACCTGAGGTTGGGAGTTTAAGACCAGCTTGACCAACGTGGAGAAACCTTGTCTCTGCTAAAAATACAAAATTAGCCAGGCATGGTGGCGCATGCCTGTAATCCCAGCTACTCGGGAGCCTGGGGCGGGAGAATTGCTTGAACCCCGGAGGCAGAGGTTGCGGTGAGCCGAAATCGTGCCATTTCACTCTAGGTTGGACAACGAGAGCAAAACTCTGTCTCAAAATAAATAAATAAATAAATAAATAAATAAATAAATAAATAATAAAATTTAAAAATAAATAGTATTTGGATTATTATCCCTGTGTTAACAGATGAAGAAATTGAGGCACAGAGGGGATTAGTAATTTATCCAAGATTACACAGCTGATAAAGTGGTAGAGCTGGAATTTGAATTCAAATCTTTCTGACTCTATAACTTGTAAGTCATTGTACTTCAAAAGGGGAAATTATGCTCCATGATTACTTGTTAAGCATGCTATGTCCAGTAGAATAAAGGAAACTTTAACCAAACTTCATTGTTTTGTTTTGTTTTGTTTTCAATAACAAAGTCTACTCCACCTACCTTGCAACATTGTTGAGAGAATATATATTAATGTTGCAAGGTAGGTGAAGTAAACATTGTTAAATATGTATTTTTAAATTACACATATATTTAAAAATATACACATATTTTTATATATATGATTTTTTTAAGTGCTCATAAACCATGAAGCCCCACAGAAGTGCAGGGTGCTATTATTTCCTCTTATGATTTCACTTTCTGTCTTTCATTTCTTAGCATATGAATTGTACTTCTTTTTTCAACTTTTTTTAGTAGTTGCCCTAAAGTTGCAATATACATTTACAACTAATCCAAGTCCACTTTCAAATAGCACTGTACCACTTCATGGGTAGTGCAAATACTTTATAATAATGAAATATCCCTAATTATTCCCTCCAGTATAACTGCTGTCATTCTTTGCATTTATATATAAACTATAATCATTCAATACATCATTGCTATCATTTTGAATAAACTATCATCTGTTAGATCAACAAGAAAAAGTTAAGTTTTTTACTTTATTTTCAACTATTCTTTCTCTATTGCTCTTCCTTTCTCCATGTAGATCAGAATTTCTGACCTACATCATTTTCCTTCTCTCTGAAGAACTTCTTTTAACATTTCTTGCAAGGCAGGTCTACTGGCAACAAATTCCCTCAATTTTCGTTTGTCTGAGAAAGTGCTTATTTCTCCTTCGTTTTTGAAGGATAATTCCACAGGATACAGAATTCTACGTTGGAGGGTTTTTTCTCAACACTTGAACTACTTCATTCTACTCCCTTCTTGCTTGCATAGTTTCTGAGAAGTCCTGATATAATTCTTACCTTTGTTCTTCTATAGGTAAGGTACTTTTCTCCTCTGGCTCTTCCAAGAATTTTTTCTTTATCATTGAATGCTCTGGCATATTTCAAAATAACTTTTTCCTTTCTCCTTCCAGAAGCATGGATTTTTTTTCTCTGATATTCACTGTGAGAACCTACCAAAGCTCTAAGAGGTAAAACCCACACAAGTGTGAGAAGCTTCCATGCAGCCTCGCCCCACTGCCCCATCCTAGGGTTTTTAACTCTCAGACTTGTCCACTGTGAGTCTCAGCATTTCTTCAATTACAGTTTAGGTTTTCCTCATGAGTACTGCTTCACTCAGAGATTTCTGTTTCTGAGATGATGCTCCAGCATGTTGCAATTCTCTGTATCTGCTTATCTGACCCCCCAGCTTAGGAGGCAGCAGTTTGCCCTGTGACCTCACGTCTGTGAAGAATCTAAGAATACTGGCCTCAGCAATATGGTGGAAAACACCTCTACAAAAAATGAGCCAGGCAAGGTGATGTGCGCCTATAGTCCCAGCTATGCAGGAGGCTGAGGCAGGAGGATAACTTGAGCCCAGGAGGTCGAGGCTGTAGTAAGCCATGATTGTGCCCCCGCACTCAGCTTAGGCAAAAAGACACCCTGTCTCAAAACAAAATCTAAGAAGAGTTTGTTCAGTTTTTGCTTGTGGTTAGAATGGAGTGATGACTTCCAAACTCCTTACATAAACTGGAAACTGGAAGTCTTCCTATGTATTTGATTCAGCCTGTTTATATATCTTATGCATCTGTGCAGGGTAAGGTTTGGGTTGTAAATTGATAAAGTACACGATTCATGGCTTTTGACAACCTGGAGGAGACTCTAGGCGGTAAACTAAAGCAAGTGTTTAAAAATGGCCTTTTGAGGCCAGGCACTGTGGCTCACACCTGTAATCCCAGCAGTTTGGGAGGCCAAGGTGGGGAGATTGCTTGAACCGAGGAGTTCAAGACCAGCCTGGGCACCACGGCGAAACGCCATCTCTACAAAAAATATAAAAAATTAGCAGGGCATGGTGGCATGTGCCTGTAGTCCCAGCTACTTGGGAGGCTGAGGTAGAAGGATAGCTTGAGCCCAGGAGGTAGAGGTTGCAGTCAGCCTAAATCACAACACTGCATTCCAGCCTAGGCAACAGAGCCACACCCTGTTTCAAAAAATAAAATAAAATAAAAATGGCCTTTTGAGACTTCTGGTTCCACCAAGATAGAGTAGTCCCATTTTTCCTAGGCCCTCTCAGAAAAACCTGGATATAACACAAAAAACAAGCATAGGAAGACTTTGAAAGTTGGAAAGAAGTCAGACTGCCTAGGGATCCCAAGACTTGAGGAATGACATGTGGTAAATTCCCTAGTTTCCTCATTTCCTCCTAAATGTCGGACAAGGCACTACAGAATTCTGCAGCCCTGCACCATGAATAGGCACAGACAAAACAAAGACCAATGGAAAGCCTGTTTTCCTGAGTCAAAGAATAGAAAAAAGTGTGGCCCAACAATGAAAAACCTCATCAGCTTCTTCCCTAGTCCAACCAAACACTGATGGAACAACTGCATTCCCCAAACCTCAACCCCCAGCACAGTTTCAGCAGAGCCAACCAGGAAGTTGATATTCCACTCTACCCCTTAACCTATGGAAGTGGGAGGCAGCTCTCCAGTTCCCTGTGGGTGACTTTGGTAGGTCTGTCTGGGAGCTGACCTTTTATTCCCTACCTTATAGAAGCAGACAATGCTCCAGTTCCCCCAGCAGATTGAGCAAGGAGACAAGCTTACATCCCCAATCAGAGGCATCAAGGTGGTCGAAGATGGTGCCACACTTTCACTGGGATGTTGTCAGTGGAGCAATAGGAGAGCTGAACTTCCAGCCCACCATTTGCAATAAGACCATGTGAGTCAGTACTTCAGTTTTGCCAAGTTACTGTCAGTGGGGCCCAGAGGGAAACTAAACATGCCTGTGAAGAAGAAGGAAGAAGGAAGAAGAAGAAGAAGAATTATTAAATAGGATACAAATCCAAACTCTTATAATATGCTATCCAAAATATCCAGGATACAATAAAAAATCATTCATCCAAGAACCAGAAAAATCACAACACGGATGAGAAAAGCAATCAACGGCTGTCAAATGATGAGATAAATCAAGTGTTCAAATTATCTAACAATGATATTAAAATAGCATCATAAAATGCTTCAACAATCATTCAAATTCTCTTGAAACAAAAATTTAAAACCCAGCAAAAAAAAATAGAATTTATTAAAGAATTAAATGAAAATTATAGAACAGAAAACAAGTACAAGTAAAATTTTAAAACTTGCTGTATGGGCTCGATAGTAGATTGAAGATACCATAGGATAGAATCAGTGATTGAGGACAGACAGATAGAACTTACCCAATCTGAACAATAGAGATAGGGGAAATAATGAACAGGGTCTCAAGGATCTGCATGATATTTAAAAGGAAAAAAAATTCAAAGAATAGCTGAAAATTCCCCTTACTTGGCAAACGAGATGAACCTTCAGATTCAGGAAACTGAACACATCCCAAGTAGGATAAACTGAAAGAAATCTATGATGCTAAGACATGTGATAATTAAGCTTCTGAAGGTTGAAGATAAAGAAAAAATATTGATACTGAAAACAGCCAGAGAGAAATGGTGCATTATTGATAGGGGAGAACCAATTCAAGTGACAGCAGATTTTTAACCTGAAACCATGGAGACCAGAGGGAAATGGCATAACATTCTTCAAGTACTGAACTAAAATAATTGTCTACCTAGAATCCAATGTCCAGTGAAAATGTCCTTCAGTAATGAAAGGGAAATGGAGACATCTCAGATGAAGGAAAGGTAAGAGAATTTGTCACCAGCAGACCTACCAAAAAGAATGGCTAAAGAAATTTCCTAAACAGAAAGGAAATTATAAAAGAAGGAAACTTGGAACACGAAGGAAAACCACAGCAAAAAAATATGGGTATATACAATAAACTTTCCTCCTCTTGAGTTTTTAAAATTTCTGAATTGATAGTGGAAGCAAAAATTATAGCATTGTTTGATGTAGTTCTAAATGCATGTAGAGAAAATATTTAAGACTATTATAAACAGGGTGATAATGTAAAGGGAGGTAAGGTTTCTATATTTAAACTGGTAAAAAGATGACACCAGTAGACTCTGATGAATATATATAATGTAAAACCTAGAGCAACCACTAAAAAGATATACAAAGGGGTGCAATAAAAACGTAGATAAAGGGGAAGGGGTGTTATTGTTTAATGGGTAGAGAGTTTCTGTTTGGGGTGATGAAAAGATTCTGGAGATGAATAGTGGTGATTGAACAAATAACCCACAGGCTGGCAGGATACAGGAAATCAGATAAATGAAAACAAAGAGAACACACAGAAACAAAAAAATGGCATACATAAGCCCTAACATGTAATTACATTAAATGTAAATGTACATTTGCAAATATAACAATTAAAAATGAGATTGGCAGAGTGGATTAAAAGCCAGGTGCTGTGGTGCATACCTGTAATCCCAGCTACTCAGGAGGCTGAGGCAGGAGGATCACTTCAGCCCAGGAGTTTGAGACCAGCCTGGGCAGCATAGCAAGACCCTTACTCAAAAGAAAAAGAAAAATGACCCAACTCTATGATGTCTGCAATAAGTTCATTTCAAACATAATGATACAGACAGGTTAAATGTAAAAAGATATGCAAACATAATCAAAAGAAAACATAAATGGCTATATTAATACCACCTAAAGAAGACTTCAGAGCAAAGAAAATTACCAGTGACAGAATTGGACGTTATATAGTGATAAGAGGGTCAAGAAGACATGGCAATTCAAAATATATAAGCACTAGACAACAGAACAGCAAGATATGTGAAATAAAAAACTGATAGAACTGGAAGGAGAAATAGATCAATTCAAAATAATAGTTGGAGATTTCAACACCCATCTATCAATGATTGATAGAACAACTAGACAAAATCAGCAGGGATTTGAAAAAACTCAGCATCACCACCAACAGACATGATTTAATCAACATTATAGAATACTCCACCCAATAACACCAAGAATACACATTCTTTTTCAGTGCCCATGAAACATATACCAACATAGATCATATCCTGAGCCATAGAACAAAACTCAACAAATTATAAAAAATTGAAATTTGTTCAATTTGTTCAATTGAAATTGAAGTTATGTTCTGTGAGCACAGTGGAATTGAACCAGAAACAATCGAACAGAAAGATAACAGGAAAGTCTCCAAACACTTGGGAACTAACCAGCACGTTTCTAAAAATCCATGGGTCAGAAAGGAAGTCTCACTTCAAGACACAAGAAAAAGAAGAGCAAAATAAACTCAAAGCAAGCAGAAGGAAGGAAATAATAAAGAAAAAAACCCAATGAAATTGAAAATGAAAACAACAGAGGAGGCCGGGTGCGGTGGCTCATGCCTGTAATCCCAGCACTTTGGGAGGCCGAGGCGGGCGGATCACGAGGTCAGGAGTTTGAAACCAGCCTGGGAAACATGGTGAAACCCCGTCACTACTAAAAATACAAAGATTAGCCGGGTGTGGTGGTGGGCGCCTGTAATCTCAGGTACTCAGGAGGCTGAGGCAGGAGAATCGCTTCAACCCAGGAGGCTGAGGTTGTAGTGAGCTGAGATCATACCACTGCACTCCAGCCTGGGCAACAGAGTGAGACTCAGTCTCAAAGATAAATAAATAAATAAATAAATAAATAAATAAATAAATAAATAAAACGTTTAATGTAAAATGTAAAACTTACAAAAAATAGATGAAAATCTTTGGAACACAGGACTACACAAAGAGGTCTTAAATTTGACACCAAAAGCACAGTCTATGAAATGAAAAGTTGTTAAACTGAACTTCATCAAAATTAAAAACTTTTACTCTGCAAAGGATTCTGTGAAGATGTTGGAAAAAACAAAATACAGGCTGAGAGAATACCTTTGCAAACCACATCTCCTGCTAAGGACTTGTATCTAGACTATATACATAGAACTCTTAAAACTCAACAGTACAAAAAATCCTATCAGAAAAAGGTAAAGGACGAACATACATTTCATTAAAGAGGCTATACAGATGGCAAATAAGGACATGAAAAGAATTCAACAATTATTAGTTATTAGCAAAATACAAATGTATACCACAATGAGATACTGCTACACACCTATCAAGATGGCTAAAATAAAATATAGTAATATACCAAATGCTGCTGAGGATGCAGAAAAATTGGGATTACTTATACGTTGCTGGTGGGAGTATAAAAAGATACAGCCACTCTGGAACAGAGTATGGTGTTTTGTTTTGTTTCATTTACAAAACTAAACATGCATTCAGCAATTACATTCTTGGGCACTTATGTTCCCACAAAAACCTGTACACAAATGCTCATATAAACTGTATTTGTGATAGCTCCACATAAGAAACAACCCAAATGCCCTTCAGTGGGTGAACAGTTAAACTGCGGTACATCCATACCATGGAATGCAACTCAGCAATAAATTGGAATGAACTGTTAATACCACAACAACATGGATGAATCTCAAAGGAATTATGCTCAGTGAAAAAAGTCAGCCTCAAAAGATTATTTTTATATAGTGTTCTTGAAATGACAAAACTGTAGAGATGAAGAACAGATTGGTGGTTGCCAGGGACTGGGGACAATAAGAGGGATAGAAATGGCTGCGGCTACAGAAGTGTGGCATGAAGGATCCTTGTGATGGAACAGTTCTGTACCTTGATTGTGGTGGTCACACAATTCTACACACATGATAAAATTGCATAGAAGTAAGCACATACACACACAAGTGCATGTAAAACTGAAGAAAATGGAATAAATTCCATGGACTCATCAATGTTAATTTTTTGGTTGTAATGTCACGCTGTAGTTAGGCAAAATGTTATCATTGGGGGAAACTGGGTGAAGGGTATATGGGATCACGCTGCATTATTTCTTACAACTGCATTAAATCTACAACTATCTCAAAACCATTTTAATGACCCTTTAAGGATAATTATGATAATGAGGGGAAAAGGCAACCACTCTTTTTATGTCACTAGTTATATCTACAGCCTCTTCTGTTTTTAGTGTTACCTCTTTTAATTTTTCCAGTGAATAATTAATCCCCCCTTTTTTCTGTTTTCATTTCTTCTGTCATATTTGGGTCTGATGTGACATTATTTATTTATTTTTATTTTTATTTTTTGGAGTCAGAGTCTCACTCCATCCCCCAGGCCGGAGTGCAGTGGTGCAATCTCGGCTCACTGCAACCTCCGCCTCCCAGGTTCAAGGAATTCTCATGCCTCAGCCTCCTGAGTAGCTGGGATTATGGGAGCCCGCCACCACACCTGGCTAATTTTTGTATTTTTAGTACAGACAGGGTTTCACCATGTTGGCCAGGCTGGTCGCAAACTCCAGACCTCACGTGATCCGCCCGCCTCAGCTCCCCAAAGTGCTGGGACTACGGGCGTGAGCCACCACACCCAGCCAAGATTATTTAAAGTTACATTTAAATATAGAAACTTGATTGTGGTTATCAAATTTATGACTGATCTTCCCCTTATTCCCAAGATCAGTGGACAGCATTGTAGTGGTTGGGCACTCCAAGTGGACAGCATGTAGACAGTGTGTAAACAATGTGCTGCTGTTGCTACAAGAGACAAGTGCCTCCATTGCTAATCCCCTAAATCACCTCGTGTTAAAACAAACAAGGTGATTTTTCTGCTCAACTTATTCTGAGCCTCTGTCACTGCACTTGGTTCAGAATCAGGAATTACACTTTTCTTGAAAAGAGTAATGGTTTACTAGAATTCAGAGAGGGTGGTGTTTATCAATAGAAATGAAGGTCAGAATATGAAGAAGACCACACTACCTGATTACAAACATTTGAAAGGAATAGTAACAGTCAGTCTGTGCCCCCATACCTTAACATATGCTATTCCATCTGACTGGAATCCCTTTCCTCCATCTTTCAAATCCTACTTAAGTCTCTGCAAATCTTCTGACCCTTTTATCCTACAGATACAATCATTCTCCATGCTGTAGTACTTCCACAAAGCGTACATACTTCTATTACGGTATATGAAATGGCAAGAGGCAGTACAAATGAACGTGAAATCCGGCACCAAACTGAGTTTGACACTCAGCTCTACTGTGTGACCATGAGCAAGTTATTTAACCTCATGTTGCCTTAATTTCTTTATAAAATGGTGATAGTAATAATACCTAATAGAGTTGTCATAAAGGTGAAATGATTGGCTGGGCACGGTAGCTCACACCTGTAATCCCAGCACTTTGGGAGGCCAAGGTGGGGAGATCTCTTGAGGTCAGGAGTTTGAGACCAACCTGCCCAACATGGCAAAACCCCGTCTCTACTAAAAGTACAAAAAAAAAAAAAAAATAAGCCGAGCATGGTGGTGGAAGCCTGTAATCCCAGCTACTCGGGAGGCTGAGGCAGGAGAATCACTTGAACCCAGAAGACAGAGGTTGCAGTTGCAGTGAGCTGAGATCATGCCACTGCACTCCAGCCTGGGTGACAGAGCAAGACACTGTCTGAAAAAGAAAAAAGAAATAAAGATTAATGATTGGCCAGGAGTGATGGCTCATGCCTGTAATCCCAGCACTGTGAGAGGCCGAGGTGGGTGGATCACTTGAGCTCAGGAGATCAAGACCACCAGCCTGGGCAACATGTCGAAACCCCATCTCTACAAAAAATACAAAAATTAGCTGGGTGTGGTGACACGCACCTGTATTCCCAGCTACTTGGAAGGCTGAGGTGGGAGGATTACCTGAGCCTGGGGAGTTTGAGGCTGCAGTGAGCAGTGATCACGCCACTGCACTCCAGTCTGGGTGACAGAGTGAGACCCCGTCTCAAAAAATAAATAAATAAAAATGATTAATGATTAACTAAATGTAAAATGCTTAGAAGAATCTCTGGCATATAGTAAATATTATACTTGTTAGCTATTATTTATGTGCTTAGTTTACTTAATTAGACCATATGCTACTTGAGGGCTGTGTAAATTAAGCTGTAAATTACTCCAAACTTACTCCAAAACTTGACTTAACATTGTCTCACAGGTGGGTCAGGAATCTGGGAGTGCTTAGCTGGGTCACTCACAGGATGCAATTAAGGTGTTGGCTGAGCCTGCAGTCATCTGAAGGCTTCATCTGTTTTCAAGCTCACTCACGTGGTTGTTGGCAGGATTCAAGTCCTCATGGGTTGTTAGATTCAGCCTCAGTTCTTCACTAGCTGTTGGCCAGAGGCCACTCTCAGTTCTTTGCCACATAGGGCTTGTCCGTGGGGTGCTTACAACAAGGCAGCTGGCCCCCCTCAGAATAAGCAAGCAAGAGAGCAAGATAGACTTCACCCTATTTTTATAACCTAATCTCAGAAGTGACTCACCTTTCTGGCATTCTATTTGTTAGAAGCGAGTCACTAGATCCAGGCCACAATCAATGTGAGGGAATTATACAAGAACAAGAATAAGAGGAGGCTGCTGTCACTGGGAGCCATCTGGGGGCTGCCTACCCCAGTCTACCTTCTGACCCCCGTGATTCACATTCCACATGCACAATATACTCACTGCCTCCTGAAGTCCCCCAGAGCCTCATCCCATTGTATGTAGGTGACTGTAACTTATTTGTAACTGCAGCCACTTTTTCTTATTGATTTGAACAAAAGGAAAAGGGTAATCTTCATTATGAAAGAGAAGTATAGAAACTCATGTCTCTAAAACTAAAGCCATATGAATAAAATTCCATAAAAATACAATAAAGAATAAGATTTTTTTCTTAGCTGTAATTTTGTATACCCTAATATGTAACAGTCACTACGAGACTGAACAAAGGAGGACAAACGCCGCTTGTGACAGTTACTACGGGACTGAATGAAAGAGGACGAACGCAGAAATGAAAACTTAAGACAAAAGAATCTATTTTAAAGAAGGGGTCGGGGGCTCCTTGCTTCTAGTGAGCAAGGGCCTTGAGCTTTCACAGCCCTCCGTATTTATTGGATAGAAAGAGCAGGGAGGAGGAGGTAGCGATCCGTCAGCTGCTTGATTGATCATAGGTTCCCATTATTGCTAACAGGCTTCAGATGTGCCTAATCACAAGAAACACTTGCGCCTGAGGCGTGACTGCACTCAGCGTTCCCTCTGGGTGGCAGACGCAATTTGTCAGTTTGCCAACATTCTGCCTTTATGAGAACAGTTTGCTGTTTACTCATATAGCCTCCAGTGGTATACTGAGTTAATCACAACCCTCATTCTTTTGGCCTCCAACACTGATATAGTTGGAGAATTTAATAACTACATTTTAAACATGCATCATTTTATTTCACATCCATGTTTGATTCAAGGGCAAAGATGCAAGAGATCAGAAGGTAAAACCTCATTTTATGTTTTAAATTTTAATAAGCTCGTTCATATAATTCTGTTTACTGTTGGGTTCACAATTGCAAGGAATATGGATAATTTATACACCTTTTTCCAAATCAACCCCGATCATGGTTATCCAATAATGTACAATCAGCTAAAACACATTATTGCATTGAAATAGATCATTTCTCATCCAATCATATCCGGGGTACTTCTCCAATCCCTAGATATGGGCGCATTCAGTCTTAGTGTCTACACCCCGTGATATGGAAGAAAAACAGAGTAGGTATACATAGTACCATGTGCCCTTTTCTCTCTAACCCTCCTCTCCATGATTTTCCAAGGCATAAGCAAAAGCCACAGAACCAACTATTCATACTTTGCCGGGATCCTCTGGCTTGGGTCTGCAACAGCTTTTTCAATGAAGAGTTGAGTTCAATGCCTTGAAGCAAATTGAAGGAAATGAACCTAAAGTCTACAGGTCTGCTCAAGGTGTATATTTCGATGGCATAATGACTGAAATCTTTTTTTTTTTTGGTTGTTACTGGTCTAGTGGGCCAGAAAATGGTTTTCCTCTTTTTAAACAAGGATTTGAAGACAAAGGTTTTTAGGTTTAAATTACTGAAATAAGGGGAGCTTCTCAAGCTACTTCATCTATCAGGGATAAAAATCCTTGTACCTTATCCTGCCAAAAAAAAGCAATAAAGTCCTCCAGTAGGGATCTTTAGGATAAAATATTATTTTTCATAAAAAACTATGAAGGAATTTATTCACAAAAAAATCAAATGGTTTATTATAAATAATAAATAGTTCTGTCCATAGATGACTAATCTGCTGAAATAGCACCTCCAGGGGTCTCCATGCACTGCCCATTTATTAAACCCAATAACCTTCCTTGTCTCTCTCAACTGATCCATTGGTTCTGGAAATTACTTCCCGGCATAAGCCTTTACTCCTGATCTAAATTCATTGCCTCATTTTGTCTGTTCACACTGTTCTTGGTGCTCCCCTCAGCTCCTCTGCTAATCTAGTGCCTTCCTCTCAATCCCAAATCTGTTCCTACTGTCAGAGCCCAGCAGAAATCACACCTTTTCCTTGAAGCCTCTCTACATCACAGGAGCCCTCTGGGACCTCTCCCGCCTACATTTCTCTTGTAGGTAAAATTGTCACTGCTTACTCTGGTTCTTCACCAAATACTCTCTGTTTAGTTATAACCTTTTTTTTTCTTTTCTTTTTTTTTTTTTTTTTTGAGACAGAGTCTGGTTCTGCCACCTGGACTGGAGTGCAGTAGCGTAATTTTGACTCACTGCAACCTCCACCTCCCAGCCTCAAGCAATCCTCCTGCCTCAGCCTCCTGAGTAGTGGGGACTACAGGTGTGCACCACCATACCCGCTAATTTTTTATTTTTTGTAGAGACAGAGTTTCACTATGCTGCCCAGGCTGGTCTTGAACTTCTGGACTCAAGCAATCCAGCCACCTCAGCCCCCAACGTGCTAGGATTACAGGTGTGAGCCACCAGGCCAGGCCTATAACCTTTTTTTTTGAAACAGAATCTCTGTCTGTTGCCCAGGGTGGAGTGCAATGGCGTGATCTCGGCTCACTGCAGCCTTCACCTCCCGGGTTCAAGCAATTCTCCTGCCTCAGCCTCCGAGTAGCTGGGACTACAGGTGTGTGCCACCACGCCTGGATAATTTTTATATTTTTTCATGCAGACAGATTTCACCATGTTGGCCAGGCTGGTCTCGAACTATTGACCTCAAGTGATCCACCCGCCTCAGCCTCCCAAAGTGCTGAGATTACAGGTATGAACCACTATAATATAACCTTTTCATAAATGTGTCCACCATAAAGCTGTTATATCATGAGAATTGTTTTGCAATTTTAGACCTTTGGAGATTAAATACGTCTATGAAGGGGGGAGTTAGTCCTGCAGATGCTGTACAACTTTACCAAGTGGTGGTAAACAGTGCTACATTTTCTTGGAATCCTTGGGAAAGGTGCAGGAGCAGAAGATGTCTTTCCTTAATTAAATGGTGGGTTTCTGCCTGACCCTATACCAAAGTTAGACTTCCAAAACACAGCACAGAAATCAGCTAAAACAATTTGCAATTAAAGTCACCTAAAGCCTATATCTATCTATCTATCTATCTATCTATCTATCTATCTATATCTATATCTATCTATCTATCTATCTATCTATATATTTTTGAGACAGAGTCTCACTCTTATTGCCCAGGCTGGAGTGCAATGGCACCATCTCAGCTCACTGTAACCTCCACCTCTCAAGTGATTCTCCTGCGTCATCCTCCTGAGTAGTTGGGATTATGGGTGTACACCACCATGCCTGACTAATTTTTTTTGTATTATTAGTAGAGACAGGATTTTATCATGTTGGCCAGGCTGGTCTCGAACTCCTGACCTCAGGTGATCCACCCGCCTCGGCCTCCCAAAGTTCTGGGATTACAGGCGTGAGCCACCGTGCCCGGCCAAGCCAATATTTCCTTAGAGTATCTTACTAAAAATATTATACATGAGTGTGCATGTGTGTGTATATGCATGTGTGTATATATTCTATGACACATATGGATTTCTTTCCTCATGGTTTCTTAATGCCCTCTAAAACTCTATAATTTTCTAAATTTCCTGAAGTTTTACTTAGACTAAGTCCTTTTGTTGGCAGTTTGTCAAATTTACTACTTTTTCTGGGAAGAATTTTATATGACTGCTCCTGAGACTCAGAAGTAAAATATCTACATGCTTCTGAAAGAAATTGTAAAAACAGTGACAAGATTTTTTCAATCTTCCTTGGGCAGCTTGTCACATATTTTTCCAACCGCACTCTCACTTTTCTCACTCTCATTTCTCCATATAAAACATACAAGACACTGTGTTATAGTCAGGAGCCAAAACTTCTTGCATATTTTCCACCAAACAGAAGATAGTTTTCAGCCACTTAGGAAAATTCAACCTAATTTTACTGTCTTCCGTGGCCATCTTAGGAACCCAGTTTGGCAATTTTAACTTACTAACCTAAGTTACCAATTTAACAACTCTTTTGCCAGTTTCCCTTGGCAGACCAGTGTTTGGTTTATATTAAATTTAAAGTGACAGCATCCCTTTTAGGAGAACAGAAAAATAACTGGTTTCAACATACCCGATCACTAAATTGTCAATTTATCTTCAATTTTCTCTTCCCTGCACCTCTCCCAATTTAGCACTAGTATTTAAGTAGTATAGAAGCACTGAATTAAAATTATGTTTTATGCCAGGCGTGGTAGCTCATCCATGTAATCCCAGCACTTTGGGAGGCCAAAGCAGGAGGATCACTTGAGCCCAGGAGTTCAAGACCAGCCTGCAAAACATAGCAAGACCCTTCTCTCCAAAAAATTTAAAAATTAGCTGGGCATGGTTGCATGCGCCTATATTCCCAGTGATTTAGGACTCTGAAGTGGGAGGATCACTTGAGCCCTGAGGGTTGAGGCTGCAGTGAGTCGTGATCGCACCACTGCACTCTAGCCTGGATGACAGAGTGAGACCCTGTATCAAAAAACAAAAATTCTGTTCTATAATACAAAAATTATAATATGTCAATGCGATGCACTGACTGTTAAGAAAAATTCTAGGTCTCCTCCTTTTCTATTACCATTAATATTAACCGTAATTATATAAATTTCACTTGTTAGAAATGAAATTTTTAAGACCAATGAATAATTAGCAGTTTAATACATTACATTGCTGGGCACAGTGGCTTACACCTGTAATCCCATCACTTTGGGAGGCGGAGGTGGGCGGATCACCTGAGGTCAGGAGTTCCAGACCAGCCTGGCCAACACGGTGAAACCCCATCTCTAGTAAAAATACAAAAGTTAGCCGGGCGCAGTGGCACGCACCTGTAATCTCAGCTACTTGGGAGGCTGAGGCAGAAGAATCACTTGAACCCGGGAGGCAGAGGTTGCGGTGAGCCAAGATTCCGCCACTACACTCCAGCCTGGAGGACAAAAGAGAGACTCCGTCTCAAAAACAAACAAAAAATTACATTTAATGCCTGTTGATGAGGGCTCAAGATGATGATACTGCTTAATTTTTCAACAGATTATCTTTTTTTTTTTTTTTTGAAACGGAGTCTCCCTCTGTCGCCCAGGCTGGAGTGCAGTGACACGATCTCAGCTCACCGCAACCTCCCTCTGCCTCCCAGGTTCAAGCGATTCTCCTGACTCAGCCTCCCGAGTAGCTGGGATTACAGGCGAGCACCACCGCGCAGCTAATTTTGTATTTTGAGTAGAGATGCGTTTTCACCATGTTGGCCAGGCTGGTCTGGAACTCCTGACCTCAGGTGATCCGCCCATCTCCGCCTCCCAAAGTGCTGGGATTACAGGCATGAGCCACCATGCCCGGCCTCAACACATCAACTTTATACACACATAAAGAGAAAAATGCCTTCTGTAAGAGACTCCATGTTCTTGCTATGAACAGAGTCATGGTTCTCCCTTTAGAACTAAGGGAGTGCTGGAAATCCATGACTCGATTTACTATTGGAAAAGAAGTGACAAAGCATTGATCTAACCACTCCCAATGATGAAAGCCCTGGAACAATTTCCTGAGCTGGTCCTCCCTTCTCATTACCCAGTCCCTTGTACCCTGAAAGAGTTTGGAGGAAATGTCATGGCAGAGTTGCTGTATTAGTTAAGTATGGCTGCATAACAAATTATCCCAATACTTAGCAGCTTGAAAAAACAAACATGTTACACAGTTTCAGACATTCAGAAATCCAGGAGTAGCTTACTTGGGTGGTTCCAGCTCAGTGTCTGAAAAATAGATGATTGTTTTTACTGTATATAAAAATGTATACATATAGATAATTGCAAACAAGTAAGCACATTTTATTTTATATGAACATTATGTTTCATCAGATGTGTCATATGTTTTATTATAATTCCAATTGATTTCTGATCCTTTAAAAAAATAGTTTCTGAAATGTGGCTCTGGCCTGCATAGTTCTGGGAAAAGGAATTCTAGTACAGGGGTCCACCATGTGCCCCCACAAAAGCAGCATTTAATTTAACTGTAATATACATGTAACTATCCTTTATCTTTTATTTTAAAGTTTAACATTAATTAATAATCTTAGTTAATTGATATCATGATTTTGACACTAATATATTTGCTCAGTGTATTCTTAGTTAAATTATTTTCATGCACACTTTCTCATTTGATCTCATATCAATTCTGTTTACTATACCTGGTAGCAAGAGCTCATCAGGGAAACAAGAGGTGCTCAGAGAGATGGCTCACAAGGGGAGGAGTCAGACAAAAACTATTTACCATCCTAATCTTTATTGATAATTTACTTCACATGATAGTTTGTAGAATACAATTGAACTTCTGTGTTTTCCCGAGTTATAAGCAAAAGGGTTCTGTGAAGAAGATGGAATGAATATGAGTGTTTTGAGAAAACCCACTAAAGTAACAATAGAGATGTAGAAGACAAACAAAATAAGATTAAACAAGACGTGAATTAACAAAGTAAGTCTCAGTCATAATGAGGGTGGGAGGGAAAGGTTTTATAACCTCAAGATCCCAAAGAAAAAGGAAGAAAATAGAGGGAAAATCTTAAGAACCACAAACATGAGACTGAAGCAACTGAATTGACTGTAAGAAAAGAAAGTAAAACCAAAAAACAAGACCTGAGGACTAAAAATTAGGAAACAGTTTATCAAAAGATAGGTCATAGTCATAGAGTAGCAGGGTGGGGGAAAAGGTTATTAAAAGCTTTCTCACACAACACAGGTTTGCTTCCCCAAGAGAAATGAGACAATGTAGCTAACAAGTAATAAAGGAAACAACATGAAAACATGTCTCAAGCCACAGGGAAGTTAAGCAGAGAACCCTTAAATGGAAATGATGATCCATCCTAAAAAGATGAAAAAGAGGATGTGGAGTACAAAGGACATAGAACAGGAAATTAAAACTTTGATGTTCCAAACCAGTTCACCCAGTTATTTGGCCTTAGGTAAGACATTCTCTGTGCCTTTGTTTCCTTGTCTATAAGTTGAAGAGGTTGGGAGATCATAGTATCCAAAGTCTCTTCCAAAAAAGATGTGGCTCTGTGCATCTAAGCTCCAACTGACAAGACACAGAGCTATATAAGAAGGTAAAGAAAAGGCCAGCAATATGCACAATTTTTTTTTTTAGACGGAGTTTCGCTCTTGTTGCCCAGGCTGGAGTACAATGGTGCGATCTCGGCTCACTGTAACCTCTGCCTCCTGGGTTCAAGCAGTTCTCCTGCCTTAGTCTCCAGAGTCGTTGGCCAGGCTGGTCTCCAACTCCTGACCTCAGGTGATCCACCTGCCTCGGCCTCCCAAAGTGCTGGGATTACAGGCGCGAGCCATCGCACCCAGCCAATAGGCACAATTTAAGAAATAATTAAGCTGGGTGTGGTGGCTCATACCTGTAAACCCAGCACTTTGGGAGGCCGAGGTGAAAGGATCACTTCAGCCCAGGAGTTCAAGACCAGCCTGGGCAACGTAGCAAGACCTCATCTGTACTTGAAAAAAAAAAAAAAAGGCCAGGCGTGGTGGCTCACACCTGTAATCCCAGCACTTTGGGAGGCCAAGGCGGGTGGATCACGAGGTCAAGAGATCAAGACCATCCTGGCCAACCCAGTGAAACCCTGTCTCTACTAAAAATACAAAAATTAGCTGGGCGTGGTGGCATGCGCTTGTAGTCCCAGCTACTCAGGAGGCTGAGGCAGGAGAATTGCTTGAACCTGGGAGGTGGAGGTTACAGTGAGCCAAAATCACACCACTGCACTCCAGCCTGGCAATAGAGTGAGACTCTGTCTCAAAAAAAAGGAAAAAAAAAAGAAAAAAAGCTGGGTGTAATGGAGCTTGCCTGTAGTCCCAACTTCTCAGGAGGCTGAAGTGGGAGGATCACTTGAGCCAGGGAGGTCGAGGCTGCAGTGAGCCATGATTGGGCCACTTCACTCCAGCCTGGGTGACAGAGTGAGACCTTGTCAAAAGAAAAAAAAAAAAGGAATAATTGAAGATAAAATTTCTGAAGCAATTAAAAAAAGAGCCCCAACTTAATGTAGAGTTTAAGAAATTTCAAGTTGCCTCCACAGAACCACCCTCAAAAAAGACTCCCTCCCCACACCCCAGTCAAGCATATGTAAAAGAATCATCTATCATCAATGAAACAATAAATGTGTAATTATAATTGAAGACAATAAATCTACATTATCAAAATAATTTAAAAATTTCGTAAAGATACAATAGGTTTGAATAATACAATGAATAAAATGGAACCAATACAAAATCTATAACTGTACTTCCTTTTAAGTGATTTCAAAATATTCTAATGAATCTTTTGTAAGAACTACACAATAGACATAAAGTGTAAATTCTATAAATGATTTTATAGAATTCCAAATGATAATTAATACAGCATTGTAAAGTACCTAACCATAAGGATAAAACATTATTTTAAAACAGATTTTCTTCAAGGAGGAAATACAGAATATAATGGAGCTTTATTGAGATGTGGTTAATATACAATAAACAGCACATGTTTAAAGTATACAATTGGTGAGTTTTGACATATGTGTACATCTGTGAAACAATCATCACAGTCCAGCCAATGAATACACCCATCACACCAAAAGGATCATGTGCCACTTGGTAATCTCTCCCTCCTGCACTTCCCTGCCTTATGCCCATCCACATGATATACTTCCTGTTGTTATAGATTATTTTGCATTTTCTAGACTTTTACATAAATGGAGTTATACAATATGTACTCTTTTTTGCCTGCCCTCTTGTACTTCATGTAATTAGTTTGAGATTCATCCATGTTATAGCATGTATCAATATTTCATTTATTTTATTGTTCCTTAGAATGAGTAGTATTCCATTGTACAAATTTACCACAATTTGTTTATCCATTAACCTATTGATGCACTTTTGGGTTATTTCTAGTCTGAGGCTCTTACAAATAAAGTTGGTATGAACAATTGTGCAAAAGAAATTTTATGGGCATATGCTTTCATTTCTTCTAGGTAAATACCTAGGAATAGAATGACTGTGTTAGAAATAAATTTTTGATGCCACAAAAGAAATAGCACTCGAACATAAATTTAATTTTCTCAGCAAGGCAATTTTACTTCTATAGAAGGGCGCACCTCGTGGATGGAGCAATGGCGAGAGCACATCTGAACAAGGAAGGGGAAGGGGTTCTTATTCCTGACACAGGTAGCCCCTACTGCTGTGTTGTTCCCCTATTGGCTAGGGTGGGACGACACAGTCTAAGCCAATTCCAATTGGCTATTTTAAAGAGAGCAGGGGTATGAGTCAGAGTGGTGGGGTGCGTTGTTTAGCGGGGAAGACGGTTACAGAACAGGTGACTCAGGATGACTCAGGTCAGAGCAGCTGACCAGGGATGACTCAGGACAGAGCAGGTGACCAGAGGTGACTCAGGATGGAGCAGGTGATAGAGGCTAGGAGGAGTTTGTTTACTGAAACTAGGGGCAAGGAGAGAAGAGAACGAGGAAGTTAAGCTTTAAAATAAAGAACAGGGAGCTGAACTTACTGATACCAGAACTCATTGTACTTAACAATTTACAGGCTAAAACCTTTGAAGAGGAATTTATTATATCCTACAACTGGGTTATATGGTAAGTGTATGTTTAAATTTTAAGAAACTGCCAAACTGTTTTTCAAAGTGGTTAACCATTTTTCATTCCCACCAGCTATATATAAGAGTTACAGTTGCTCCACATCCTTGACAACACTTGGCATGGACAGTCTTCAAAATTTAAGATGTTCCAATTGGGGTGTGGAAGAATCTCATCATGATTTTTAATTTGTATTTATCTAATGGCTAATGATTTTTTGAACATCTCTTCATTTTCTTATTTGCCGTCTGTGTATCTTCTTTGATGAAGTCTTATTTTGCCCATTTTTGTGTTGGGTTGTTAATGTTTTTTTTTTCTTTTTTTTTTTTTTGAGACAGAGTCTTGCTCTGTCGCTCAGGCTGGAGAGCAGTAGCACAATCTCGGCTCACTGCAAGCTCCGCCTCCCAGGTTCATGCCATTCTCCTGCCTCAGCCTCCTGAGTAGCTGGGACTACAGGCACCCACCACCATGCCCGGCTAATTTTTTTGTATTTTTTTAGTAAAGACAGGGTTTCACCGTGTTGGCCGGGATGGTCTCGATCTCCTGACCTCATGATCTGCCCATCTTGGCCTCCCAAAGTGCTGGCATTACAGACCTGAGCCACTGTGCCCGGCAGGTTGTTAATTTTTTAAACTTTTATTAGTTAGTTTTGAAAATATATATATTCTTTGCACATTAAAGGACACAGTTCTTTATCAGATATGTGATTTACAAATATTTTTCCAACACTTGTCTCTTGTCTTTTCATTCTCTTAACAGTGTTTTTCAAAGAGCAGAAGTTCTTCATTTGGATAAAGTAAAAAAAAATTATAGATGGATTGTGATTTTGGTATTGTTTCTAAGAAACCATTGACCAAACCAGGGTCACAAAGACTTTCTCCTGTGTTTTCTTCTAGAACATTTATACTTTTAGATTTTACATTTAGGTTTGTGATCCAGTTTGAATTAATTTTTTTGTGTACTGTGTGGTATGGATCAAAGTTCATTTTCTTTTTTTCTTTTTTTTTGGGGGGGGATATGGCTATCCAATTGTTCCAGTAAAATTTGTTGAAAAAAATAGAATTGCCTTTAAAGTTTATGAAAACATCAGTTGTTTACATATATGTGGGTTTATTTCTGGGATCCACCATCTTTCCATTTATCTATTTGTCTGTCTTAATGCCAATTCCATACTGTCTCGATTACTGTAGTTTTATAGTGCCTTGGAATCATGTAATGAAAGTTCTTTAATTTTGTTCTTCTTTTGTAAAAGTTGTTTTGGCTATTCTAGGTACTTTGTATTTCCATTTGAATTTAATAATCAATTTGTCAATTTTTACAAAAAGCCTATTGAGATTTTAATTGGGATTGCATTGAATATATAAATCAATTTGGGGACAGTTGACATCTTAATGTTGAGTCTTCCAATCCATGAACAAAGTGTGTTTCTCCATTTAGGTCTTCTTTAATTTCTTTTGGCAATATTTTGTAGTTTTCAGTCATCATTAAGTATTTAATTTTTTATGCAATCATATGTGTGGCTTTTAAATTTTTTTCAGTTTCAAATTGTTCTTCAATAGTGTATGGAAATACAATTGAATTTTGTATTTTGACCTTGTATCCTATAACCTTGTTAAACCTACTTCTAATCACTTGTCACTTCTAACATCTACCTGTTTTGCAAATTCCTTTGAATTTTCCGTAATGATCATGTTGTCTTCAAATAATAACAATTTTACTTCTTCCTTTTCAGTCTGGATGCCCTTTACTTCTTTTTCTTGTCTGATTGCACTGGTTGTAATCTCCAGTGCCATATTGAATAGCAGTGGTGAAAATAAACATCCTTATCTGTTCCTGATGTTAGGAAGAAAGCATTTAGGTTTTTGCTAGTAGGTATAATGGTAACTGTAATTTTTTTAGATGCCCTTTATCAAGTTCAGGATGTTCTAATAGTAATTTGCTTAGAGTTTTTATCAGAAATTGTTGTTGAGTTTTGCTAAATGAATTTTCTTCATCTATTGAGAAGATCATATGTTTTTTCTTTTTGGCTTGTTAATATAGGAAATTACATTGATTGGTTTTTGGTTTTTGTTTGTTTGTTTTTAAGAGACAGCTTCTCACTGTCACCCAAGCTGGAGTGCAGTAGTGAAATCATGGCTTACTGCACTTTTGACCTCCCTGGCTCAAGTGATCCTCCCACTTCAGCCTCCCAAGTACCTAGGACTATAGGCAAGTGCCAGCACAGCTGGCTTTTTTTTATTTTATTTTATTTTTTGGTCAAGACAGGGGCTCATTATGTTGCCCAGGCTGTTCTTGAACTCTTGGGCTGAAGTGATCCCCCTGTCTTGGCCTCCCAAAGTGCTAGAATTACAGGCATGAGCCACTGCACCTGGCCTTGATTGGCTTCTGGATTTCAAACCAGCCTTGCATTCTTAGAATAAACCCCACTTTGGTCATGATGCATTATCCTTTTTTTTTTTTTTTTTTTTTTTTTTTGAGATGGAGTCTCACTCTGTGACCCAGGCTGGAGTGCTGTGGCACCATCTTGGCTCACTGCAACCTCCACCTTGTGGGTTCAAGCAATTCTTCTGCCTCAGCCTCCCGAGTAGCTGGGACTACAAGCGTGAGCCACCATGTCCGGCTAATTTTTTTTGTATTTTTGGTAAAGATGGGGTGTCACCACATTGGCCAGGCTGGTTTTGAACTCCTGACCTCATGATCCATCCACCTCAGCCTCCAAAAGTGTTGGGATTACAGGCGTGAGCCACCCTTCCCAGCCACATTATCCTTTTTATATATTGTTGAATTAAATTTGCTAATATTTTGTTTAGAATTTTTGCATCTGTGCTCATGAGGAATATTGGTCTGTAGTTTGCTTTTCTTTGTCTGCTTTTTGGTATCAGGTTAATCCTTCATTTATGGAATTCATTGCAATATTCCCTACTTTTCAATTTTCTAAAAGAATTTCAGTAGAATTAGTCTTATTTTATTTTTGTGATTTTGTAGACTTCATCAGAGCAGCAAGCCATCTGGATATGGAGTCTTTTGTGACAAAGCCTTTAACTACAAATTAAATGTTTAAAATAAGTATAGGACTATTTAGGCTATTTCCGCTTGAGTGAGCTTTGGTATTTTGTTCCTTTCAAAGAATTTGCTCTAACTTGTTGAATTCGTTGGTGTAGAGTCATTCATAATATTCCATTATTATCTTTTAATATCTGTATAACTTGCAGTGATGTTGCATCCCACATTACTGATATTGTTAATTTGCATCTTCTATCTTTTTTTCCTAATCACCTTAGCTAGAGGTCTATTAATTTTATTGATTTATTTTTTCAAAGAAGCAGTTTTGGTTTCACAGACTTTTGCTGTTGTTTTTCTGATTTTTATTTCATTATTTTTGCTGTAATCTTTATTATTTTCTTTTTTCTGTGCATGTTGAGTTTAATCTTCTTTTTCTGGTGTCTTAACATGGAAGCTGAAGTCACTGATTTGAGACCTTTTTTTCTATTCTAACATAAGTGTTTTGTGTTGTAAAATTTTCCTTAAGTGCTGCTTCAAGGGCATCCCAGACATTTTGATATATTGGATTTTCATTTTCACTCCATTTAAAATACTCTCATTTCTCTTTCGATTTCTTCTTGGCCCACTGATTATTTAGAAGTCTGTTATTTAGTTCCCTAATATTTGGGGTCTACCCAGCAATTTTTCAGCAGTCATTGATTTCTAATTTATTTCCATCGTTGTCAGAGAACATACTATACGTGACTTAAATTCTTTTTAGCTTATTGACACTTGCTTTATGGCCCAAAATATGCTATATTTTAATAAATATTCCCATTGTCACTTGAAAAGAATTTACATTCTGTTGTTGTGGGGTGGAATGGTCAATAAATCTTAATCAAATGAGGTTAGTTGGTAGTGTTAATGATAAAATTCTATGACTGGAACAGTAGCTTCCAAAGTGGGTGTATGCATCCCTAAATGTATGAAAAATGATTTATTGAGGTACAGAAAGAAATTATTAAAATTAGGCCAGGTGTGGTGTCTTACATCTGTAATCCTGGCACTTTGGTTGGCCAAAGTGGGAAGATCACTGAGCCCAAGAGTTCAAGACCAGCCTGGACAACATAGTGAGACCCTATCTCTACAAAATATTTTAAAAATTTTAAAATAAGAATTAGCCGGGCATGGTGGCACATGCCTGTAGTCCCAGCTACTCAAGAGCCTGAGCCAGGAAGATCTCTTAAGTCCAGGAGGTCGAGGCAGCAGTGAGCTGCAATCATGCCACTATGCTCCAGCTTTGATGACACAGCAAGACTCTGTCTCAAAAAAAAAGAAATTATTGAAATTTTATATATATATAATTTAATGTATTATGTATATAATTTGCTAAAATTATATATAATTATTAAAATGAAAAGTATATTTATAGATAGTATCATATACTTTTTATTTTTTGTATATTGTTACAAATTACAGTGTATTTGCTACAGGATGTCATGAACATGATTAATATTTTTAAAATTCTAAGTGATAGACTCTATACAGTACTTTGTACTGAGATGAGGAGATACTATGCAATTTTTTTTATCCCACAGGCAGGTTGACCAGCATAGTCTTTCTCCTCTGGAGGAGCTCTTGAAATAATTTCCAGGTCTCAGGGGACCTCTGTATAAAAATTATTTTATCTAAGCCCATAGTACATTAGCATGATCAGTAAGTTGTAGATATAACAATCCAATAATAATTGCCAATGCTCTTTTGAGTAGAGAATGATATCTTTTCCTGAAGATCTGTTTATTTTGGCTTACTTATTTGCCTATCTTTTTATGTGGTTCCTCCTCCCAAAAAAAGACATTATGTCTACTTCAATTTTTACCTTATCCAAGTAGGTCCCAAACTCTTATCACAAATTTCTACTAAATGAGATTCTACTGTGGTTGCTATGTCTTTTTAACCATCTGTCCCTGAAATAAAATCAGATAGTTAAGATTAGCTTACCTTTCTTGAAATGAATCTCCCTAGTGGCTTTTCATAAAATTTTAAAACTCATATAGTAAAAATAATACATTTTTGTTATACAGGCTTAAGACAAAATGAAATTTTTCTAAAGGTAGAAGGAGTTGATTTAATTTATATAAAGGTTGTAAATTGATTTTAATTAATGTTATTTACAACATGAAAATTTATTGAAAATGTTAAAAGAAAGTTAGTAAAACTGCAAAGAAAACAATATGAATAAAAATGGCCTAAGACTGTTTTAAGACAGTTTAAAAGCGTTTCCTTACTGAGTGACATGATCAGGCTGCCTGATACGGTTTGGATATTTGTTCCCTCCAAATTTCATGTTGAAATATGATAAAGTTGGAGGTGGGGCCTAATGGGAGGAGTTTGGATCATGGGAGCAGATCCCTCATGAATGGTTTGAGGCTGTCCTGGTGGTAATGAATGAGTTCTTGCTCTGTTAGTTTATACGAGAATTAGTTGTTTAAGAAAACACTGCCCTCCACCTTCTCTCCCTTTTCCTCTCTCACTTTGTGACATTCTGGGCCCCCTTCACCTTCAGCCATGATTGGAAGCTTCCTGAAGGCCTAGCCAGGAGCAGATGTTGGCATCATGCTTCTTGTATAGCCTGCAGAACCGTGAGCAAAATAAACCTCTTTATAAATTACCCAGCCTCAGGTATTCCTTTATGGCAACACAAAATGGACTAACACACTCCCATGTAGGCCTAGCAATTACAAAATTATTATATACATGTATTACTTTCTTGATCTCTTTAATTGGTCTATATAAAAGTATTAAAAGTGTATTAAACACTTTTTTTAAACTAAAACTAAAGAATGGACTCTACCCCTTAATTGAAACTTGTGCTTGTGTATTTGCTTGTCAAATACACAATTTTCAACATAAATATGACAATTTCAAATGCTTCTTAAAGAAGAAAAACCAGCCTGAGCAATATAAGGCGATCCTGCCTCCGCAAAAAAAAAAGAAAGAAAAATAGCCAGGTGTGATGGCATGCATGTGTTGTCTGAGCTACTCATGAGACTGAGGTGGGAGGATGGCCTGAGGCCGGGAAGTTGAGGCTGCAGTGAGCTCTGATCATGCCACTGCACCAGCCTGGGCAACAGAATGAGACCTTGTCTCAAAAAACAAAAACAAGAAAAAGTTTATTTACAAGTTTAAGAAGTTAAAAACCAACAAGGCATGGTGGCTCACGCCTGTAATCCCAGCACTTTGGGATGCCGAGATGGGAGGATCACCTAAGGTCAGGAGTTCGAGACCAGCCTGACCAACATGGAGAAATCCAAGTCTCTACTAAAAATACAAAATTAGTCGTGCATGGTGGCGCATGACTGTAATCCCAGCTACTCGGGAGGCTGAGGCAGGAGAATTGCTTGAACCCGGGAGGCAGAGGTTGCCAAAAGCCAAAATTGAGCCATTGCACTCCAGCCTGGGCAACAAGAGCAAAACTCCATCTCAAAAAAAAGAAGTTAAAAACCACCGAGGTGTTCGTTGCTTTCCCGTGAATATCAGAAAACTATTTTTTCATAGAAATCCAGTTTGTCAAGAGATAGATGAGTAAATCTCATCTTCAGTACATGATCAGACTGTAGCTCTATTTAAGAAAGTTGACTATTTTTGTCACATCATCCAGACTTTTAAAATTTCTTCTTTGACAGGCTTTGACACCAGCACCTCTCTATGAAGAAAAGAGTGTGTTGTGAACGAAGTCAGAATTTCCTGTGTTCCCTTTGCCGCTCCTGGAGTTCACTGGTGAGTCCTGTCAGTATAGATGCCCACATATTTCTTCCAGATCAGACCTTTTCATTCCAGATACAACGACAGAACATTAAATGCACCCGGGGCCGGGCACTGTGGCTCACGCCTGTAATTCCAGCACTTTGGGAGGCCGAGGCGGGCGGATCACCTGAGGTCAGCAGTTCAGACCAGCCTGACCAAAATGGAGAAACCTGTCTCTATTAAAAATACAAAATTAGCTGGGCGTCGTGGTGCATGCCTGTAATCCCAGCTACTTGGGAGGCTGAGGCAGGACAATCACTTGAACCCGGTAGGCGGAGGTTGCAGTGGGCCGAGATCGCGCCATTGCGCTCCGGCCTGGGTGACAGAGCGAGACTCCGTCTCAAAAAAAAAAAAAAAAAAAAAAAAAATTTATCCGGGATTTTGCTTGTTTGGGACAGCTCTTTGCACCAGAAAAAAAAAAAGTCTTGAAAACCACCTTGTTTAAAAATCTTACAAATGTTATGATATTAATTAGCCAGGTGTGGTGGCCTGTGCCTGTAGTCCCAGCTACTTGAGAGGCTGAGGCAGGAGAATCGCTTGGACCTGGGAGGCTGAGGTTGCAGTGAACGAGATCGCACCACTGCACTCCAGCCTGGGCAACAGAGCGAGATTCCATCTCAAACAACAACCACTAATGTTATAATATGACATTTATTGGTAAAATCTGTTGATTCATCAACCTACATAGAGAACCATTTGTTTCCGTTTATGGCATGTATCATCAATACGTTGACTAATGGTATTGAGAGAGAAAACTTTTCATTTTCGCATGCTACATCTTGTCCTAGTATTTTATGTTTGTTTGTTTTTAGAGACAGCATCTCGTTATGTTGCCCAAACTGGACTCAATCCTGGGCTCGAGCTGGCCCTAGCATTTTATTTACTCTAATTTAGGTTCTCATTACTGTGTGCATTTTCCTTTTCTGGACATTAAATAACTGCTACTAAATAGCTTGCTTCCTGAGGCTATTCACTGACTACGACTTTTTTTTGTTTGTTTGTTTTTTAACAAAAGCTTTACTGTCTTTCAATGTTCCAGTAACCACCGAAAATAATCTGCCCTTTTACTTGTCAAATGTCTGTGCTTTGGAGTTAAGAGTCTTTGCAGTTTTGCCAGAGCCATTGCTGGATGTGTAAGTTGTTTACCACAGACAATGCACAAAGGAATGGAACAATTTGGATTACCAGAGTTCCTTGTTGTCTGGTGTAGTAAAATGCTTCAAAGGATTAAAATTCTTGACTGGGCATGGTGGCTCTCATCTGTAATCCCAGCACTTTGGGAGGCTAACATGGTAGGATTGGTTGAGGCTAGTAGTTTGAAAACACCTGGGCAACATAGCAAGATCTCTTCTCTACAACAACAAGAAAATAACAAGGCATGGTGGCACATGCCTGTAGTCCTAGCTACTCTGAAGGCTAAGGCAGGAGGATCATTTGAGCCCAGGAGTTTGAGGCTACAGTGAGCTATAATTACACCGCTGCACTCTAGCCTGGGCGACAGAGTGAGACCCTATCCCCAAAATAAATAAATAAATAAATAAATAAATAAATAAATAAATAAATAAATATCGGTTAAAACTCTTCATCAACCCCATCAGAAGAGTCCATGGATCTAGGCCTATAATATTTTCTTCTGTCTCATACCTTGTCTTCAAAAATCACTGGATCACTAATAAAATATAAAATGGTAGAGCACAATAACAGCCACACGGGAAAAATTATTTACAAAATAAATGAAATTTTCGCTATACCAATTTAGTTCTAACCTATACAATCCATGCTTTCAGTGACCATTGCTTATGAATAAGTGAAATGAATGGACGCATGCTGTAAGGCGTGGGAGGGAGGCACTGGGAAAACCATTATAAGGTACTTGTACTGTGAAGCAGTACACTATTACTTTAAAGTGGGCTTGCATTAGTTATACATGTATATTAAAAATTTTAGGGAAACCACTAAAAAGAAATATAATTGATATGAGAGAAGAGAAAATGGAATCTTAAAATGCACAATTAAAACCAGAGAAGGCAAAAAAACAAAAACAAAAACAAAAACAGAGAAGGCAGAAAAAGAGTGGAAGATAAAAAAAGAAACAGAACAAAAGCAATGAATAGAAAAGTTTAAAATACAGTAGGTATTAATCCAATGATATCAATATTCACTTTAAATGTGAATGGCCTAAGTACACCAATTAAAAAAGACTGTCAGAGTGGTTAAAAAAAACAAGTCCCCACAAGATGAAAAAATTAGAAAAAAAAAGGCCTAACTAAATTTTGTTTAAAAGAAACCCATTTTAAATATAAAGATGCAAATAGAATAAAAATAAAAACTTAAAGAATTATGCCATGCTAATACTAGTCAAAAGAAAACCGGAGTTCTACATTAATTTCAGACAAAGAATTTAGCACAAGGGAAATTCTCAGGGATACAGAGGAGCAGTACAAGATTTTAAAAATCTCCAAGAAAATATAACAATCCTTAATGTGTACATACCTAACAAGAGTGTCAAAATACATGCAGTGAAACTGATAGAACTGCAAGGAGAAATTGATGAATACACTATAATACTTAGAGACTTCAACACCCCTCTATTAGTAGTTGACAGATCCAGTAGGCATGAAATCAGTAATTATATAGTTGAACTAAACATAAACAGCACCATCAATCAACTGAATCTAATTGACATTTATAAAATACTTCATCCAACAGCAACAAAATACACATTCTTCCCAAGCTCACATGGAACATTCACCAAGAGAGACCACATTCTGGGTGATAAAACAAATCTTGACAATGGGATTAAACTAGAAATAATAACAGAAAGATAGCTCGAAAATCCAAAAATATTTGGCAATTAAACTACACATTTCTAAATAATCAGTAGGTCAAGGAAGAAGCCTCAAGAGAAGTGAAATTTTAAAATATTTTAACTCAATAAAAATGAAATTATGACTTATCAAAATTTGTCAGATGCAGTGAAAGCAGTGCTTAAAGGAAAATTTATACCATTAAATGCTTATATAGGAAAATAAAAAAGACCTAAAATTAATCACTTAAGTTTCTGTCTCAGGAAACTAGAAAAGGAGGTGCAAATTGGCCAGGCGTCATGGCTGATGCCTGTAATCCTAGCACTTTGGGAGGCTGAGGCTGGGGGATCACCTGAGGTCGGGAATTCGAGACCAGCCTGACCAACATGGAGGAACCCCGTCTCTACTAAAAAAAATACAAAATAGGCAGAGCGCGGTGGCTCACCACTGTAACCCCAGCACTTTGGGAGGCCGAGGCAGGAGGATGACAAGGTCAGGAGTTTGAGACCAGCCTGGCCCAGATGGTGAAACCCTGTCTCTACTAAAAATACAAAAAAATTAGCTGGGCACAGTGGTAGGCACCTGCAGTCCCAGCTACTCGGGAGGCTGAGACAGGAGAATCGCTTGAACCCTGGGAGGTGGAGGTTGCAGTAAACCGAGATCGTGCCACTGCACTCTAGCCTGGGCAACAGAGCAAGAATCCATCTCAAAAAAAAAAAATTAGCCAGGCTTGGTGGCACATGCCTGTAATCCCAGCTACTCGGGAGGCTGAGGCAGGAAAATCACTTGAACCTGGGAGGCAGAGGTTGCGGTGAGCTGAGATCGCACCATTGCACTACAGTCTGGGCAACAAGAGCAAAATGCCAAAAAAAAAAAAAAAAAAAAAAAGGAAGGAAGGGAGGGAGGAAGGAAGAAAAGGAGGAGTAAATTAAATTAAACATAAGCAGAAAAAGAGAAATTATAAAAATCAGGGCAGAAAACATCGAAATTGAAAACAGGAAATCAATAGAAAAAGAATCAATCAACCCAAAACTGTTTCTTTGCAAAGATCAGTGAAATTTATAAATCTTTACTCAAACTAATGAATAAAAATAGGAGACACAAATTACTAATATCAGAAATGAAAGAAGGCATATCACTATGAACATTAAAAGCGTAATAAAAGAATGTGATAAATAATTATATGCCCACAAATTTGATAATCTAGATGAAGTAGACCAGTTCCTTAAAAGACAATCTACCGAAACTCTCACAAGGAGAAATAGATGATATAAATAGGCCTGTATCTACTAAATAAATTGAATCAATAATTAATAACTTTCCAAGACAGAATGTACCAGGCTCAGATGGATTCACTGGTGAATTCTACCAAATATTTAAGAAGTAAATTATAACAATTCTCTATAGTCTCTTCCAGGAAATAGAAGCAGAGGGAATACATTCTAACATTCTTTGAGGACAGCATTACCCTAATACTAAAACCAAAGATATTACAAGAAAAAACAACTACAGACCAATATCTCTCATGAATATAGATACAAAAGTCCTCAACAAAATATTAACAAATAAAATTCAACAAATCTAAAAAGAATTATACACCATGACCAAGTGGGATTTATTTTAGGTATACAAGACTAATATGCAAAATCAATTAATATGACTACATTTGATCTTAGCCAAAAGGCTGAGAAGAGATGAATTAATGTAAGTTATTACACCAAGACACTAAAGAAGATAAATCATATGATCAAATACAGAAAGAGAATTTGACAAAATCCATCACCCATTCATCATAAAAACTCTCAGCAAACTAGGAGTAGAGGGGGACTTCCTCAGTTTGATAAAGAACATCTACAAAAACCCCTACAGCTAATGTCATAGGTACTGATGATGCTTTCTTCCTAAAATTAGGAGCTACACAAAAGAGTATACTTTCACCAGTCTTATTCAACATCATTCTGAGAGTCATGGCTAACACAATAAGACAAGACAAGGAAATAAAAGATATACAGATTGGCCAGTCGCGGTGGCTCACGCCTGTAATCCCAACACTTTGGGAGGCTGAGGTGGGTGGATTGCCTGAGCTCAGGAGTTCGAGACCAGCCTGGGCAACATGGTGAAACCCCGTCTCTACTGAAATACAAAAAAATTAGCCGGGCATGACGGTGTGTGCCTATAATCCCAGCTACTCGGGAGGCTGAGACAGGAGAATCACTTGAACCCAGGAGGCAGAGGTTGCAGTGAGCCGAGATCACCCCACTGCACTCCAGCCTGGGCAACAGAGTAAGACTCCGTCTCAAAAAAAAACGAAAGATATACAGATCAAGAAGGAAGAAATAAAACTGTCTTTGTTTACAGATGATGATTTTCTATGTAGAAAATCCCAAAGAATTGACAAAACAAACAAAAAAGGCAACTAATTCCTGGAGCTGATACGCACTTATAGCAAAGTTGTAGGATACAAGGTTAATATACAAAGTCAGTTGCTTTCCTCTATACCAGCAATGACCTATTGGAATTTGAAATTGATAACACATCTTCAGTAGCGTCCTTAGCTTAAGAAAGAAAATAAAAAATAAAAATAAAGACACAACATCATTTACATTAGCACCCTGAAAGAAAAAGAGAAATACTTAGGTATAAATTTAGCAAAATATGTACAAGAGCTATATAAGGAACACTATTAAACTGTCATGAAAGAATCATGGATAGGAAACTCAATATTGTTAAAATGTCAGTTCTTTACAACATGATCTATACATTTAACGCAATACCAATAAAAATTACAAGTCGTTTTGTAGATATTGACTAACAGATTCTAAGGTTAATATGGAAAAGCAAAAGACCCAGAATAGCCAACACAATATTGACGAGAAAAAGTCAGAGAACTGACGCTGCAAAACTTCAAGACTTACTGTACAGTAATCAAGACAGTGTGGTATTGGTGAAAGAATAGACAAATAGATTAATGGAACAGAATAGAGAGGCCAGAAAGAAACACACAAATATAGCCAACTGATCTTTGACAGACAAGCAAAGGCAATTCAACGAAGAAAGGACAGTCTTCAGCAAATGATACTGAAACAATTGGACATTCACATGGGAAAAAAATGAATGTAGACACATGCCTTACATCTTTCACAAAAATTAACTCAAAATGGATCATAGTAAAATGTACTATGTAAAATGCAAAACTATAAAACTTCATGTAAAATGCAAAACTACATGTAAAATGCAAAACTATAAAACTTCTAATGTAAGGCATTAATAATAGGGGAAATGAGGACCAAAGTGGGTGCAGAGAGAAGGGAAGAATATGAGAGTTCCCTGTACTTTCTGCTCAGCTTTTCTGTAAAACTAAAACTGCTTTAAAAAAAATTAAGCCTATCAATTATTGTAAAACTAAAACTGCTTTAAAAATTATTTTTAAAAACTCCATCTGCATAGTTAAATATAAAAAGCAAACAACTTTTAAACAGGATTTTCTAACCTACTTAGAGGTTTTCCAGAGCACTCTAAATGAATTTTGAACATATTTATTTAAAACATAAACATTAAGGCTGGGTGCGGTGGCTCACATCTCTGATCCCAGCAATTTGGGAGGCTGAGGTGGGCAGATCACTTGACATCAGGAGTTTGAGACCAGCCTGGCCAAAATGGTGAAACCCCCGACTCTACTAAAATACAAAACTTGGCGAGGCGTGGTGGCAAGTGCCTGTAATCCCAGCTCCCTGGGAGGCTGAGACACGAGAATCGCTTGAACCCTGGAGGCAAAGGTTGCAGTGAGCCGAGATCGTGCCGCTGCACTGCAGCCTGGATGACAGAGCAAGATTCTGTCTTGGAAAAAAAAAAAAATCCATAAACATTACATATTCTGATTAGTTTACAGGAACAATTTATTGTCATCAGGGAAGATGAAAATTTATTTGCTATTTAGAATCCTTCCTTTCTCGCTTTCTTTTTCTTTTCTTTCTTTTTATTTTAAATCAGGATCTTTCTTTGTCACCCAGGCTGGAGTGCAGTGGCGTGATCATTGATTCGGACAGGAGGCAGAGAAATTCTAGGCAGAAAAGAGTGGGGTCCCTGGTGAGGGCCACACCCTGAAGTCTGGAACCACAGCCCCGAATGAGAACTTTCCATCCCCATTTTCCCCGCTTGAATGTCACCTTTTCCAAAACCACCCCTGGCCCACTCCACCCCACATCCTGTACCTATGAAAACCCCAGGCTCCACTGGCAGAGAGCAGAGAAAGGGAGAAGAAGCAGCTGAACGTTAGAGAAGTCTCTTGACTTCAGAGGGACAGCTTGACAGCAGGACTTAGGAGAAGAGTCTGGCCAGAGACAGCTGGACATCCCGGGAAGAATACCTTCCTGCTCCATCCCCTTTGTAGTTCCCTTTCCCACTGAGAGCCACTTCCATCAGCAAGAAAATCCCCTATATTTACTATCCGTCAATTCATCCATGCGATCTGATTTTTCCTTGACTCTGGACAAGAGCTTGGGATACAGAAGCCTATAACAGTGACCCACTACCCTTGTGAAAAGGCAGAGGGTCCACTGAGCTGTTAAACACTTAAGCCATCTGCGGATGGAAAAGCTAAAAGAGCGCTGCCTGTAACATTCCTTCTGGGGTTTCAAGAGTCATGGGTACTCCCTACTAGATGCTGCTGCGGGGCCCACACAAAGTTTTGCTCCTGTCCACACCCAGAAGTACTCGCCCCAGCTCCTGCACCTGCTCAGCTGTGCTCTCCATCCTGTGAAGGGTGGAGGATGAAAGTAAAGGGATAGCAAAAATGTACCAAGCAAACACTTACTATCATAAGAATACTGGAGTGGCTATATTAATATTAGACAAAATAGACTTCAAGTTAAGGATTATGAACAGAAATAAGAAGACATATTCTAAGTGTAGTTGTGAGTTTAAAGTTTAAAAAAAGGAGGACATTTTAATGATAAAAGAGTCAATTCATCAATAAGACATAATCTTATACATGTGTATACATATAGTAATAAAGTTTCAAGTATATAAAGCAAAACCTACAGAACTAAAGGGAGAAACAGACAAACCCACAACCATGCTTGAACAGTTTAATACCCTTCTCTCAGTAATTGATAGAACAGACAAAGTTAGTAAAGACGCAAGAGATTTCAGCAACACTACTGAGCAACTTGATTTCATTGATGTTTACACAAAATACTGCCTAAAAAAAAAGGATACACATTCTTTTAATGTGAAAATCATCATCATGGCCGGGCGTGGTGGTTCACGCCTGTAATCTCAGCACTTTGGGAGGCTGAGGCAGGCGGATCACAAGGTCAGGAGATTGAGACCATCCTGGCTAACACAGTGAAACCCCGTTTGTACTAAAAATACAAAAAATTAGCCAGGCCTGGTGGCACACACCTATAGTCCTAGCTTCTCAGGAGGCTGAGGCAGGAGAATCGCTTGAACCTGGGAGGTGGAGGTTGTAGTAAGCCAAGATTGGGCCACTGCACTCCAGCCTGGGCAACAGAGTGAGACTCCATCTTAAAAAAAAAAAAAAAAGAAACAAAGAAAGAAAGAAAGAAAGAAAAGAAATCATTATCACAAAGAAAGCTTTGTATATGTTCATTTTTTGTAATAATGAAACACTGGAAACAAAATTGGAGAACTGATAAATAAATTGGCATTTTTTGAAAATAAAAAACACAGCAGCTAAAATACATTGGAGCTGATTTTATCCTCATGAGTTAATATAGATAATTTTCAAAAAATATGATAATGAATAAAAGCAAGTTGCAGAATAATATAGTAGGATACCAATTTTTTTTACAGTCTTAAAGCATATAAAACAATGCTTTATATTAGTTATGGGTACTACAGGCTTAGTGAAAATATAACATTAGCTGTAGAGAACACCATTGCTACTTCAGAATAGTGGTTACCTCAAAGAAGAGGAAAGAAATGTGATCAGGTGTTCAATTCTATTAGTAATGTTATATTTTTTAGGAAAGAGAGGAAGTGATGAAAAATAAATTTTTTCCATTACTAAAATATTGAAGAACTAGAAGCTATCTCAGTGATCAACAGTAGCAGAACCAGACAATCCCCTATACCCAAGTTGCTGAAAGCTTCTGGGGCAAACCACACCACTGAGTAGGGTAGTATTTCCACAGATTGATGATTTTCATTTTCTATTGGGGGTTTCCCCCATCTCAGAGGATAAAATGGCCTCTTCTACCTATTCAATCCCTCTATCTCTATGCATAATCCCCACCCCCTGCTCCCAACTCCAGGATCTCATTCCATCAATTATTGTCTCCCTTCCATACTTGTTCAGTCTTTTATTCTCCACATCCTATAAACATGTTCATATCTCTATTGCTTAAAAAATAAACAAACAAAAAAGTTGATCTTGCAGGCTGGGCAGCATAGCGAGACCCCATCTCTACAAAAAGTAAAAAATCAGCTGGCATGGTGTGGTGTGCCTATAGTCCTGGCTACTTGGGAGCCTGAGGTGGGAGATGGGAGGATCACCTGAGCCCAGGAGGTCAAGGCTGCAGTGAGCTGTGATTGTGCCACTACTGCACTTCAGCCTGGGCAACACAGACCCTGGGTCAAAAAAAAAGAAAAAAAGAAGAAGATGTTGATCTCGGCCGTGACACCATCATTTTTCTTCTTATCTGCAGCTCAGTTTCTGAAAAAGGAAATCTAATGACTTGCTTCCATCTCCTCAACTCCCTGCAATCTGGCTCCCACTCTGTGGGTACTTCCTTTTTAAAATTTTCTCCCCTGGACTTCTAAGACCCACTTCTTTCCTGTTACCTCCTTCGTTGGCTTCCCTTTTCACTGCCTACCTTCTTGCCCTCAGTGATTTTCTAACTAACCTCATCAACCTTCCAGGATTTTCTACCATGTGCTGATGAAATCTCTATCTCTAATAGGACTGCTTTCCCAAATTCTGGAGCTACATATCCAGCCGTTATGTAGCTCCACCTGGACATGCCACAGATATCTTAAATTCAACATATCCAAGATAACCTTGGCATCTTTCTCAATGTATTGTCTCTTCCTGCTCCCCAACCTCACTTCTTATTTTAGTCCATGCCTGTATCACCACCCTATCACCACCGTAGTTACCCAGCAGAAACCCTTAGTTACTGCCTCCTGCCTTCTCATCTCCCAAGTCCCATCAGATACTAGTTCTGTTGCCACTACATTAGCTAAGGCCCAGCTTATCTCTCATCTGTGCTATTGCCTAGCCTTCTGCCTAGGAATCTTCCTCCTTCAGGCTTTTCCTCAAATCATCTATTCTCCTTCCCACTGCCAGAGTTATTTCCCTAAAATGCAAATTTGAGAAATTCCCTCTCTTGCTTCAAATCCTTCAGTGACTCCCCTCTGTCCATGCTGCAAAGTCCAAGTTCCTCAGCATGGCTCACAAAGCCTTTATCATCTGCTCCCCACCCACTCATTCAAACTAGTCCCTGGTCCCTCCTCTGCTACACTCCAACACTAATTGAGGATATTAATAATGAATCACCTCTAAGGCACCAACACACATCTATTGAGCTATTAAAATAATTGAAAAAAGTTTTTAAAAACATTGTTTAATAACATCAAAAGAAAAACTACACATATGCCCGTCAAATGAAGAATGGGTAAAGAAAAGGTGGCATCCTCACTTAGTGGAGTAACACTTAGTAATGAAAAGAATGACCCACTGCCATATGCAACAACCAGATGGATGGATTTCACAGATATAGTGATGAGCAAAAGAAGGCAGGCATGCAAGAGTACACAAGAGTATGGTTCCATTTATGTGAAGTTCAAGATTAGGCAAAATTAATCTATGGTTGTGGAAGTCAGAATGTGGTTACTTCTGCAGCTGGTATTGACTAGGAAGGGGCACAAGAGAAACTTCTGGAGAGCTGGAAATGTTTTGAATCTTCATATGGGTGGTGATTACACAGAGCCTGTATATTTATCTATCTATCCATCTCTATCTGTAGATATTAATCAAGCCATATAATTAAGATTTGTATGCTTTGCCACATATATGTTACACCCTGTTTTAGTCCGTTTGAGTTGCTATAACAAAATGCCATAAACTAGGTGGATTATAAACAATAGGAATTTATTTCTCATAATTCTGGAGGCTGGGAAGTCCAAGATCAAGGCACTGGCAGAGTCAGTGTCTGGTGGGGGCCTGCTTTCTCAGGGTTAACGATCTTCTGGCTGTAACCTCACATGGCAGAAATAGCAAGGGGTATCTCTCTGGCCACTTTCATCAGGACACTAATCCCATTCACAAGGCTCTAACCTCATGACCTAATCATCTCTCAAAGGCCCCCACCTCCTATACCATCATTTTGGGGATTACGATTTCAATATACAGATTTTGGGGGGACACAAACTTTCAGATCATAGCACATCTCAATTTAAAAATTGCTAAATTAGGCAGGGCGTGGTGGCTCACGCCTGTAATCCCAGAACTTTGGGAGGCTGAGGCAGGCAGATCATGAGGTCAGGAGATTGAGAACATCCTGGCTAGCATGGTGAAACCCTGTTTCTACTAACAATACAAAAAATTAGCCGAGCGTGGTGGCGCACGCCTGTAATCCCAGCTACTTGGGAGGCTGAGGCAGAAGAATTGCTTGAACCCGGGAGGCAGAGGTTGCAGTGAGCTGAGATCATGCCATTGCACTCCAGCTTGGGCAACAAGAGCAAAACTCCATCCCCCTCGGTAAAAAAATATTGCTAAATTAAAAAAAATTGCTGAGGGGGCACAGGGAGACAGGTACACAGCTGGCTGCCCTATAAATTGATAAAAATCTTTTGGAAAGCAGTCAAGTAATATGTAAAGAGAGTTAACACTTGGCATTCTTTCCTCTACTAATTCACTTTTGGTAAGAAATTTTTCTAAGAAATCAACAGGAAAGAATTTACAAACCATTTGTACAAATACGTTTAGAACAATATTATCCATAAAAATGAAAAACTCTATATAAACCAAAAGTCCAATTATTGCGAAAAGTTTAAGTAAAGTATGGTAAGATAATATAATAGAACTGTGTATGGTCTTTTTAAATTATCTTACAACTTATTCAATACATGAAAAATTATATAAAAATTAATGTTGATTCCAAAATCAGAATGCAAATATCAGATACCAAATTATATCAGTTATCTATTATTATGTACAAACTACCTAAAAGTTAATGACTTAAAACAAGAACCATTTTATTTACCCACAATTCTGTGGGTCAGCAATTTGGGCTGGGCTCAGCTAAATGGTCTCTTGGTTGGCCTGGTCTGGGTTTACTCTTGTGACTATAGTCATCTAGTAGCTCAACTCAAGTTGGATGGTATAAAAAGGCCTTGCTCACATGTCTGGTGTTTGAAAGTGGGCCTTTCTGTCTCCACATGGTCTGTCATAGCAAGGAGGCTATTCCAAGCTCCTTCACATGACGACAGCAGCATTGCAGGAGGGCAAGAGCAGAAACTACAATCTGTTGGGCAAAGCCGTTCATAAGACCAACAGAGATTCAAGAGGAGACGCAATCAACTTCACCTCTAGGTGGCATGCCTCATACTACCACCTGTATTATCTTTACAAAACAGACCTGTCCAGGTAACCTGATGAGGAAATTAAGTACCATGTGTCTTCTAGGTTGCAGACAGAAAGGAAACTCTGCCTCCTTTCCCATCCTTGGCAGCCAGGGCTCTGTGTGCTAATAGGTTGGGCACCAAGTCTGAGCCCTTGGAGAGACAGCAGGAGAGGCTGAGGGTTGAGGCTGAGGTGAAGCTAGGGTGAAGGGGGATAAGAAAAGGGATGGGAGGAATATGTGGTCATTAAACAGTCTACACACCAATGATTCACAGCCAATCTTAAAGTGAAGATGTACATCATATATGTTTACACTGATAAGGATTGGAGAAACATCCAAAAAAGCTGTAGCAGGTTGTTTTATAGGTATGAATTTTTTCCTCATAAAATTGTCAGTTTAAAAAAAGCCCTAAGGGAAAAAAACCTCGCATGCCTAAATATATTCATTTGACTACACTAAATGGGACACAGAAGAATATTTTATGTACAAGCAGTACTCATAAAAGATACCAGATGAGCAAGTCCAGAGCCTCAGATTCTATATTTAACAACAAAGCAGACAATGGCAAGGACCAGATCGGCTTTCTTGGAAGCTTTGCACAAAGATTTTCCAAAAGATTTTTCATGGGTTGTTATAGAAGAAAATGCTACATACCTGCTTATAAGCAAAGGTTTTTTTTTATTTCCCCTAGACTTCTGAGTAGCATTACCCTATGCCACCGAAACAGCTCTCTCCACACTACATTATTTTAGTTTTCTTCCACTCAGTGAACATTTGTCCTCACATTCTTATTTCTTTCTTTCTTTTCTTTTTTTTTTTTTTTTGAGACAAAGTCTCGCTGTAGTCCCCCAGGCTGGAGTGCAATGGCACGATCTCAGCTCACTGCATCCTCCGCCTCCTGGGTTCAAGCAATTCTCCTGCCTCAGCCTCCCAAGTAGCTGGGATTACAGGCACCTGCCACCACGCCCGGCTAATTTTTGTATTTGTAGTAGCGACAGGGTTTCACCATGTTGGTCAGGCTGGTCTCGAACTCCTGACATCAGGTGATCCACCTGCCTCGGCCTCCCAAAGTGTTGGGATTACAGGCGTGAGCCACTGTGCCTGGCCTCACATTCTTATTTCTAGAAAACCTTTGTACTTCATATCTGAACTCATTTGATGCCCATTATTGTATTTCTTTTACCATTTTGATTTGATTTCTTCTTGCCTAGATAGATGCCTAGGACTTGTCCTAGATATATGGATATACAGCTCCTAAAACCTAATGTGGCTAAAACTGAATTCCTTTCCTCCCACAAGCTGTTGCTGCTCTCCATCTGCTTCTGGTAATAGCACCCTCATCATTCCAACCACATCCCAGGGTCAAAACTCTGGAACTTTGTTCCTTCTCACTTTCCTGCTAACATCCAGTTGGCTTTCTCAGCCAACTGAATCAACTCCTGGAAAGTCTCTCTGGTTGCTTCCATTCTAATCCCCAAAGGGCCCCAATTCAGCCTTCATCAGCTTGTCTGATTATAACTGCCCTTCTCTCTCTCTCTGTGGTTCTTTTTCATGCCTCATAGTGCCACCTGTGTTATCTTTACAAAACAGACCTGTCCCGGTAACCTGATGAGGAAATTAAGTATCATGTGTCTTCTAGCTTGTAGACAGAAAGGGAACTCTGCCTCCTTCCCCATCCTTGGCAGCCAGGTCTCTGTGTGCTAATAGGTTGGATACCAAGTCTGAGCCCTTGGAAAGACAGGAGGAGAGGCTGAGGGCTGAGGCTGAGGTGCATCTAGGTAATGGTGTCATGCCCTGCTGCTCAAAATGTGGCCTACAGACCAGCAGCACCAGCAGCACCTGGGAGTTTGTAGAAATGCAGAATCTCAGGTGCCACCCAGACCTACTGAATCAGAATCTGCATTTTAACAAGATCCGTATGTGATTGGTGCACACTGAAGTCTGGGAAGCATTGTAAGGGATACCTTTTGTGCCTCACTTTCAACGCTTTAAATCCCCTTGGCCTCACCTCTGACTCCAGCAGTAATCGCTAGTAGCAGTGGTCAGCAGCGTCCAGCTCACTTATATATCTATACATTGCCTTGCACTCTTTCCCTCATCGGCTGCCCCTATCTCTCACTCTTTCTTCTGGGTCAACTTCCCAAATAAACTATTAAATCCAAATCCTTGTTTCAGGTTCTCCTTCCAGGGAACCCAGCCTTAGATGATTAAAAAAATTGAGGAGGGCCTGAAGAAGCAGGGCAGCAGTGCTCTGGAGGTGGCAGAATCACAGCTGGTGTTAACGAGGTAAGAGTTCAGGGCCTACACAATGAGCACCAGGTTTGGGGAAAACACAGCTGAGACTCCTAGACCTCAGTTTGGCAAAGAAGTGTGTCCCACCCTAGGTTACCTGCCTTCAAGGCAGGGCCAGCTTCATGGGCCTATGATCTGTGCTGTCACACAGGGCCCTGTACTCCAAAGGGCCCTGTGTTTGGTGTAATGCTCACTTGTTACCATTTTGAAATTCTTAGTAATTTTTGAACAAGGGGCTGTGTTTTCATTGCATACTGAGCCCTGCAAATTATGTAGCTGGTCCTGATCCTAGGGTGGGAAGAGAGAGCAAAGTTCAGACCACAGGCTGAAAGATTCCTCTTTAGGAAACCCGTAAGCTCTCAGAACTCATATGATTCTAACAGAGTTGAGGGGTTGGGAAGAATGCCTCCTCACCACTGCCATGTCCAATGAGACTGGGATTTTTTGCCAACTCTGGCAAATGGGGGCTGAAGCAAATTTGATTTGATTTTGGAACACAAAGGAATGTAACATTTCTTGCACTTTAGTGTTGCAGAACAAACTCTGAAGCCTTCCATGAAGATTTTATTATGTCCGTCTTGTGTTTAGAGTTCTGTAGTGGCTCTCCATTACTAAGAAACTAAACTATAAACCTCATAGGAAAGCATTCAAGATTCTGCTGATCTAACAAGATCTTAGTCCTGCTGTCCACTAAATCCTCTTTGCGACCTTAAACTCTAGTTCCAGTAGTTAATCTTCCATCCACCTCTGTCCTTATCCACCTGGAATCCACACCATTCCAAACAGTCAACCACTGATACGAGTTTTTTTGTGAGTATTCAGAAATTTAAAAAATTTATACAAGTAAATAATATGCACTTTGTTTTCCTTTCTTATATATATGGTAGAATACTATACCCATTCTCTTCTATTCTTCATGCATTCTCTTATGCTACTGTCCTTGATCTGGAATATTTTTCTATTCCATCTCCATCATTAATTCAAACAGCCTTCAATACCCATTGCAAATACCTCTTCTTGAAGCATTCCCAAATCCTACTATGTAGTTGCAATTAAATATTACCTTCCAAGGGCTGGTCATGGCAGCTCACACCTGTAATCCCAGCATTTTGGGGGACAGGAGGCAGGAGGATCACTTAAGCACAGGAGTTTGAGGTTACAGTGAGCTATGATTGCATCACCGCACTTCAACCTGGGTAACAGGCCAACACCCTGTCTCAAAAAAAAAAAAAAAAAAAAAAAAAAACCTTCCTGGGATATTAAACAGGAACTTTGTAATTAGCCATTTAATATCTCAGAAACTATCTTGCTTCTCATTTGACATAACAAAAGACAGAGCCTATGTATTAAAGAGAATCATATGAAATTGCTGTCATTTGACAGATATGACCTAGAAAAAAAAGTCATTTCGTATGAGTTATCTAATCGATTTCAATTTAAATAAGGCCCTTCCCTGACCTCTTTAGTCTTCCTTAGGATTCCTCCTTTTCTCATAGAGAAGTTTATTATATAGTGATCTGTATTTTATTATTCCAACACTTCTCACCATTTAATATTAACCTAGTCTGAATCTAAGGGTTTCTAGGCTTTTAATTGTCTTCCATTTCTACATTATATATGGCTCTTTCTCAAGAGTGATGACCCTTCTTTTACCATCTCCACCACCCTTATCATTAGAACAACTCGTACACATTCTTATCAACGTTATCACCCAGTGCTTTGATAAACAAAGCATGAGGTCACTCAGACATTGCAGCTGGTGTTGTTTCCAACTATGTTTTTCCTGCTCTACTTGCTAGTTTTAGATGAGGGTATAATAATAGCAGTTGGAATATCACACAGATCATGTTTTCTAATCGATCAATCACCTCATAACCAATTCATGCTATGAACACTTGTGTTGAAGGCCTTCTGCAGATGAACTTTCCCTGTGCAGCAGGGAGCATGCCCTCAAACTGTTCTGGGCCCATAGCCAAAAAATTCAGCAACCAAAAGAGAAGAAAAGACTAGTCCAGTTAGAAAGTATTTGGCTAAGGATCCTGATTGTCCTGGCTGGGGCCATATGTCCATCCGTGGACCAGCCACTGTGGCCAGATGGATGGAATAATATTATTCATTCAACCTGGGACCTTGCCCATTTTTTTTGTTGTTGTTGTTTTGAGACAGAATCTTACTCTCTCGCCCAGGCTAGAGTGCAGTTGCATGATCTTGGCTCACTGCAGCCTCTACCTCCCAGATTCAAGTGATTCTCATGCCTCAGCCTCCCAATAGCTGGGATTACAGGCATGCGCCACCATGCCCAGATAATTTTTGTATTTTGAGTAGAGACCAGGTTTCACCATGTTGCCAGGCTGGTCCCAAACTCCTGACCTTAAGTGATCCACCTGTCTCTGCCTCCCAAAATGCTGGGATTACAGGCGTGAGCCACCCGCACCCAGCCTCTTGCCCATTCCTATAACCAAGTACCAGGTTGTTAACAGAAGAAGCTGGAAAGGTGAAGGCATCCTGACAGACAAGAACTACTACTTCTACATTGAATTGAAATAGATTCCCCTACCTGCATCTTCACCCACTGTGCTTTGTTTTACCTTTCATATTAGATAAATACTTGTTACCTACTTTTTATATAAAACAAGTTTATGTAATCCCAGCTACACAGGAGGCTGAGGCAGGAGAATTGCTTGAACCTGGGAGGTGGAGGTTGCGGTGAGCCGAGATCGCGCCATTGCACTCCAGTCTGGGCAACAAGAGCAAAACTCCGTCTCAAAAAACAACAAACAAACAAACAAACAAAAAACAAGTTTAATCCCTTTTCCATAAGGAAACTTCAAATATGTTAACACAGCATATGTGGCCTTCCTTCTCCAGCCAGTGACCCTACTGCTGGTTTCTTCCTGGGTGTCTTGCCATTCCTTCTTTTCCTCCTCTGCCCGCTCTTCCCTGGCCCTACCCACCTCCAAGATTCAGCTTTCCTTGGGTTTTTGCCTTGGCCCTTTTCTCTTCCTCACTATTCACATTCTCCCTGTGACAATGACCACTCTCCACGGCCCTATCACCAGCATATATGCCAGCATTTCCTTTGCTTTGTGACTTTTTCTGACCCTATGCTTTTGTTTACTCTGTCACAGTTCTATAAAATCTTACAACACTCTCCCCCTTAGGAATTTTATAAATTATTTAATCATTTGTGTAAGTTAGAATTGCATTTGCCTGCATGTAAGAGATAGTTGGCTATGGTGGTTAAACAAAGCGAGTGGTTTATATCCCTCAAGTTACAAGAAGTCAGGAATGGTTTGTACAGCTCTAGTGCTGAAAACCCCAGCACCATTCACCACCAGCTCCTGTTGCCTTCCTTTGCACCATTAAAAGGACTGTGTAAACTGTAAAGTGCTATATAAGCATAAGTTACTAACAATTCATCATTAGATTTTCCATTCAGACCTCCTAAGGTACTCTTTTCCACTGGCTTTTGATCCTGCAAGCCCCCTCCTAATGCCTTCATCCTCCAGCCTTGGAATGACCTCCCTGAAGACGCTTTGTTCTTTTTATTTTTTTTCTCCACTTCTTATTCAAATCTATTTAGTTCTTGAGTTCACATAGTTTGAAGAGAAAGTTCAGATAGCAATGGATATTGCAGAATCTGAATCTATTTTATTCTTGAATTTTTTTTAATTTTATTATTATTATACTTCAAGTTCTAGGGCACATGTTCACGATGTGCGGGTTTGATACATAGGGATATATGTGCCATGTTGGTTTGCTGCACCCATTAACTTGTCATTTACATTAGGTATTTCTCCTAATGCTATACCTCCCCCTGCCCCCACCCCATGACAGGCCCCCATGTGTGATGTTCCCCGCCCTGTTTCCAAGTGTTCTCATTGTTCAGTTGCCACCTATGAGTGAGGATATGCGGTGATTGGTTTTCTGTCCTTGTGATGGTTTGATCAGAATGATGGTTTCCACCTTCATCCACGTCACTACAAAGGACATTTACTCATCCTTTTTTATGGCTGCATAGTATTCCATGGTGTATATGTGCCACATTTTCTTAATCCAGCCTATCATTGATGGACATTTGGGTTTGTTCCAAGTTTTTGCTATTGTGAATAGTGCCGCAATAAACATACGTGTGCATGTGTCTTTATAGTAGCATGATTTATAATCCTTTGGGTGTATACCCAGTAATGGGATTGCTGGGTCAACTGGTATTTCTAGTTCCAGATCCTTCAGGAATCACCACACTGTCTTCCACAATGGTTGAACTAGTTTACACTCCCAACAACAGTGTAAAAGCATTCCTATTTCTCCACATCCTCTCCAGCATCTGTTGTTTCCTGACTTTTTAATGATCGCCATTCTAACTGGTGTGAGATGGTATCTCATTGTGGTTTTGATTTGCATTTATCTGATGACCAGTGACGATGAGCATTTTTTCATGTGTCTGTTGGCTGCATAAATGTCTTCTTTTGAGAAGTGTCTGTTCATATCCTTTGCCCACTTTTTGATGGGGTTGTTTTTTTCTTGTAAATTTGATTAACTTCTTTGTAGATTCTGGATATTAGCCCTTTGTCAGATGGGTAGATTGCAAAATTTTTCTACCATTCTGTAGGTTGCCTGTTCACTCTGATGGTAGTTTCTTTTGCTGTGCAGAAGCTCTTTAGTTTAATGAGATCCCATTTGTCAATTTTGGCTTTTGTTGCCACTGCTTTTGGTGTTTTAGTCATGAAGTCCTTTCCCATGCCTGTGTCCTGAATGGTATTGCCTAGGTTTTCTTCTAGGGTTTTTATGGTTGTAGATCGAACATTTAAGTCTTCAATCCATCTTGAATTAATTTTTGTATAATGTGTAAGGAAGGGATCCAGTTTCAGCTTTCTACATATGGCTACCCAGTTTTCCCAGCACAATTTATTAAATAGGGTATCCTTTCCCCATTTCTTGTTTTTGTCAGGTTTGTCAAAGATCAGATGGTTGTAGATGTGTGGTGTTATTGCTTAGACCTCTGTTCTGTTGCATTGGTCTATCTCTCTGTTTTGGTACCAGTACCATGCTGTTTTGGTTACTGTATCCTTGTAGTATAGTTTGAAGTCAGGTAGCATGATGCCTCCAGCTTTGTTCTTTTTGCTTAGGATTGTCTTGGCAATGCGGGCTCTTTTTTGGTTCCATACGAACTTTAAAGTAGTTTTTTCCAATCCTGTGAAGAAAGTCATTGGTAGCTTGATGGGGATGGCATTGAATCTATAAATTACCTTGGGCAATATGGCCATTTTCACGATATTGATTCTTTATATCCATGAGCATGGAATGTTCTTCCATTTGTTTGTGTCCTCTTTTATTTTGTTGAGCAGTGGTTTGTAGCTGTCCTTGAAGAGGTCCTTCACATCCCTTGGTGGATTCCTAGGTATTTTATTCTCTTTGAAGCAATTGTGAATGGGAGTTCACTCATGATTTGGCTCTCTGTCTGTCTGTTATTGGTGTATAGGAATGGTTGTGATTTTTGCACATTGATTTTGTATCCTGAGATTTTGCTGAAGTTGCTTATCAGCTTGAGGAGATTTTGGGCTGAGATGATGGGGTTTTCTAAATATACAATCATGTCATCTGCAAAGACGGACAATTTGACTCCCTCTTTTCCTAATTGAATACACTTTATTCCTTTCTTTTGCCTGATTGCCCTGGCCAGAACTTCCAACACTATGTTGAATAGGAGTGGTGAGAGAGGGCATCCCTGTCTTGTGCCAGTTTTCAAAGGGAATGCTTCCAGTTTTTCCCATTCAGTATGATATTGGCTGTGGGTTTGTCATAAATAGCTGTTATTATTTTGAGATACATTCCATCAATATCTAGTTTATAGAGAGTTTTTAGCATGAAGGCTGTTGAATTTTGCCGAGGCCTTTTCTACATCTACTGAGATAATCGTGTGTTTTTTTTCGTTGGTTCTGTTTATGTGATGGATTACGTCTATTGATTTGCATATGTTGAACCAGCCTTGCATCCCAGGGATGAAGCCAACTTGATCGTGGTGGATAAGCTTTTTGATGTGCTGCTGGATTCGATTTGCCAGTATTTTATTGAGGATTTTTGCATCTATGTTCATCATATTAGAGATATTGGTCTTAAATTCTCTTTTTTTAGTGTGTCTCTGCCAGGCTTTGGTATCAGGATGTTGCTGGTCTCATAAAATGATTTAGGGAGGATTCACTCTTTTTCTATTGATTGGAATAGTTTCAGAAGGAATGACACCAGCTTCTCTTTGTACCTCTGGTAAAATTCAGCTGTGAATCCATCTGGTCCTGGACTTTTTTTGGTTGGTAGGCTATTAATTATTGCCTCAATTTCAGATCCTGTTATTGGTCTATTCAGAGATTCAACTTCTTCCTGGTTTAGTCTTGGAAGGGGGTATGTGTCCATGAATTTATCCATTTCTTCTAGATTTTCTAGTTTATTTGCATAGAGGTGTTTGTAGTATTCTCTGATGGTAGTTTGTATTTCTGTAGGATCAGTGGTGATATCCCCTTTATCATTTTTTATTGCATCTACTTGAGTCTTCTCTCTTTTCTTCTTTATTAGTCTTGCTAATGGTCGATCAATTTTGTCACTCCTTTCAAAAAACCAGCTCCTGGATTCATTGATTTTTTGAAGGGTTTTTTGTGTCTCTATCTCCTTCAGTTCTGCTCTGATATTAGTTATTTCTTGTCTTCTGCTAGCTTTTGAATTTGTTTGCTCTTGCTTCTCTAGTTCTTTTAATTGTGATGTTAGGGTGTCGATTTTAGATCTTTCCTGGTTTCTCTTGTGGGCATTTGGTGCTATAAATTTCCCTCTACACACTGCTTTAAATGTGTCCCAGAGACTCTGGTACATTGTGTCTTTGTTCTCATTGGTTTCAAAGAACATCTTTATTTCTGCCTTCATTTCATTATTTACGCAGTAGTCATTCAGGAGCAGGTTGTTCAGTTTCCATGTAGTTTTGCAGTTTTGAGTGAGTTTCTTAATCCTGAGTTCTAATTTGATTGCACTGTGGTCTGAGAGACAGTTTGTTGTGATTTCTGTTCATTTACATTTTCTGAGGAGTGCTTTACTTGCAACTATTTTGGAATAAGTGCAATGTGGTGCTGAGAAGAATGTATATTCTGTTGATTTGGGGTGGAGAGTTCTGTAGATGTCTATTAGGTCCGTTTGGTGCAGAGCTGAGTTCAAGTCCTGGACACCCTTGTTAAACTTCTGTCTCGTTGATCTGTCTAATATTGACAGTGGGGTGTTAAAATCTCCCATTATTATTGTGTGGGAGTCTAAGTCTCTTTGTAGGTCTCTAAGGATTTGCTTTATGAATCTGGGTGCTCCTGTATTGGGTGCATATATATTTAGGATAGTTAGTTCTTCTTGTTGAATTGATCCCTTTACCATTATGTAATGACCTTCTTTGTCTCTTTTGATCTTTGTTGGTTTAAAGTGTGTTTTATAAGAGACTAGGATTGCAACCCCTGCTTTTTTTTTTTTTTTTTTTTTTGCTTTCCATTTGCTTGGTAGATCTTCCTCCATCTCTTTATTTTGAGCCTATGTGTCTCTCTGCACATGAGATGGGTCTCATGAATACAGCACACTGATGGGTCTTGACTCTTTATCCAATTTGCCAGTCTGGGTCTTTTAATTGGGGCATTTAGCCCATTTACATTTAAGGTTAATATTGTTATGTGTGAATTTGATCCTGTCATTCTGATGTTAGCTGGTTATTTTGCCCGTTAGTTGATGTAGTTTCTTCCTAGCATCGATGGTCTTTACAATTTAGCATGTTTTTGCAGTGACTGGTACTGGTTGTTCCTTCCCATGTTTAGTGCTTCCTTCAGGAGCTCTTGTAAGGTAGGCCTGGTGGTGACAAAATCTCTCAGCATTTGCTTGTCTGTAAAGGATTTTATTTCTCCTTCACTTATGAAGCTTAGTTTGGCTGGATATGAAATTCTGGGTTGAAAATTCTTTTCTTTAAGAATGGAATATTGGCCCCCACTCTCTTCTGGCTTGTAGAGTTTCTGCCGAGAGATCCGCTGTTAGTCTGATGGGCTTCCCTTTGTGGGTAACCCGACCTTTCTCTCTGGCTGCCCTTAACATTTTTTCCTTCATTTCAACCTTGGTGAATCTGACAATTATGTGTCTTGGGGTTGCTCTTCTTGAGGAGTATCTTTGTGGTGTTCTCTGTATTTCCTGAATTTGAATGTTGGTCTGCCTTGCTAGGTTGGGGAAGTTCTCCTGGATAATATCCTGAAAAGTGTTTTCCAATTTGGTTCCATTCTCCCCGTCACTTTCAGGTACACCAATCAAATGTAGATTTGATCTTTTCACATAGTCCCATATTTCTTGGAGGCTTTGTTTGTTTCTTTTTACTGTTTTTTTCTCTAAACTTCTCTTCTCACCTTATTTCACTAATTTGATCTTCAATCACTGATACTCTTTCTTCCACTTGATCAAATCAGCTATTGAAGCTTGTGCATGTGTCATGTAGTTCTCATGCCATGGTTTTCAGCTCCATCAGGTCACTTAAGGTCTTCTCTACACTGTTTATTCTAGTCAGCCATTTGTCTAATCTTTTTTCAAGGTTTTTAGCTTCTTTGCAATGGGTTCAAACATCCTCCTTTAGCTTGGAGAAGTTTGTTATTACCAACTTTCCGAAGACTACTTTTGTCAGCTCATCAAAGTGATTCTCCATCCAGCTTTGTTCCTTTGCTGGTGAGGAGCTGTGATCCTTTGGAGGAGAAGAGGTGCTCTGGTTTTTAGAATTTTCAGCTTTTCTGCTCTGGTTTCTCCCCATCTTTGTGGTTCTATCTACCTTTGGTTTTGATGCTGGTGACCTACAGATGGGGTTTTGGTGTGCATGTCCTTTATGTTGATGTTGATGCTATTCCTTTCTGTTTTTTAGTTTTCCTTTTAACAATCAGGTCCCTTAGCTGCAGTTCTGTTGGAGTTTGCTGGAGGTCCACTCCAGACCCTGTTTCCTGGGTATCACCAGCGGAGGCTGCAGGACAGCAAATATTGCAGAACAGCAAATATTGCTGCCTGATCCTTCCTCTGGAAGCTTCGTCCCAGAGGGGCACCTGTCTGTGTGAGGTGTCAGTCGGCCCCTATTGGGAGGTATCTCCCAGTTAGGCTACATGGGGGTCAGGGACCCACTTCAGGAGGCAGTCTGTCTATTCTTAGAGCTCAAACACCATGCTGGGAGAACCACTGCTCTCTTCAGAGCTATCAGACAGGGATGTTTAAGTCTGCAAAAGTTTCTGCTGCCTTTTGTTCAGCTATGCCCTGCCCCCAGAGGTGGGGTCTACAGAAGCAGCAGGCCTTGCACAGCTGCGATGGGCTCCGCCCAGTTTGAGATTCCCCAGTTGCTTTGTTTACCTACTCAAGCCTCAGCAATGGTGGACACCACTCCCCCTGCCAGACTGCTGCCTTGCAGGTCAATCTCAGACTGCTGCTCTAGCAGTGAGCAAGGCTCCATGGGCATAGGACCCACCGAACCAGGCGTGGGATATAATCTTCTGGTGTGCCATTTGCTAAGACCATTGGAAAAGCGCAGTATTTGGGCGGAAGTGTCCTGATTTTCCAGGTACAGTCTGTCATGGCTTCCCTTGGCTAGGAAAGGGAAATCCCCTGACCCCTTGTGCTTTCCGGGTAAGGCGATGCCCCACCCTGCTTCAGCCCACCCTCTGTGGGCTGCACCCACTGTCCAGCCAGTCCCAGTGAGATGAACCAGGTACTTCAATTAGAAATGCAGAAATCACCGTCTTCTGCATCAATCACACTGGGAGCTGCAGACCGGAGCTGTTCCTATTGGGCCATCTTGGAATGGAATCCCCCTTTGTTCTTTTAGAACTATATATGCCTGTAATCCCAGCACTTTGGGAGGCCAAAGCAGTTGGATCACCTGAGGTCAGGAGTTCAAGACCAACCTGGCCAACATGGCGAAACCCCATCTCTATCAAAAATGCAAAAATTAGCCGGGCATGGTGGCGCATGCCTGTAATCCCAGCTACTTGGGGGGTTGAGGCAAGAGGATCGCTTGAACCTGGGAGGCAGAGGTTGCAGTGAACTGAGATCACGCCACTGCATTCCTGCCTGTGTAACATACTCTGATACATATATCGCTGGGCACAGTAGTGAGCACCTGTAGTCCCAGCTACTTGAGAGGTGGAAACAGTAGGCTCCCTTGAGCCCAGGAGTTTGATTCTAGCCTGGACAACATAGCAGGACACCATCTTGATCAACAGATAGGTAGATAGATAGATAGATAGATAGATAGATAGATAGATAGGAGCAATTTTACAAGATCAACAGCAAAAAAATACACTATTGATTGCTTCATCTTTCCTTGAGTAGGCTTTTCACTTCTATTTCTTCTATTTTTATCTTTTGGTTAATGTTTCATGCTCCTCAGCTTGGGATAAATCCATCTGCCTTGACCTGATTACCCTGAGCTGCCTACCCTAATCCCAATTTAGATGTACAAAGTGACCCCATTTGCATACTATTTGACTGCTTACAGATAAAAAGGTATACACTAGTAATACATGAATTTATTACACTCTCTCCCTTATGGAGTTTATCTTAAAGTAACATTATGTGCACTGACAGTGAGAGTTGCACACCTTCATTGATGGGAAATTGGAAATGCATCAAAAAATCTTTAAAATGTTCCTACCCTTTCACTAGGCAATTTCTCTTTTAGACAGTTTCCACTAAGAAAATTATCAGTCATGATAATTTGTTGAATCATATGGTAGGATTAAAAATGGTCAGAAAAGCCCTGTTAGAATATCAAATAATTGGAAATGTCCACAATTAGGGGATTAGTTAAATAGATGATGATATACCTATACAAAGATTAACGATGTTACAGAAATGCATCAACTGAAATGAAAAAAAATTCAGAATCTATTGTCAGGTGAAAAAAATCAATTTACAAACAATATGTATGTGTGCCATTATCCCATTTTTGTTTCTTTTTAAAACTGCTTAGAAAAAGTTCTGGAAAGATATCCATGAAGGCATTAATAGATAGGTGGGGTCGTAAGGCTTCTATACTCTCATCTTGTTTGATCACATTTTTCTGTTTTCCTTGGAAGATCACAAATTACTTGTGTAGTCAAATGACAACAATAAAAAATGTCTTGATGGCTGGAAGGAAAATACCTTAAGTGAAGAGTTAACAGTCCTGCCTATCCAGATAAGTAGTTACCTGCTTCTCCCAGGCCACTAAAGAGTGTTGCACTGTGGGCCTGCCCTTCTGACACAAGGAAATATGTCTTCAGAAAACAGATCTTCTAATGTTATACCCTGACCACCTCTGCTCATACAACTGTAAAGGTGTGAGGAACTAGAGGCTTCTCATCTGGAGGCCCTGATGCAGACAGTTTGGTCCTAATTCAGTAGATTTGCCTGTTTCCTAAAGGAATGAAATCTGCATACCTTCCTGCCTGCCTCCAGAATTCAATAGTATTTTATTAAAATTTGTTACTGTTTCCTTACAAAACAAGCTCTTTATTTTTAACTTCTCTAAGATATATAGTAAAATATGGCAAAGAATCCCATATATCTTAGATCCTCTTAATTCTAGCATCTGACTACATGGATTTGGACTATCATTGCCCTGCTATAAAATAATCATTTTCAGCATCATCATCAATTATATTATTGAGAATACACAATGTGCTAAGCACTGGACTGGGTACTCTATATGTATTATTCAATTTGAAGTTCCCAACCTATTTTGAAGCAGGTGCTGTTATTAGCCCAGTTGGCGAACAAGTGTTAAGTGGCTAACGCAACACTTCCCCACTTCCTAACAATATTCTGGAAAATAAGGATATGGAGGGTACTTACTTATAGGATGGTTGTGAATTTTAGATAAGTGAATACATGGCTGTAAGGAACATGGCTGTGCTGCAGCCAGGCAGGCATAGGCAGAGGCAAACATCCTGCATGACTCAGCAGGATTGGAGCACAGGCGCACAATTTCATACATTATATAATCACAGCTATGTAGCCATAAGATAAGAAAGCTCATCACCTGGCTCTGAGCCACTGTTGTCTGTGAGGCATATAAATGCAGCACTGATACTGTGAGAGTGGGGCTGAATGAAGCCATGTCCCATCTACCTGCTGTCTCTTGAGTATTCTTCCAGCTCCCTGCCCCCCGTCCACCCATTCCCCTTGGGCCTCAGCTGGGGTTCAAAACTGACAATAGCTATCACAAATAAAGCTGCTATGCGGGGAGGAGCCAAGATGGCCAAATAGGAACAGCTCCGGTCTACAGCTCCCAGCGTGAGCGACGCAGAAGACGGGTGATTTCTGCATTTCCATCTGAGGTACCAGGTTCATCTCACTAGGGAGTGCCAGACAGTGGGCGCAGGCCAGTGTGTGTGCGCACTGTGCGTGAGCCGAAGCAGGGCGAGGCATTGCCTCACCTGGGAAGCGCAAGGGGTCAGGGAGTTCCCTTTCCGAGTCAAAGAAAGGGGTGACGGACGCACCTGGAAAATCGGGTCACTCCCACCCGAATATTGCGCTTTTCAGACCGGCTTAAGAAACGGCGCACCACGAGACTATATCCCACACCTGGCTCAGAGGGTCCTACGCCCACGGAATCGAGCTGATTGCTAGCACAGCAGTCTGAGATCAAACTGCAAGGTGGCAACGAGGCTGGGGGAGGGGCGCCCGCCATTGCCCAGGCTTGCTTAGGTAAACAAAGCAGCTGGGAAGCTCGAACTGGGTGGAGCCCACCACAGCTCAAGGAGGCCTGCCTGCCTCTGTAGGCTCCACCTCTGGGGGCAGGGCACAGACAAACAAAAAGACAGCAGTAACCTCTGCAGACTTAAGTGTCCCTGTCTGACAGCTTTGAAGAGAGCAGTGGTTCTCCCAGCACGCAGCTGGAGATCTGAGAACGGGCAGACTGCCTCCTCAAGTGGGTCCCTGACCCCTGACCCCCAAGCAGCCTAACTGGGAGGCACCCCCCAGCAGGGGCACACTGACACCTCACACAGCAGGGTATTCCAACAGACCTGCAGCTGAGGGTCCTGTCTGTTAGAAGGAAAACTAACAACCAGAAAGGACATCTACACCGAAAACCCATCTGTACATCACCATCATCAAAGACCAAAAGTAGATAAAACCACAAAGATGGGGAAAAAACAGAACAGAAAAACTGGAAACTCTAAAACGCAGAGTGCCTCTCCTCCTCCAAAGGAACGCAGTTCCTCACCAGCAACAGAACAAAGCTGGATGGAGAATGATTTTGACGAGCTGAGAGAAGAAGGCTTCAGACGATCAAATTACTCTGAGCTACGGGAGGACATTCAAACCAAAGGCAAAGAAGTTGAAAACTTTGAAAAAAATTTAGAAGAATGTATAACTAGAATAACCAATACAGAGAAGTGCTTAAAGGAGCTGATGGAGCTGAAAACCAAGGCTCGAGAACTATGTGAAGAATGCAGAAGCCTCAGGAGCCGATGCGATCAACTGGAAGAAAGGGTATCAGCAATGGAAGATGAAATGAATGAAATGAAGCAAGAAGGGAAGTTTAGAGAAAAAAGAATAAAAAGAAATGAGCAAAGCCTCCAAGAAATATGGGACTATGTGAAAAGACCAAATCTACGTCTGATTGGTGTACCTGAAAGTGATGTGGAGAATGGAACCAAGTTGGAAAACACTCTGCAGGATATTATCCAGGAGAACTTCCCCAATCTAGCAAGGCAGGCCAACGTTCAGATTCAGGAAATACAGAGAATGCCACAAAGATACTCCTCGAGAAGAGCAACTCCAAGACACATAATTGTCAGATTCACCAAAGTTGAAATGAAGGAAAAAATGTTAAGGGCAGCCAGAGAGAAAGGTCAGGTTACCCTCAAAGGAAAGCCCATCAGACTAACAGCGGATCTCTCGGCAGAAACCCTACAAGCCAGAAGAGAGTGGGGGCCAATATTCAACATTCTTAAAGAAAAGAATTTTCAACCCAGAATTTCATATCCAGCCAAACTAAGCTTCATAAGTGAAGGAGAAATAAAATACTTTATAGACAAGCAAATGCTGAGAGATTTTGTCACCACCAGGCCTGCCCTAAAAGAGCTCCTGAAGGAAGCGCTAAACATGGAAAGGAACAACCGGTACCAGCCGCTGCAAAATCATGCCAAAATGTAAAGACCATCGAGACTAGGAAGAAACTGCATCAACTAATGAGCAAAATCACCAGCTAACATCATAATGACAGGATCAAATTCACACATAACAATATTAACTTTAAATATAAATGGACTAAATTCTGCAATTAAAAGACACAGACTGGCAAGTTGGATAAAGAGTCAAGACCCATCAGTGTGCTGTATTCAGGAAACCCATCTCATGTGCAGAGACACACATAGGCTCAAAATAAAAGGATGGAGGAAGATCTACCAAGCCAATGGAAAACAAAAAAAGGCAGGGGTTGCAATCCTAGTCTCTGATAAAACAGACTTTAAACCAACAAAGATCAAAAGAGACAAAGAAGGCCATTACATAATGGTAAAGGGATCAATTCAACAAGAGGAGCTAACTATCCTAAATATGTATGCACCCAATACAGGAGCACCCAGATTCATAAAGCAAGTCCTGAGTGACCTACAAAGAGACTTAGACTCCCACACATTAATAATGGGAGACTTTAACACCCCACTGTCAACATTAGACAGATCAACGAGACAGAAAGTCAACAAGGATACCCAGGAATTGAACTCAGCTCTGCACCAAGCAGACCTAATAGACATCTACAGAACTCTCCACCCCAAATCAGCAGAATATACATTTTTTTCAGCACCACACCACACCTATTCCAAAATTGACCACATAGTTGGAAGTAAAGCTCTCCTCAGCAAATGTAAAAGAACAGAAATTATAACAAACTATCTCTCAGACCACAGTGCAATCAAACTAGAACTCAGGATTAAGAATCTCACTCAAAGCCGCTCAACTACATGGAAACTGAACAACCTGCTCCTGAATGACTACTGGGTACATAACGAAATGAAGGCAGAAATAAAGATGTTCTTTGAAACCAACGAGAACAAAGATACCACATACCAGAATCTCTGGGACGCATTCAAAGCAGTGTGTAGAGGGAAATTTATAGCACTAAATGCCTACAAGAGAAAGCAGGAAAGATCCAAAATTGACACCCTAACATCACAATTAAAAGAACTAGAAAAGCAAGAGCAAACACATTCAAAAGCTAGCAGAAGGCAAGAAATAACTAAAATCAGAGCAGAACTGAAGGAAATAGAGACACAAAAAACCCTTCAAAAAATCAATGAATCCAGGAGCTGGTTTTTTGAAAGGATCAACAAAATTGATAGACCGCTAGCAAGACTAATAAAGAAAAAAAGAGAGAAGAATCAAATAGACACAATAAAAAATGATAAAGGGGATATCACCACCGATCCCACAGAAATACAAACTACCATCAGAGAATACTACAAACACCTCTACGCAAATAAACTAGAAAATCTAGAAGAAATGGATACATTCCTCGACACATACACTCTCCCAAGACTAAACCAGGAAGAAGTTGAATCTCTGAATAGACCAATAACAGGCTCTGAAATTGTGGCAATAATCAATAGTTTACCAACCAAAAAGAGTCCAGGACCAGATGGATTCACAGCCGAATTCTACCAGAGGTACAAGGAGGAACTGGTACCATTCCTTCTGAAACGATTCCAATCAATAGAAAAAGAGGGAATCCTCCCTAACTCATTTTATGAGGCCAGCATCATTCTGATACCAAAGCCGGGCAGAGACACAACCAAAAAAGAGAATTTTAGACCAATATCCTTGATGAACATTGATGCAAAAATCCTCAATAAAATACTGGCAAACCGAATCCAGCAGCACATCAAAAAGCTTATCCACCATGATCAAGTGGGCTTCATCCCTGGGATGCAAGGCTGGTTCAATATACGCAAATCAATAAATGTAATCCAGCATATAAACAGAGCCAAAGACAAAAACCACATGATTATCTCAATAGATGCAGAAAAAGCCTTTGACAAAATTCAACAACCCTTCATGCTAAAAACTCTCAATAAATTAGGTATTGATGGGACGTATTTCAAAATAATAAGAGCTATCTATGACAAACCCACAGCCAATATCATACTGAATGGGCAAAAACTGGAAGCATTCCCTTTGAAAACTGGCACAAGACAGGGATGCCCTCTCTCACCGCTCCTATTCAACATAGTGTTGGAAGTTCTGGCCAGGGCAATCAGGCAGGAGAAGGAAATAAAGGGTATTCAATTAGGAAAAGAGGAAGTCAAATTGTCCCTGTTTGCAGACGACATGATTGTTTATCTAGAAAACCCCATCGTCTCAGCCCAAAATCTCCTTAAGCTGATAAGCAACTTCAGCAAAGTCTCAGGATACAAAATCAATGTACAAAAATCACAAGCATTCTTATACACCAACAACAGACAAACAGAGAGCCAAATCATGAGTGAACTCCCATTCACAATTGCTTCAAAGAGAATAAAATACCTAGGAATCCAACTTACAAGGGATGTGAAGGACCTCTTCAAGGAGAACTACAAACCACTGCTCAAGGAAATAAAAGAGGACACAAACAAATGGAAGAACATTCCATGCTCGTGGGTAGGAAGAATCAATATCGTGAAAATGGCCATACTGCCCAAGGTAATTTACAGATTCAATGCCATCCCCATCAAGCTACCAATGACTTTCTTCACAGAATTGGAAAAAACTACTTTAAAGTTCATATGGAACCAAAAAAGAGCCCGCATCGCCAAGTCAATCCTAAGCCAAAAGAACAAAGCTGGAGGCATCACACTACCTGACTTCAAACTATACTACAAGGCTACAGTAACCAAAACAGCATGGTACTGGTACCAAAACAGAGATATAGATCAATGGAACAGAACAGAGCCCTCAGAAATAATGCCGCATATCTACAACTATCTGATCTTTGACAAACCTGAGAAAAACAAGCAATGGGGAAAGGATTCCCTGTTTAATAAATGGTGCTGGGAAAACTGGCTAGCCATATGTAGAAAGCTGAAACTGGATCCCTTCCTTACACCTTATACAAAAATCAATTCAAGATGGATTAAAGATTTAAACGTTAGACCTAAAACCATAAAAACCCTAGAAGAAAACCTAGGCATTACCATTCAGGACATAGGCGTGGGCAAGGACTTCATGTCCAAAACACCAAAAGCAATGGCAACAAAAGCCAAAATTGACAAATGGGATCTAATTAAACTCAAGAGCTTCTGCACAGCAAAAGAAACTACCATCAGAGTGAACAGGCAACCTACAACATGGGAGAAAATTTTCGCAACCTACTCATCTGACAAAGGGCTAATATCCAGAATCTACAATGAACTCAAACAAATTTACAAGAAAAAAACAAACAACCCCATCAAAAAGTGGGCGAAGGACATGAACAGACACTTCTCAAAAGAAGACATTTATGCAGCCAAAAAACACATGAAGAAATGCTCATCATCACTGGCCATCAGAGAAATGCAAATCAAAACCACTATGAGATATCATCTCACACCAGTTAGAATGGCAATCATTAAAAAGTCAGGAAACAACAGGTGCTGGAGAGGATGTGGAGAAATAGGAACACTTTCACACTGTTGGTGGGACTGTAAACTAGTTCAACCATTGTGGAAGTCAGTGTGGCGATTCCTCAGGGATCTAGAACTAGAAATACCATTTGACCCAGCCATCCCATTACTGGGTATATACCCAAAGGACTATAAATCATGCTGCTATAAAGACACATGCACACGTATGTTTATTGAGGCACTATTCACAATAGCAAAGACTTGGAACCAACCCAAATGTCCAACAATGATAGACTGGATTAAGAAAATGTGGCACATATACACCATGGAATACTATGCAGCCATAAAAAATGATGAGTTCATGTCCTTTGTAGGGACATGGATGAAATTGGAAACCATCATTCTCAGTAAACTATCGCAAGAACAAAAAACCAAACACCGCATATTCTCACTCATAGGTGGGAATTGAACAATGAGATCACATGGACACAGGAAGGGGAATATCACACTCTGGGGACTGTGGTGGGGTCGGGGGAGGGGGGAGGGATAGCATTGGGAGATATACCTAAGGCTAGATGATGAGTTAGTGGGTGCAGCGCACCAGCATGGCACATGTATACATATGTAACTAACCTGCACAATGTGCACATGTACCCTAAAACTTAGAGTATAATAAAAAAAAAAAATTTAAAAAAAAAAAAAAGAAAATCTATAACCTTATAATAATATCACATTTTGTCTGATATTTGGATCAGATTAAGAAAGACTTGCTTTGTCCTGCATACCATGCTGTTGAGGATCCCATCTTAATGAGGAATTTGGCTCTTTTTATAGGAAACAGAAAATACCTCATTCTAAGGCATATACACAGCAAGGACCTGAGGAGCTTGTGTACTTCATAGAATCATGAACTCAAAGGATAAAAAGGCAAATTAAAAATTATCCTATCCAGGAAATCCCAAGTAGCAGTATGCATACTATCTACATATAAGCACTTAGTCAATTGATTATAAAGTCAGACTGCCTCAGAGTCTCTGAGGGTAGAGCTTGGCAAACAGATTTAAGGAGGATAGGTAACTTGCTCAAGATGACATTGTAAATAGAGAGTGGAGTCAGAATTCACATTCAGATCCAGCTGAGTAAAAAGCTTATTCTATTAACCTAATTAATTGGTCTGTAAAAAGGATTTCCATAAGCTAACTCAAATGGGGCAAACCTGGGTTAAAAGGAAAAAAGCACCTGACCTAGCTTCAAACATCACTTCACCTCTGGAGGAAGTTGGAAAATATTCTAGCAGAAATACAAAATTGGTTTATTGGATTGCTTTTTGAGAAAAGAAAACTTGAGTAGCCTACAAATATAAGGGGCAGATTAACCAAATAGCAGCTGCAGCCATGTAGCCAAAAAACAAAGGGCATTTTCTCTGGCTATATAATTTGCAGAGCCCAGTGCAAAATGAAAATGGGATTCTCCTTGTTCAAAATGCAGGGAAAAAGTACCATTAAAATAATTAAAACATAAAAAAAAAAAAAAGCTGCTATGCACATTCATATACAAGTCTTTGTTTGGATATATGCTTTATTTTCTCTTGGGAAAATACCCAGGAAGGGAATGGCTGGGTCACACAGTAGGGATAGGTTTAACTTTAAAAATAAAAAATAAATAAAACCTGCCAAATGGTTTTTCCAAAGTGGATATTCATTTTATAGTTCCACCAGCAGTGTGTGAGAGTTCTAACACTAGGAACAGTGAGTTTTTTTTATCTTAGCCATTCTAGTGAGCACGTAATGGTATCTCATTATGGTTTTAATCTGTATTTTCCTAATGGCTAATGATGTTGAAAACCTTATTAGATGTATATTTGCCCACCATGTGTCTTCTTTAACTAAGGGTCTATTAAAATAGTTTTCTGACTTTTACATGGGTTGTTGGTTTGCTTATTACTGAGTTTTGAAAGATTTTATACATTCTGGATCCACAACTTTTTATATCAGACATATATTTTATTTATTTATTTATTTATTTATTTTTGAGATGGAGTCTTACTCTGTCACCCAGGCTGGAGTGTAGTATAGATCTCAGCTCACTGCAACCTCCACCTCACAGGTTCAAGTGATTCTCATGCCTTACCTCCCAAGTAGCTGGGACTACAGGCATGCATCACCACACCTGGCTAATTTTTGTATTTTTAGTAGAGATAGGGTTTCGCCATGTTAGCCAGGCTAGTCTCAAACTCCTGGCCTCAAGTGATCTGCCCACCTCAGCCTCCCAAAGTGCTGGGATTACAGGCATGAGCCAGTGTGCCTGGCCCAGATACATGATTTTAAAATATTTTCTCTCGATCTGTAGCTTCTCTTTTCATTCTCTCAACATTGTCTTCCAAAGAGTAGAAGTGTTTAATTTTAAGTCCAATTTATTAATTTGGGTTTTTTAAAAAAATGAATTCTACTTTTGATAATATACCTAAGAAATGTTTATATAAGCCAAGATCACAAAGATTATCTACTTTGTTTTTTTCTGGAAATTTTATAGTTTTAGATCTAAGTCTATTTTGAGTAAATTTTTATATATGATACAGGTATGGATTGAAGTGGTTTTTGTTTTGTTTTGTTTTTGCATGTGAATATCTCCAATTGTTTTAGCACCATTCGATGACAAGACTTTCCTTTCTCCACTAAATTGCCTGTACCTTTGTAAAAAATCAGTTGTCCATATATGCCTGGGTTTATTGCTAGTATCTCTATTCTGTTTTACTAATCTATTTTTCAGATTTTGTGCCAATACTACACTGTCCTGATTACTATAGTTTTATAATAATTTTTGAAATCAGGTAGTGTTAGTTCTCTAACTTTGTCCTACTTTTTCAAATGTTTTAACTATTTCAGATCCTTTGTATTTCCATATGAATTTTAGAATCAGCTTGTCAGCCGGGTGTGGTGGCTCACACCTGTAATCCCAGCACTCTGGGAGGCCAAGGCAGGCGGATCACCTGAGGTCAGGAGTTCAAGACCAGCCTGGCCATGGTGAAACCCCATCTCTACTAAAAATACAAAAAATTATCCAGGCGTGGTGGTGTGCGCCTGTAATCCCAGCTACTCAGAAGGCTGAGGCAGGAGAATCACTTGAACTCGGGAGGCGGAGGTTGCAGTGAGCCAAGATCGCACCATTGCACTCTAGCCTGGGCAACAAGAGCGAAACTCCATCTCAAAAAAAAAGAATCAGCTTGTCAATTTTTATCATTAAAAAACTTGCTTTGATTTTTATTAAGATTGCATTAAACCTATAGACCAATTTTAGGAGAAATAACATCTTAACAATATTGAGTCTTCTGACCCATCAACACAGTATATCTCTATATTTTAAAATTTTTTAAATTTCTCTCAGTAATGTTTTATAGTATTCAGTGTACTGGTGTTTCGTATCTTTTGTCAGATATATCTCTATTTGATTTTTTAAAATATTATTGTAAATGGTAACTTTTATATCAATTTCCCATTGTTTACTACAGGATATATAAGATTTTAAAAAAATTGATCTTGCATCTTATGACTAACTAAGCTTACTTTTTCTAAACCCACAATAGAATTGGATTCCCTATGTAGACTATGATGTCATCTCAAAGACAATTTTACCTCTTCCTGACCAATCTGGATGCCATTTATTTGTTTTACTTGCTTATTGCACTGGCTAGAACCTCTAGCATAGTGAGGAACAGAGTGGAAAGCAGTCTTTCACCATTAAGTGTGATGGTAGCTGTAGGTTTTCTGGATGCCCTTTATCAGGTTGTGGAAATTCCCATCAATTTCTCCTTTGCTGAGAGTTTTTATCACAAATGCTTCTCCTGTGTCTATTGAGATGATCATATGGCTTTTCTTTATTAGTTTGTTAATATGACAAATAACATTGACTGATTTTTCAAATGTTACATCAACCTGCATCCCTGGCATAAACTAAACCCCATTTGCTCACAATGTATTACCCTTTTTTTTTTTTTAAGAGTCTCACTCCAGACTGGAGTGCAGTGGCCTGATCATAGCACAATCATAGCTCACTGCCACCTTGAACTCCTGAGCTCAAGCAATCCTCCTGCCTCAAACTCCTAACTAGCTGGGACTACAGTCACATACCACCATGCACAGCTAATTTTTTTATACTTTGTAGAGACCAGGTCTTGCTATGTTTCCCAAGCTGGCCCCAGACTCCTGGCCTGAAGTGAGCCTCAGCCTCTCAATATTACCCTTTTTATTTATTGTTGGATTTGATTTGCTAAGATTTTGTTTAGAAATTTTGCGTATATGTTCATAAAGGATATTGTTCTGCAGTTTTCTTCTCCTGTAAAGTCTTTTTCTGGTTTTGATATCAGGGATGAGTTTGTATAATCCCAATATTATTTACTTCTTACATATTTGGTAGAATTCAGTGAAGTTACAGGGCCTGGAGTCTTCATTTTGGGAAGGTTTTTAACTATAAATTCTATTTTTAATAATTAGTTATTGTTATTTTTGAGACAGAGTCTCACTCTGTTGCCCAGGCTGGAGTGCAGTGGTGCAATCTCAACTCACTGCAGCCTTGACCTCCTAGGCGCAACTGATCCTTCCACCTCAGCCTCGCAAGTAGCTGGGACCACAGGTGCATGACACGACACCCAGCTAATATTTTTTTCTGTATTTTTTTTGTAGAGATGGGGGTCTTACTATGTTGCCTAGGCTGGTCTTGAACTCCTGGGCTCAAGCAATCATCCCACCTCAGCCTCCTAAAGTGCTGGGATTACAGGTATGAGCTACATCTGGCCCAAACTCAATTTTTTAAATAGAGCTATTTGCATCATTTATTTCTTCTTGAGTAAACTTTGATAGTTTGTGTCACTCAAGGAATTCGACTATTTCTTCTAAGTTGTTGACTTTATTGGCATAAAGAAGTTTATAAACTTCCCTTATTATTTTTTAATATCTGTAAAATATGTAGTGATGTCACTTCTTGCTCCATGCTATTGTCGTCATACATTTTACTAATACATGTGGTATAAACCCCATCGTGCATTTTTATTATTTCATTATTTTCATTTAAAAAGTTGTCTTTTAAAGATATTTAAATTATAATAAAAAGTTATATATTTACTGTATAATGTCTCTAATGTACTCCCTTCCTTTGTATAGATCTATATTTCTATCTGGTATCATTTTCCTCTGCTTGAAGTATTTTCTTTAACATTTCTTGCAATGCAGGTTGGTTCATGATAAATTCTTTCATCTTTTGTATGTCTGGAAAAGTCTTTATTATTTTTTTCATTTTTAGTTTTTAAAAATTGAAATATAACTCATATCATAAAATTTACCATTTTTAAAGTGTATAATTCAGTGGCTTTTAGTATGTTCACAAGGTTGCACTACTATCATCACTATCTAATTCCAGGACATTTATCCCCCCAAAACCCTATACTCATTGATAGCCACTGCCCATTCTCCCCTCCCCACAGATCTTGTCACACTCATCTATTTTCTATCTCTAAGTCCTTCATGTTTGAAAGATACTTTTGCTGGGTAAAGAATTCTAGGTTGACAGTTCTTTCCTTATAATTCTTTAAAGATTTTTTTAATTGTCATTTCATCTTATTTTCAATAAGATCTGCTGTTATTCTAATAAATATTCCTCTGTAATGTGTCTTTTCCCTCTAGCTGCTTTTAAGACTTTTTTTATCAATTTTTTTTTAGCAATTTGATTATGATGTGACCTAGTGCAGTTTTTTTCATATTTCTTGTTTTGGGCAGTTACTGAGCATCTTGGATCTGTGGGTTTATAGTTTTCATAAAATATAAGAAAATTTTGGCCATTATATCTTCAAATTTTTTCAGCTTTCTAATTTCTTTCCCACCTCCTCTAGAGATGCCAATTAAATGTATATTAGCCTTTAAGTTGTCCCACAGCTTACTAATGTTCTTTTTATTTTCTTTTCTCTTTAATAAATTCACTTTTCCCTCTGTATTCCATTGGATAGTTTTTAGTGCTAGGTTTTCAGTTCACTAATCTTTTTTTCCAGCAATGTCTAATCTGCCATTAATAGCATCCAGTGTATTTTTAATCTCAGACATTATAGTTTTCATCTCTATAAATTCAACTTGGGTGGTTTTATATCTTCATGTCTCTAGTTAACTTTGAGCCTATAGAAAGCAGTTATAGTAACTGTTGTAATGTTATCAACTGCTGATTCTAAAAGTTGTGTCAGTTCTGGTTCATTTCTGATTGATTTTTTTAAAATCCTCCTATGAGACATATTTTCCTGCTTCTTTCCATGTCTGGCAATCTTTGATTGGATGCCAGACATTGTAAATTTCACCTTGTTGGGAGATGGATATTTTTGATTTCTATAAATATTCTTGAGCTTTGTTCTGGCATGTAGCTAAGTTACTTGGCAACAGTTTAATACTTTGGACCTTGCTATCATGATTTGTTAGGTGGAACTGGACCAGTGCTCAGTTCGTAGCTAATTATTCCACTATTGAGACAACATCCTTCCCTGTATGTGAGCCAATGCTCTGTAAATCATAAACTTTTTCAGTCTGGCTGGTGGTAAGAGGGACTACTCCCAGCCCTGTATGAATGGCAGTCACTGTTACCTCTAATCCTTTCAAATGGTTCATTACCCAACCTTGGGCAGTTCCTTCACATGCATGTGCTGATCAATGCTCAGCTAAATGCTTTAGGAGAACCCTTTGAAAATTTCTGGAGTAGTCTCTCTGTGAAATTCTCTCTTTGGTACTCTGTCTGGCAAACTCTAGCCCCCTTGGTCTTCACATATTCTGAGCTTCATTTCCTCAACTTAGGGAGACTGCTAGTCCCTGCATCAGCTCTACCTCCCTATGTCATGGCCTTCAAATTTTCTTCACACAGCAATCTGGGACAAGCATAGTGCAAGGAATAGCCCATATACACACAATTGGTAAACTAAACGTTTAAGGACATGTAAGTCATTCTGAGGTATGGACTTAGCTAGGATGGGGATTCAGAAAAAGAATTGATAGCACGGGCTGAGGCAGCTGCTAGTGACTCAATGGATAACTATGTCTTTTGGCTGGTCTCAAAGGAAGAAGAATATCTTCCTTCAGAAGAGGTTGTCTCCTGGTGGGTAATATCATTAGCTGAGATGCCAGAGGCAGGAGAAGCAGCAAGAGAAGGACCTGAGTAGCTTCAGGGAGAAGAGAGGGAGAAAGAAAAGAAAAAGCAACCTCAGGAATTATAAACCTATAAATCATATAAACCAATAAGTCTGCCATTATGTTTATCTCGCAGTCATTAAGGCCAGTTCAAAATCCAAATACAAAATCAGTGTTATCATTTCAAAGCCACATCTCCATCAGCATAAAAAATCTAGGTATCTCTTTGGTTTACCAGTTCTACCTGGTAGATTTCATTTCAGATGAATTTTGGCTATTTCGAGAAATCAAAGCTGCCCTAAAAGAAGCAAGATGAGGTTCTGCTGAAGGTGTGTGAAATAATACAATAAAGGCATGTTCTGAAACAACTTCTCAAAAAAAGAAAGTCATGTAAATTCAACCAAGATGATTGACTATCTTCAAGAGCACAACTCTTGATTATACAAGTTCCAGCATAAAAATAATAAAAACTGTCATGTGAAAAGAAAAGAAAGAAAAAAACCCTGCAAATTTAAGAATGGTTCTGATATGGACAAATGGAGAGCAACAGAAAGGTATTCCGAGGAAATGGTTTGGAGGCATGCTAAAGTGTGACAAAGTAAAAGGTCAATGGAAAGGCAAGGTCATGTGTGGGAGACATTTCCACGGAAAACTCTGTGGGATGAAGTGTTGGGTTTGATATGGCCTATGAAGAATGAAAAGGCAGTGGTGATTCTGATATTCAGAATTTTGTGCATGCCTGGGAAAGTCTTTGAGGTAGTTCTCCGTGGCTATCCAGTTCAAGACACCATAGTTCTCCATGGCTATCCAGTTCAAGACACATCCAGTTCAAGACACCATGGTGGCTGAGCAAAGAGTAGGCCTAGTATGGATGGGGCACATTCAACTTACCAAGAGCTGGCAAACAAACCTACACCTTAAAATAATTCCAAACATCAGCCGGGCGCAGTGGCTCATGCCTGTAATCCCAGAACTTTGGAAGGCCGAGGCGGGCGGATCACCTGAGGCCAGGAGTTCGAGACCAGCCTGACCAATATGGTGAAACGCTGTCTCTACTTAAAATACAAAAATTAGCCAGGCGTGGTGGCAGGTGCCTGTAATCCCAGCTACTCGGGAGGCTAGGGCAGGAGAATTGCTTGAACTCGGGAGGTGGAGGTTGCAGTGAGCTGAGATCACGCGATTGTATTCCAGCCTGGGCAACAAGAGCAAAACTCTGTCTCAATAATAATAATAATAATTCCAAACATCAGCCTTATACCACAATTGAGAATTTTCCCCTACATGGGTCATCTCAGAGTAGCATGCACATGTGATCTTTAAATAAATTCTGTTTGAATTCAATCTATTTATATTAAATTTGAGGAAAAAATGTCCCCAACATTTTTGTCATTGTCTTCATCAGTAACAATTATCTATGTGGAGCACCTTTAGTTTCTTCTCTCTTTTATTTGCTTCTAGAAGAATAATTGTAAACATAAATGTCCAGCTGAAAGCTGGAGAAATAGAATAAGGATGTTCTATATTGTGATAAATATGTATTATGATATAGTGTGACAAACAATGGCCGTAGGTGGAATTCATGCAGTGCTTGCAAGTTATCTATGGATTATTACTTGACACTTGCATGTGAAAGAGATGCAAATATTTCCAGTATTACAGGGGTTGGTAACAGGCACCAAGGTAGTGTGAATGCTTCTACCATGACACATCTCACTCACAGTTAGGCTGCTCCCTATGTGATCCTTCTCATACCCAGGAGGCTTCTAAACAAGCCCAAGGTCCCAGGTTTTTTCCACTTCTATTGTCCATGGACCAGTATGTGGTTTTCATCTCCTCCCCCATCTCCTTGATTATTGTCTCCTTTCTTCTATTTTGCTTTAAGTATTTTTATTTTATTTATTTATATTCTTTTTGTGGCAATCTGGGCGTTGAACTCAGGTAGACCTTGGTTTGAATCCCAGCTGTGACACTTGCTAGCTCTGTGGCTCTGGCAAGTAACTTTCCTGATCCAAAAAATAAAAGCAGGCCTTGTGCTAAAACCTGAAAACAGCCCCAGGACTTGTTGGCTGTCAAGGTTCTTATCAAAGCATAGATTATGCTCGCCTCATCGGATTTGGCTTTTCTGAACACCAGGAAATTTCTGGAGAAAGTAATTCAGAAACATTACTCCCTTCCATGTACTCGCCAAGTACTTGAGCCAGGTATTGTTCTAGGTATTGGGGTTAGAGCAGTGAACTAGCCAGTCCAGTGCCCTACCCTTTAGGAGTTTACATTCCAGTTGTGGGATGTCAGATAATACACAGTAAAGGAATTAAAGATGGTAATAAGTGCTATGAAAGAAAGAAAACCGGGCACCATATTAGGAAGTAACTTGGGGAAGAAGCAAGACAGGGAGAAAGTTGCTTTAGCCAGGGTGGTTAGGAAAGGCTGTTGAGAAGGTGATGCTTGAGCTGAGTGGTGAAGGATGAGAGCAAGCCGGCCATGTATGTTTGTTACCTATTGCTGCATAACAACTTATCCCACAATGTAGCAGCTTAAAATTACAAGCATTTGTTATCTCACAGTTTCTGTGGGTCAGTGATCAGAGCATGGCTTGCCTGGGTTTGTCTGGCTCAGGGTTTCTTTCTCATGAGGCTAAATTCTGGGTATTAGCTGGATCTCCAGTCAGCCCAAGGCTGTCCTGCAGGAGAATGGGCTTCCAATTGCACCCACATGACTATTGGCAGGCTCTGGGTTCTCACTGGCTGTTGGCCAGAAACATCAGTTCTTTGTCATATGGGCCTGTCCATTCGGCAGCTGACAATAGGTAGGAGGCACTTCCCTCAGAGCAAGCCAGCAAGGTGAGAGAGAGAGGGCAGCCTGAATGGGAGCTGCCTTCTTCGAGTAACCCATCATTTTCACTGCATTCTATTCACTATAAGCGAGTCACTAAATCCAACCCGTACTCAAGGGGTGGGGATTCTACAAAGGTGTGAATACCAGGAGGCAGGGGTGAGTGGGGCCATCTTAGAAACTGCCTATTGTACCATGGATGCAAAGTGCTGGGAAAGAATGTTCAGGGCAGAGGGAAGGTCTAGAGCAAAGAGACCCTGGTTGTGTTTGAGGAAGTGAGAGGAGGCTGATGGAAGCAGAATGTACTGAACAAAGTGGGGGGAAAGAAAGATAGGAAATAAGATAGTTAGAAGGCAAACCATGCAGAGCCTGGAAAGAAATTTTGATTATCCTAAGTGCAGTGGGAACCAGTAAAGGGTTTTAAGCAAGGGAGTTAGTGATGTAATCCAACCACTTGAAATTTTCCAGACCTTGATGGTAGATGTAGCCCCACCAGGGCCTGAAGGTAGGAGGCGAAAAGAAAAGATTCTTTTGCTCTAAAAAATGTCAATGGCATGCAAATGCCTATCCAACTAAGTATAAAGACTTCAGGGTCTTATAAATATTCTCCAAGCTATCCTTACAGCCTTATCTCTCACTACTTCCCAAAACTCCAGTCAAAATGATGTTCCCCAAGCATACACTGTGTTTTCCTGTCTCAGAGCCTATGCTGTTTCCTCTGGAGGACTCTGGAGGACTGCCCCTACTATCTCCATCTGTCAAAATTGAGCTGTTTTTGTCAAGACCCTTCTCAAGTGCCACCTCCTAGGTGATACCTTTCCTAATTTTTCCCTTTTTTGAATGCCCATTGCTCTTTGTTTAATCCCCTTTTTGAATTTACCATGTCTTTCCTAGTTTTAGTAGTTCATGTTTAGATTGTAAATTCCTTGAAAGCAGGCACTTTGCTTTCCTTATTTTTGTAATCCATTCAGAAGCGAGGGCTTGAGCATTTGTAATCAGTGTTCAACCAACACTTGTCAACTTGAATTAAACTGGGAACTAGACCATGACAACAGCTTTGGTTGGCTGTGAGGGCTTCTGAGGAATAAGACAGTAACCAGTTAACACCAAGTTATAATTTTCCTATCACAACTCACAAATTTTAAAATTTTGCTTTCTAAAGTTCAAGAAAAGTGTTGAGTGTATGCTACCTTTCATGTGAAAAAGAAAGGTTTATAAGAAAGTATACATGATCTTATTTTTGCAAAAAGAAATAAAGTAAGGATGCATCAGAAACTAACTGCAGAGAGCGGATGGGACCAGGATGGGAAGAATGGAGGAGGAAGAACAGGATAAAGGATTGAGGGGAAGTTACACTTCTCTGATTATACCTTTTTGTATAGTTCTAACTTTTAGAACCATGTTGAGATTCCACAAACTAAAAAATAAATAGACTAAATGAAATTTGGTATATTCATACAATGGGATATTATTCAAGAAATATAATAAGAATGTAATAAGAAATGAAGTACTGATGCATTCTATAGGATGGAGAATCTTGAAAACATTATGCTAGATGAAGAATATATAACATATCCAGACAGACAAATCCAGAGACAGAAAGCAGATTAGTGGTAACCAGAAGCTGTGTTAGGGGTGGGGGGTTGAGAAGGGTAATATGGAACGACTGCAAATGGGTACTGGGTTTCTGTATTAGTCCATTCTCACATTGCTATAAAGAAATAGTTGAGACTTGGCTGGGCGTGGTGGCTCATGCCTGTAACCCCAACACTTTGGGAGGCCGAGGCGGGCAGATCATGAGGTCAAGAGATCGAGACCATCCTGGCCAACACGGTGAAACCCCGTCTCTACTAAAAATACAAAAATTAGCCGGGCGTGATGGCACAAGCCTGTAATCCCAGCTACTCAGGAGGCTGAGGTAGGAGAATCACTTGAACCCAGGAGACAGAGGTTGCAGTGTGCTGAGATGGCACCACTGCACTCCACCCTGAGTCTCAAAAAGAAAAAAAAAAAGAAAGAAAAGAAAAGAAAGAAAGAAATACCTGAGACTGGGTAATTTATCAGAAAATAAATTTAATTGTCTCATGATTCCACAGGCTGTACAGGAAGCATGATGCTGGCATCTGGTGGCTTCTGGGGAGGCCTCAGGAAACTTACAGTCATGATGGAAGGCAAAGGGGGAGCAGATATTCACATGGCCGGAGCAGGAGCAAGGGCTGGGGAGGTGGTACACACTTTCAAACAACCAGATCTCACAGAACTCACTCAGTATTGCAAGGACAGCATCAAGAGGATGGTGCTAAACCATTCATTAGAAACCTCCCCCATGATCCAGTCACCTCCCACCAGGCCCCACATCGAACACTGGGGATTACAATTCAACATGAAGTTTGGGTGGGGACACAGATCCAAACCATATCAGTTTCTTTTTAAGGGATGAAATGCTCTGGAATTAGAAAATGATAGTGATTGACTAACTTTGTGAACATACTAATAACCACTGAATTGTATACTTTAAAATGGTGAATTTTATGGAATGTGAATTGTATCTTAACTTTTAAACTAAATACGTAAATAAAATCAGCCACAAGTGTCAGAGGAAATGCAAGTAGATACAAATGATAACAAATCAACCTAGCTGTAATACATATGAATAACAGTACTGAAGGTGGTAGGAAAGAAAAGAACTAACCTAAGTAACTGGGAAAGAGTATTTTGACTGGCTACTGCAAGGCTGACAGTAAAAGGAACACAAATATTGCATTCTAATTAATAAATTTGTTTTTCACAGAGAAACAGATGAACAATTCTAAAACTACTTTATGGGTATTCTAGGACTACAAAAATAAATAAATGTATTATGGATAATGACAGCCAGGTTTCTCACTGTCAGAAGAGGGAAAAAGGAAACAGGGAGTTTAGAATGAACTTGATAGTGTTGGATTGGCAGTGAAGGTTTCAGAGTGGACTGTTGGTTTCCAACATATATGCAAATAGATAAGTACAGAAATAAATGTAGATGTGTGCATATGTATGTGCAAACATACATACATTTCTTAGTTCTCTCTGTTGAGTCTAGAAGCAATGACACCCTAGAAGCAATGAGCACACCTAGAATCGAGATCTTGGTTTCAAAATTCCATTCTCCATTAAAGGAAACCAGGGCTTCTCAGAGAAATGTCTTTTTCCAAAGTTAGGGCAAAAAGTTACAAAAGCCTAGAACATCTTCTGGAAAAAGAAAGTAAGAAAATGCTAAAAAATCCCAGGGGAATATTGAAAAACATAGATGAGTCAATGTGAAGGTGCTCCCAGTGGCCAAATCTGGGACAATGTGACCAATAAAAATAAGAATAGTAATGGATTGTAAATCATAGAATAAAATAAATACCCTTGAGTACATACTAATATAAAAATTGAATAAGTAAATAATTGGAGGAGAATAGACAGCTTTTCCTTGAAGGAGAATTCCAATTAACAAATGTAGATAGAAAGATGAAGACAGAAAATCACCATTTGGCAAATACCACAATAGTAACTGTTGCAGGCAAGCATCATTTTAGCAAAGAATGCTAAAATTCATGGACAAAGTATAATGAGGGTGTGGTGGCAGGCACATGTAGTCCCAGCTACTCAGGAGGCTGAGATGGGAGGATCACTTCAGGCTAGGAGTTTGAGTCCAGCCTAGGCAACATAGTGAGACCTGGTCTTAAAAAAAAAAAAAAGTGGGGGAGGGGCAGGCAGGTGGCTCACACATGTAATCCTAGCACTTTGGGAGGCCCAGGTGGATGGATCACTTGAGTCCAGGAGTTTGAGATCAGCCTGACCAATGTAGCAAAACCCTATCTCTACTAAAAATACAAACAAAATTAGCCGAACCTTGTGGCACACACTTGTAATCCCAGCTACTCAGGAGGCTGAGGCACAAGAATCATTTGAACCAGGGAGGCAGGGGTTGCAGTGAGCAGAGATCGAGCCACTGCACTGCAGCCTGTGTGACAAAGCAAGACTCTGTCTCACACACACACAAAAAATAAATAAAAAAGAGAAACAGGATAGTTTTTAAGTATCTCTCCACAGATACTTACTAATTACAAAGAGAACAGTAACAACTTTTCATTTAAAAAACCTGACAGACACCATGTTAACCAAGTGATCTAAGTTCAAAGTAAAAGAAGAGAAAAAGATGCACCATAAGAAAGCTAAAATACCTGCACTAGTTTCAGACTAAGTAGATCTCAAAACAAAGGATATCACTGTGGATAATGGTTCATTTCATAATGATAATCAAAATGATGCACTTAGTGACAGAGCTTCAAAATACATGAAACAAAAATTGATAGTGTCAAGTAGACAAATCCACAAGTTGAATTGGAGATTTCAATACCGTTTGCAGAAATTCAGCAAGGATAAAGCAGATGTAAATAATATTAACCAACTTGACTTGATTGTCACTTATCAAACACCAATAACAGTCAAATACATATTGTTCTCAAGTGTGTATGGAACATTCACCAAAATAGATCATATTCTGGTCATAAAACAAGTCTCAATACATTCAAAAAGATTCAAGCCGTGCAAAGTATGTTCTTTGACCATAATGGAGTAACATTAGATATTAATAACATATATTTTTAGATAAATCCCCAAATATTTGGAAACTAAATGATATACTTCTAAATAACATATAGGTAGAATAAATTAAAAAGTGATTAAAATTATTTTGAATGGGTAAAAATAAAAAAAAACAAATTTTAAATTCAGCTGAAAAATTTTTAAAAAGAAAAACATAACAAATCAGAACTTTTGAGATGTTGCTAGGGCATTTTTTAGAGGGAAATTTATAGCACCAAACACTTACAGTAAAAGAAAGTTTTCAAATAAATAACCTCAACTTCCTCTTTAAGGCACTGGAAAAAGCAGAGACAATTAAATCAAAACTAAGCAGAAGAAAACAAAAAATAAGATCAAGGCAAAATTAATGAAACAGAAAATAGAAAAACAGGCCAGGCATGGTGGCTCACGTCTTCACCCCAGCACTTTGTGAGGTTGAAGCGGGTGGATCATCTGAGGTGAGGAGTTCGAGACCAGCCTGGCCAACATAGTGAAACTGTTTCTACTAAAAATACAAAAATTAGTTGGGTGTGGTGGCGGGTGCCTGTAATCCCAGCTACTCAGGAGGCTGAGGCAGGAGAATTGCTGAAGGTGGAGGTTGCAGTGAGCCGAGATTGCGCCATTGCACTCCCACCTGGGTGGTGAGTGAAACTCTATCTCAAAAAAAGAAAATAGAAAAAGAATAGATAAAATCAATGAAATCGAAAGGTGGTTCTTTGAGAAAATCAATAAAATTGATAAGAAATGTTGCTAGACATATTAGTGGAAAACGAATAAACAAATGACAATGAGAGGAATAAGAGAGGTGACATCATTTCAGATGCTACAGATATTATAAGGATAATAAGGGAATATTATGAACAATTTAAGCCAATAAATATGACAATTTAGATGAAATTAATAATTTCCTTGAATGTCACAAATTACCAGAACTCACTCAAAAAGAAATAAATAGTCTAAATAGCCCTATGCTTATTAGAGAAAATGACATAGTTCAAAAACCTACCACAAAGAAAACTCCAGGCCCAGAAGACATCATGGGTGAATTCTACCAAACACTTACGGAAAACAAGTAATACTAATTCTACACAAAGTTCTTCAAAAATATTTAAAATAGGGGAATAGTTCCCAATTCTTTCTCCAAGGGCAGGATTACCCTTAAAACAAAATCAGACAAAAACATTACAGGAAGAGAACACTATAGACCAATATCTCTCATAAATAAGCCATATACAAAATGGTAACAAACTGAATTCAACAATTATTAAAAGGACAATATATCATATGGCCAAGTGAGATTTATCTCTGGAATGCAGGGCTTAACATTTGAAAGTTAATCAATATAATTCAACATATTAACAAACTAAAAAAAATTATATGATTATCTCAATAGATGTTGAGAAAACATTTAACAAAGTTAAACATTCATTCCTGATAAACACTCTCAGAAAACTCAAATTAAAAGGAAACTTCTTCAACCTGAAAACAGGCAGCTAAGAAACCTATAGCAACCATCATAGTTAATGATGAAAGCCTAAATACTTCCCCCCTAACACCAGGAACAAGTCAGGAATGTCTGCTATTAGCACTTAAATTCAACATTGTACCAATGGTTTTAGCCAGTGTGATTGGGCAAGAAAAAGAAATAAAAGTCATCAAGATTGAAAAGGAAGAAATAGAACTATTTTTATTGCAGGTGACATGACTGTGTAGGAAATATCATAGAATCTACAAAGAAATCAATTAGAACTAATAATTGAGACTAGCATGATTCTAGAATAGAACAAAATATAAAAAATCAAATATATTTTTCTATACTAGCAACAAATAATTGGAAATTGAAATGTTTAAAAATATCACTTATGAAAATACAAAAATGAAATACTTAGAGATAAACTTCACAAAATTAGCAAACTACCTATACACTAAAACTACAAAATATTGCTGAAAGAAATTAAAGAAGACCTAAACAAATGGAGAGATATGCCCTGCTCATAGATCAGAAGACTCAGTGTTATAAAGATATCAGTTGCTCTCAAATTGATCTATGGATCCTATACAATCCTACTCAAAGTCCCAGAAGGGTTTTTTTTTTCCAGAATTGACAAGCTGGATCTGAAATTTTTATGGAAATACGAAGAACCTAGAATAACCAAACAACTCTGAAAAAGACAAGGTTGGGATGACACAACCTGATTTCAAGAATTATTATAATGCAGCATTAATGAATACAGTATGAAATTGATATAAAGTTTAAAAAATAACTCAACAGAACAGAATGAAAAGTACATAAATAAATCCACACAAATATAGGCAACTGATTTTTGACTGAGGTGCAAAGGTAATGAAGTAGAGAAAGGATAGCCTTCTCAACAAATCATGCTGGAGCAATTGCATAAGCACGTGGGAAAAAATGAACTTAGAACCAAGCTCACACCACATGCAAAGATTAACCCAAAATGGATCATAGACCTAAATTTAGAAACATAAATCTATACAATTTCTAGAAGAAAACATAGGAGAAAGTCTTTGTGACCTCAGATTAGGCAAATATCTCTTCTGCAGAAGCACATACTAAAGTGTTCAACATTATTAGCCATTAGGAAAATGCAAATTAAATCCACAATGAGATAACACTACACACCTATTAGAATGGCTAAAATTTAAAAGATTGACATGCCAAGCATTATGAAGATGTGGAGGAACTGCACTCTTGTGAATTTTTGTGATAATGTAAATGGTAGAACCACTTTGGAAAACAATTAGGCAGTTTCTTAAGAAGTTGAACATATAATGTTCATGGATCATGACAGCATGATCCACCCATTCCTCTCCTGGATATTTACTCAAGAGGAAATTCAATATATAACCATATAAACACTTTTATACAAATATTCATAAAAGCTTTACTTGTAATAGCCAAAAGCTGGAAATAGCGCCACTGTCCATCAAGAGGTGAATGGATAAACTATGGCATACCTGTAAAATGGAATACTACTCAGCCATAAAAATAGTGATTGCTATATACAACATATGGATGAATCTTAAAATTATCATACTGAGTGAAAGAAGCCTGCTTAAAAAAAAGAGTACATACTATATGATTAAATGTATATAAAACTAGAAAATGCAAACAATCCATAGTGACATAAAGCAGATCAGTGTCTGCTTAGAGATGGGAGATGAGATGGTGTGGGAGGGAGGGATTACAATGGCTTATGAGAAAACTTTTGGGGGTGATAGGTATGTTCACTGTCTCAACTGCAGTGAGGATTTCATGCGTGTATACACATGTAAAAATTGTAGACTTGGGCCGAGCACAGTGGCTCACGCCTGTAATCCCAGCACTTTGGGAGGCTGAGGTGGGCAGATCAGCTGAGGTCAGGAGTTCGAGACCAGCCTAGCCAACGTGGTGAAACCCCGTCTCTACCAAAAATACAAAAAATTAGCCAGGCATGGTAGCAGTCACCTGTAATCTCAGCTACTCAGGAGGCTGAGACAAGAGAATCACTTGAACCCGGGAGGCAGAGGTTGCAGTGAGCCGAGATTGCGCCATTGCACTCCAGCCTGGGTGACAAGAGCGAAACTCCATCTCAAAAAAAAAAAAAGAAAATTGTAGACTTTAAACATGTAGTTTACTGTAAAGTTTATATATATAAAGCTTATGTATCTGAATATAAAATTTATGTGTAAACTTTAGCGTGTGTGTATATATATATACACATATATCTATTTTTATTGAGATATAATTGACGTACAATAAAGTGCACATTTAGAAATAAAGTGTTTTTTTTTTTAACTTCAGCCCAGAAGTGAAAAATGTCACTTCTTCTCATGTTTCATTGGCCAGTCAAAGTCCAAATGTCCACACCTAACTCCAGGGAGGCCGGAGAGTACATTCTCACCACATGTTTGGAAGAATAGTTGAATATTTGTATATAGTACTAATGACTACCACACTCTGCAGTAAGCATGGTGTTCTCCCCTTCCCTTCCCTTCCCTTCCCTCCCCTCCCCTCCCCTCCCCTCCCCTCCCCTCCCCTCCCCTCCCCTCCCCTCCTCTCTTCTCTTCTCTTCCCTTCTTTTTGAGATGGGGTCTCACTCTGTCACCCAGGTTGGAGTGCAGTGGTGCAATCTCAGCTCACTGCAACCGCTGCCTCCCAGGCTCAAGCAATCCTCCCATATCAGTCTCCCAAGTAGCTGAGACCACAGTTACACACCACTACACCTGGCTAATTTTTGGTAGAGACGGGGTTTCACCATGTTGCTCAGGCTGGTTTCAAAATCCTGAGCTCAAGCAATCTACTCGCCTTGGCCTCCCAAAGCGCTAGGATTACAGGCGTGAGCCACAGCACCTGGCCCTGTTTCTTAATAAATAAAGCACTTGTTCCAATTGTTACATAATAGAATTGACATTCATTTGCAGAACCACCAAATAACATTAGACTTAGCAGCCCTGACTCAAAACTTCTGCAAAGATTGATCTTGTTTTGCTTGTGATGGGGAGGATCAAAAGTTAAATAAGATTAACCAGGTAACCCAAATCTTTTAGAAATTACTACTTCTTGGAATATAAGAAAATAAACGTAGAAAGAAACTAAACTAGAAGAAAGGATGAACAACCATTTGGTCTAGCCCCTGTCTTCTGGCCCATGAAGTTTAATGTAAATTATAGACAGGGGATGGTGGATCAGAGAATGACTCCATAATGATAAATTAATTTTTCCTGAATTGATTCTCTTCGTGGTCAAGAAATTATTTTTCATATCCAACTAAATTTTTTTTTAATTTATTTATTTTACTTTTTAGAGACAAGGTCTTGCTTTTCTGCCCAGGTTGGCCTTGAACTCCTGGGCTCAAGGGATCCTCCCACCTCAGCCTTCCAAGTAGCTGGGACTGCAAGCATGTGCCACTGTGCTTTGCTTAAAAATGTTTATTTTTATTTAAATAAATTTCCTTTTGTTCTGTTCTTAGTAGTCACCCTGATGAATTGATCAGAAATATCCAGGCCAAAGCTTCATAGCATGTGAAAGGGTTAGCATCTTTAATGTACAAAAACATTCTTGCACGTCAGCATGGAAAAAAGACATTTTGCTTATTTTTCTAGCCACATGGCCGATTGTGTTAATATAGTCCCTCTCCCACCCCTAGCAGGCCCCTTTTTCTGAAACACACATAGAAACACTGTGCCTGCTGTGTTACTTTCTGTACTTTTTATATGTTCTTTTAAATGTTGATAACTTTTTAAGAGAAAAACAAACTAGGATGTTTGTTATATCCATTTAGGATATAAAAAATGGTCTAAGCCAGGTGCGGTGGCTCACACCTGTAATACCAGCATTTTTGGAGGCCAAGGCAAGAAAATTGTGTGAGGTGAGGAGTTTGACACTAGTCTGGGCAACATAGCAAGACCCTGTCTCTGCAAAAATAAATAAATACATAAATAAAACTAAAAAAGTGCTGGGCGTGGTGGCATATAACTGTAGTCCCAGCTACTCGGAAGGCTGAGGTGGGAGGATCTCTCGAGCCCAGGAGATCAAGACTGCAGTGAGCTACGATTGCACCACTGCACTCCAGCCTGGGTGACAGAATAAGACCCTGTCTTAAAAACAAAACAAAACAAAACAAAACAAAAACAAAGGTCTAAGAGGACATGGGCAATTCATGAAAGAAAAATATGTGTAAACAATAAACATATGAGGAAATAAGTAATTTATTATTCTAAGAAGTAATTTAAGTTAAAATAGCAATGAGATACCATTTCAGCTGCAAAACTGGCAAATATTTTTAAAAATGAAAATGCCCAGAACTATTGAGGTTATCAAACCTATATTTACAGTAGGATATTCAGTTTATATGAACTTGTTTGCTATATGAGAGTGGTGGGATTATGCCTATTTTACATTTTCTTCTTTTTGCTTATGTGTATTTTTTAATGCTTCTATAATAAATATGAATTACTTTTGTAACAAAATGTACACTTTATTTTATTTATTTTTTTACATGCAATACTTTTATTTTAGACATGCAAGGAAAGCTGTTTCAGAATCTACTGTTTATTATTTTTTTAAGACAGAGCCTTGCTGTGTCGCCTAGGCTGGAGTGCAGTGGCACAGTCTCGGCTCACTGCGACCTCCACCTCCAGGGTTCAAGCGATTCTCATGTCTCAGCCTCCCTAGTAGCTGGGACTACAGGTGTGCACTACCACACCGGGCTAATTTTTGTGTTGTTAGTAGAGACAGGGTTTCATCATGTTGGCTAGGCTGGTTTCAAACTCCTGGGCTCAAGTAATCCTCCTCGGCCTCCCAAAGTGCTGGGATTACAGGCGTTAGCCACCACCCCAGTCCACAAAATGTACACTTTAATCTCCCCCTTTTAATTGAGAGCAATTTCGCTATCTTGAAGTTCTCTTTCTCTTTCTTTTCTTCATGCTAACCAATTCCAATTTTCTTCATCTTTCCTTAGAAGACCTAATTTTCATACTAAAATTATATTTATCAAGCTTTTTAAGACTTTATTTTTGCCATGTGCTTAATTAAATTGAGCTTACTTTCAGAATTACTCTACCATAATGACTTTAATTTTTGAAAAATCCTTTTCTAGTCTCTCTGTAACTTAACAGACTTCCATTTGCACTACATTTCATTTAAAATATACATTAGCCAGATTGACACTTAAAACATGTTCACCCTGTGTTCTTTTGTCTAAAAATAGACTTATTAAGTGTCTTCTGTGTACTCTGGTACTGTCCCTATGTGTCATAGCAGAGATGCATTCCTATCAGTGTATGTGGGCACGTGTGTGTGTGTGTGTGTGTGTGTGTGTGTGTGTTTGCATGTATAAAACATATGCCTTGGACGGGCGCGGTGGCTTACGCTATAATCCCAGCACTTTGGGAGGCCGAGGCAGGCAGATCACAAGGTCAGGAGTTTGAGACCAGCCTGACCAACATGGTGAAACCCCATCTCTACTAAAAATAGAAAAATTAGCTGGGCATGGTGGGGCACGTCTGTAGTCCCAGCTACTCAGGAGGCTGAGGTAGGAGAATAGCTTGAACTCGGGAGGCGGAGGTTGTAGTGAGTTGAGATCACGCCACTGCACTCCAGCCTGGGTGACAAAGCGAGACTCCATCTCAAAAACAAAAACAAACAAACAAACATGTGCCAGGCTCTGGGCTAAATGGCTTCTAAGCTTTACTTCATTTGGTCCTCACAACACTTTTATGAGATCATCATTATTGTTTCCATTTTACAGATCAGGGTTAGAGAGGGGAGCTCTAACATGCTAGAGATTAGCCTGAAAGCACAGGAGCTAGGCCATGCAGATGGCATGCAGGAAGGAAAGAGGGTAGTATAGAAATAAGACTATGTACAAGGCAGCATATGAGAAATGCTACAAATACGTTTCTGAACACACATTTTCTGGACCTTCACTGATTTCAATAATTTGGTTGCAGAGGACGGATTTCATGGGTATGGGAACAGTGCAGCTGCACATGGCCCCAGGTTCAGAAGAGCCCTGCATGCTTGGAGTTTAATGCTCTGCAGTTGCTTGATATTCTTAATAATTTAATCTTTGAATTTGTGTCTTGAATTCTTAATAATTTAATCTTTGAATTTGTGTTTTGCAAGTGAAGTCCAATGGACATTGAAGCACGTGCCATTAGCTTACATGCGGTTCTGCCTGCTGCCAGCTCCCCACCTCCCTGAGAATAGGTCCTTGGCAGCCTGTTCTCCATTGCCTGGTTCCTGGGACCCTGCCCAGCCACCCCCTCTCCACATCTGCTCTCCCCACTGTGGCCCCTGCCTGCCTTTAACTGGGATGGCAACTATGTTGTGTCTGGCAGAGGTGGGGGTTGGGGGGTAACATTCTGCTGTCATCCTCTGCTTTCAATAGGGACCTGGAGTTGCACCCGGGGAGACTTGAGGCTGGGCATCCAGGGTCTCTTTGCAGCAGGGCCTGGCAGCACCACAACTGTTAGGGGGCAACTCGCCTCTGCCCCACCCCCAATCCAGGCACTGAGCTTGTCCTGGCACTGAGGTTTCAATCCCTTCAGGGCCAACCATCTGCTGCAGGTTGGCCCGGCACCAAGCATTGGCCTGTGGCTGGAGGGAGGGGGACCCCGGAGCCTGTGAGGACTCACACTTGCCCTGGGAGTATCCCCTGCCCAAAGGCGAACTATATTAAAGAGCAAATTTTAAAAGCACATCATGACCGACAGGTCAAGATAGATGGTGAAAGAAAGGAAAAGCTTTGTATTTCAGCACTTTTAATGGCACTTTTTCTTCCTAGCCTTTTGAACAAGGGCCTGCATTTTCATTTTGTACTAGGCTGGAAAATTATGTAGCCAGTCCTGCTGTCTCATGGTTAGCTTCAGGCAATCAGAGGAGGGAATGGTTTACTCCAGGAGGAATGGTGACTTCTTATTTGCTTATTCCACCCTTCTTTACCTTTGCCTTCAAAATGTTTATTCAGGGAGTCCTACTGCCTGCTGTTACTGGTGTTGGCAGAAGATAGCACTGGTGACTGTTTTCTGCAGAGGAAGCTGCCAACCGTTGATATAATTTCTTCTTTTCTTTTTTCTTTTTTCTTTTTTTTTTTGAGACAGAGTTTTGTTCTGTTGCCCAGGCTAGAGTGCAGTGGCACGATCTTGGGTCACTGCAACCTCTGCCTCCCGGGTTCAAGCGATTCTTGTGCCTCAGCCTCCCTAATAACTGGGATTACTACTGGCATGCACCACCATGCCTGGCTAATTTTTTTATTTTTGGTAGAGAAGGGGTTTCACCATGTTGGCCAGGCTGGTCTCAAACTCCTGACCTCAAGTGATCCGCCCACCTTGACCTCCCAAAGTGCTGGGATCATAGGCGTGAGCCACCGTGCCCAGCCCTGATATAATTTTTTGACTGTGCATGGGAAAAGGTGGTGGAAAAAAGGGAAATGAGAAATCAGGAATTTGAGATTATTAAACTGTGTGACTAACCATCACCTCCCATAACTGCAGTCCTGTAATGTTCTGTTTTGACGCTGTGTATTCCTCATTTTGGCAACCTCATCTTCAAGGAAATCACTCAAAAAGCTGACTGGCAGGCTGGCTGGCCAGAGTAGAAGAGCTGTTTATTATCGGGATGGCAATGTACAAAGCGAGCTGCCCCAGGGTGCATTCCTTTCAGCTTTATTGAAAGCCAGTTTCTACAGGTATCTCTCTGGTGAAAAGGCAGTCCTTCTTTTGAAGACACCAGCTCGAGTGCCAGATAGAGCTCGGAATAAAGCACTTGGCATTGCTCATTCCTGCAGATAATGGCCTTAATGCATTGGGAAAAGCAGCTTGGGACCAATGCTGTGGTGAGTCAGTCAACAGGGTCATCTCCACACAGGAAGGACAGGAAAGAGGCTCACAATCGCAGCAGGGGCTGGGCCTGGAGAAGGTATTCTGTGGCAAGTTGGATTTTCTCACAGCACCGATACAGTAGGTAGGTGCGTGCTGACGGCTTAATCTTAACTCTCCTTTTTTATTGACCATAAATGCCATATTTAAATCAACTATAAATGATACAATTACATACTGCCCAGTGGTAAGCTTTCAAAATGTAAATCAGTCTGGGAATACAGAAATCGATTATAAGTATTTTCAATGATCTTTGTTTAACTGTTTAGGGGACTCCCCGGAAGTGGGCTTGTGTAAGTGTGGGAAATGTGGGAGGAAAGGGCTAGAAAAGGGAAGAGGAGCTTGGGCTGAGAGGGAAGAATCCAGGGGGACTGTAGGTGGCAGGGTGTGTGTGTGTGCACCTCCTGGCTTCACCTTGTAACAGTTGTGGAACTGGCAAAGAGCCCCCAGGGCGAACTGCTGAAGGGTGAACTTTCCTAGGTCAAGGGAAACCCATATCATACTGTTTATTATTAGTCGCTAATGAAATTAATATTTATGTCCCCAAATGAAATATCGAATATGTCTACATGCTGGAGACAGACTTTTTTTTTTTCTTTTTGAGACGGAGTCTCGCTCTGTTGCCCAGGCTGGACCGCAGTGGCATGATCTTGGCTCACTGCAAGCTCCACCTCCTGGGTTCACGCCATTCTCCTGCCTCAGCCTCCAGAGTAGCTGGGACTACAGGCACCCACCACCACGCTCAGCTAATTTTTTTGTATTTTTAGTAGAGATGGGGTTTCACCATGTTAGCCAGGATGGTCTCGATCTCCTGACCTTGTGATCCGCCCGCCTCAGCCTCCCAAAGTACTGGGATTACAGGCATGAGCCACCATGCCCGGCCAGGAGACAGACTTAAAGTCACTTGCTTACCTGCCTAAAATCTGTGCCTAGCTGTGTTTATCAGCCAGATCTAAGATAATAAACCGACCCATCCCATCTATCTAAGTAAGATGCAGATTTCTAGCCTTTTTTTTTTTTTTACCATTTCTAGCCATTTTTACACTTTTTTTAAACCAAAATGTGTTCTTAATAATGCAGTTAGGGAGCGAAGTAAAGACAATAGAGTCTTTTCCTTTGCCTCTGTCTGCCACTCTCCTTGCCCCAACAGAAAGCAAGGTAGTGAAGGATTATTTTTCCTATGCTCCCAATTCTCAGGTTCCTGGGAGCCCGGGCCTTACTCCCCTGGTACTCTGGAATTGACTGCGTCTTGGATGCAGACGGCTCTATAGCAAATATATATGTATGTATGTATGTGTACATGTGTGTGAGGGAGCGATATGTATATCTCAGCTAAAGATGAGAACAAATCCCAGGGGCCCCAGGGCCCAACTCTTTCATCCCTAGTTTAAAGGGCCTGCTATAGAGCAAAGGTCTCAGGGCTGTGCTCTGGGCCCACCCCACTCCCTGGCCACACAGTCTGGAAAGGGCTAGAGGCTGTTTTTTAGGGTCAGGTCTGAAAGGGGTGGGCATCACTCCCACTAATTACAATTCAGTCACTTACCCAACCTAACTGCAAGAAAGGCCATAAGGTATGGTCCGTTTAGACTCCTGGGAAGACACAATGACATGCTGGATCCGTGGCATGACCTCTGCCACACTAACCAGTTAGTGCCACAGAACCCAGGAAAAGTCAGAAATGGGAAGCACAGCGCTTTAGAAGCCCAGGGTGGAGGGTGAGGCACAAAACCGAGGATTTGCCCAAAGTCTCATAAAGTACAGTTGGGCCCTGTGCAGCCAGGCACTTGCCCCTCTCCTAGCCCAGTGGAAGGTGGGAGGTTTATCCTCTGAAGTGAATGGATTGGCTCTCCTAGCTCAGAGCTAAGCAAGGGAGAAGAGATGAGACACCCTACTGAAAACCATGGGATTAGGCACAAGCCTAACGGCTAAGACTTGATAACCCCAGCTCCTTTTCCCACTCAGTCCCAGAATGCTGGCAGCCATACTTGAACTCTCTAGGCAGGATTCCTCTCTTAAGAAAGAGAACAGCGTGGAGAAAGGACTTATAGATAGATCCTCCCAGTGAAATGGGTAGGGCTCTTCTCTTTCACCTACAGTGAGCCCCATTCACTCTCAAAGAATTTCTAATGAGCTTTTCAGTGCCTCAAGTTTATGGACCTGTGAATACAGACCCAAGAATTACTGAGCAATTAAAGGGAGCCTCTAATGTGAAAGGCAAAGTCAAAAGCAAACAAATAGAAAATGAATCCAGAGGCACTGCAAAGGGCAAAAGAAACCTCAGGGGGGACCACTATACTTAATATCTTCAGAAAGATAGGAGAATAAACATATTGCATACATAAAAAGAATAGGATGCCACAGAAAAGGCACATCCCAGTAACAAGAAAGAGCTTTTGAAAATGAAAAAGGAGTATAGACAAAATTAGAAATTTAGGCAGTTATGGTGGCTCACGCTTGTGATGCCAGTACTTTGGAAGGCTGAGATGGGAGGATCCCTTGTGGCCAAGGGTTCGAGACCAGCCTAGGCAGCATAGAAAGACTCCATCTCAACAAGAGAAAAATTTTAAAATTGGCTGGGCACAATGGTGCATGCCTATGGTCCCACCTACTTCGGAGGATGAGCCAGGAGGATCACTTGAACCCGGGAGTTCAAGGCTGCAGTGAGCTATGATTGCACCACTGCACTGAAGCCTGGGTGGCAGAGCAAAACCCTGTCTCTAAAAAAAAAGAATTTAGTAGAAGGAGCAAAAGATAAAGGCGAAGACATCTCTTAGAAAGTGAAATGAATGGCAAAGAAAGAAAAACTGGAGAAAAAAGAGAATACAATTATAGGATCAATTTAGGAGTTCCAACATCTTGCTAATGAAAATGGACAGAGGAAATTATCAAAGAAATTCCCAGAACTGAACGTCATGAGTTGCTATATTGAAAAGTACTCAACATAATGAAGGGAAGGAAACTTGGATTAAGGTATATCATAAAAGTTCAGAACACCAAAGATGAAAGGAAGTTCAAAAAACATACAGATAGAACAAACAAGTCACTTTTAAAGGGCAGGAGTCAGAACGATGCTAGCCTTCCAACAGCAACAATAGAAGCCAAAGGCTAATAGATCAGTGCTTTCAAACTTCTGAGGGAAAATGATGTCCAGCTTAGAATTCTATATTTGGCCAAACTATCATCCAACATGAGGATAACTGCAACTAACTCTCAAACGGTTCACAAAAAAAAAAAAAGTATGCGCTTATAATCTAGAGAAAAGATGTAATTCAACAAATAGGGCAAAAGGTTAACAATTGGTGAATTGGTAAGGACACTTTTTGTAATATTCTTGCAAGTTAAGTCTTCTCCAAGTTTGATAAAAAAAAAAACCCATACAACTAATGGGGGTAAAATAAAGGAATTTTTAGACATGTAGGGCATCCAAAGTTTATCTCCGTGCCCACTTTCTTACTAAGCCACTGTAGACGTGGAGGTGTTCATGCAAACAAGAAAATGAAAGAACTAAAGTGCAACCATGGGATCAAGAAAACAGAGAATCCAGCACAAAAGAGAAGAGACGGGAAGTCCTGAGACAACAGCTGTGGGTGGCTCTGGACAGGAGCCAGGCTGACCTGGAGTGGGAGGACTGAGGACAGAAGGTTTATTTCCAATAAAATATGAAACTAATAGATTAGCTGTTTGAGTAATCTTAGAGTTCAGAGAGTTTGGGGATGAATAAGTGGCTGGGGCCATAGAAAATAGAACAAACCAAAATTTGAGTTAATTATTAACTCCAGAGGCAATGAACAATTGCACAAGAAAGGTTTCTTACATGGTTCAGCTATGAACAAGATTTATATGGGCATATTAATATAAAGATGAATATATAATATAATCATGTTGGGAATGAGGGGAGGGAAATGGTGTATGAATACAGGGCATAAAAGACAGAATTCCTCATCGTCCATAGTAAGAAATCAATAGATAATGTATAAAATGGAAAAAGCAAGAAAAGCAGTAAAAACCTATTCTTTGAAAATATAGAGGTAAACATGAAAAAATTGCTAAAATAATTGAAGGCAGTGTCTCTGAGGAATGGGAATCAGAGATGGTAGGGAAAAGCAGGGGATGTGGTCTTTTGTTTTGTTTTGTTTTGTTGAGACAGGGTCTCACTCTCTCACCCAGGCTGCAGTACCGTGGCGGGATCACATCTCACTGCAGCAGCCTCAAACTCCTGGGCTCAAGCAATCCTTCCGCCTCAGCCTCCTGAGTAGCTGGAACTACAGGAGGGTGCCCACCATGCCCAGTTTATTTTTATTTTTTGTATTTTTTTGTAGAGACAGGGTCTCACTATGCTGCCCAGGATGGTCTGGAACTCCTGGGCTCAAGTGATCCTCCTGCCTTGGCTTCCCAAAATGCTACAATTACAGGTGAGCCACCTCTTCTGGCCAATGTGTTTTTTTATAAGCAGGGTTTGTCAGGGACATTCTCAGTTTTTCCTCCCTAGTCTGGTATAATTTCATTACCATTGCCCCTTTTACTCCCAAAGTTGTCCCAGTTTTGTATGTAGCCCTGAAATGCTACTTCATTTTTTAAACTATGTGTGCATGATATTTTGATAACAGTGAAATAAAAAGAGAAGGCTCTTTGGACCTTAAATAAAATAACTCTGGTTCATCAAGCTCAGTCAAAGACTTTAATTTTCTTTTTTCCAAAAACCGATTCTTGGTTTTTTTTTTTTCAATTTTTACCCTCTGTACATTAGAATGTATCCAAAAACTAATTCTTCATTTTAAATTAATTACAAGCAATGTGTACTTCAAAGCACTTTTACAATCACTCACTCATTTAATCCTTACGACAGCTTCATAGGGTAAGCATCCTATCCCATTTTATAGATAATAAAAATGAGGGGCCGGGCGCAGTGGCTCATGCCTGTAATCCCAGCACTTTGGGAGGCTAAGGCAGGCAGGTCACAAGGTCAGGAGATTGAGACCATCCTGGCCAACACGGTGAAACCCCATCTCTACTAAAATACAAAAAATTAGCCCGGCGTGGTGGCACGTGCCTGTAGTCCCAGCTACCTGGGAGGCTGAGGCAGGGGAATTGCTTGAACCCAGGAGGCGGAGGTTGCAGTGAACTGAGATCGTGCTACTGAACTCCAGCCTGACAACAGAGGAAAACTCCCAAAAAAAAAAAAAAAAAAAAAAAAAGAGGTTAGGGAGGTCTTCTGATTGTCTACCAAGGTGACACTAGTCCACTGGACCAGGCCCTTTAATTGCAGTTTGCACACTCTTGCCACAATATCAAATGATAAAGCATTTAAGCCATCCTACATATGAACAGAATCTGAGATATAAAACCAATAACCCAGATTAATAGCCTATTAGAAAAACAGATTATGAAAATGAATAATTCATACATTCTTCTGTTTTTGAAAATAAATTCTAATTAGTCTGCCCAGCTAGGCTTAGTGGAAACTGAAATCAATCTCATGGGAAGACAGCCCACACCTCCAACCCCTGTCATCTTTGGAGTCCCAGAGGATGAACCGCTGCCGCTAAACCTCCGGACCAGGAAAACAGTCCTAGTGGGTTTTTTTGTTTTGTTTTGTTGTTGTTGTTTTTTTTTTAGATTACAAAGTAATACATGATTATTTCAGAAAATATAATAAAACAGAGATATAGCATAAAAGAAAAAATATTCTAAATCCCATCACTTAGAGGTGAATACACCTAACAATTTAGTGGATACATCTCTGTCTTTTTGTAATACAGATACAAAAATAGGATCATATGACGCAAACTTCTCAGTCACCTGGTTTTTTTCACCAAACACTATATTTTGGACATGGTTCCATGTCCATAACCGTGTGTCTACATTTTTCTTTTTAGTGGCTGCCTCATGGTTCATCATTTGAATTACTGTATTTGATCAATCCTCTGTCACTAGATATTTGGGTTCTTCCTTTTTTCTTTCCAGCATTAACTCTGCAACAACGACGAAATTCTATACACACATCTTTGTGCCCATGTCCAATTATTCCTCAAGATAAATTTCCTGAAGAGAGATTACTGTGCCAAAGAGCTTGTATTTTATGGGGGGCTTCTAACCCACATTGTATACCCCACCAACATAGAATGTGCTTGTCCATACTCTCTTATTCAGATGACCCAATGTGTTCTCTTATCAATGCTTTTATCCCTCCTGTGGGTTAACCATGAATGAAACAAAGCAAGGGGGTTGGGATGGGAGGCAGTTGAAACAAACAAGAAATTTAAAAAGAGTTCTTTAATTCCTTCTTTCTAGTCCCTCCCACACTCTAATGTTTTTTTCCAATTTGGAACTCTGGCCTGACTGGTTCCACCCTCAGCTCACACACCAACTTTCCCTGCCCATGCCTATTCTGTATTTTTGAGATTGGGTCAGTCTCTCCTCACTAGCGAGTACATACATTCCTTTGAGGTGAGGGACATCACCTTCAGTGTCAAGGTTTGGACAATATCATCAAAGGGTCACCAAGACATGCCCAAGAATTCTGAAATTTCAGAACCAGGCTTGTTAGAATCAGTTGTTTAACACAGTCTCCCACACTGATCTGCCAGCCACGAGAACAAAGCCACATGGAAGCTAAAGACACAGGGGCAGTGTCCAGTTGCTGGCTGGACATTCCTACACCTCCTCCTCTGATTCTCAATGCTCCCTGGGCCCATCCCCTTCCAACTCCTCCCCCACTAGCCCGGCACTGAAATGCCCTTGTTCACTTTATTTTAAATGGGCACCATTCGGAGGCTACATTCTCACAGTCCATTCTTTGCTTCCCGTTCCTCCCTTGCTCCATGACCTGGGATCATGATCCCTTTCTTCCTAAAACTTTCACCCCTAGTTTCAGATAGTTGACAGTTTTGCACAAATAGTAACATTTCCCCGTAATTACTGTTTTTTTTTTCCTTCCTTATCAAAAGGGGCTGGTCAAAGCCAACCTTGTTCAGTTTATGAACCCAACTCCTTCCTCCCTCAAGACTGACACAGAGATTGACGTAAAGAGTACGCTCGGCCCGGTTAAATTTATAAGCACAGAACCAGGTATCGCATGCTTGTCCATGTGACTCTTTTTTTTCTTTTCTTTCTTTCTTTTTTTTTTTTTTTTTTTTTTTTTTTTTTTGAGACGGAGTCTTGCTATGTCACCCAGGCTGGATGGAGTGCAGTGGCGCGATCTCAGCTCCCTACAAGCTCCGCCTCCCGGGTTCACGCCATTCTCCTGCCTTAGCCTCCCGAGTAGCTGGGACTACAGGGGCCCACCACCACGCCGGCCTAATTTTTTGTATTTTTAATAGAGGCAGGGTTTCACCGTGTTAACCAGGATGGTCTCGAACTCCTGACCTCGTGATCTGCCCGCCTCGGCCTCCCAAAGTGCTGGGATTACAGGCGTGAGCCACTGTGCCAGGCCCATGTACAAAATAAAGCACCCGGAACTTTGCACCTGGACTTATCTACACTCGACAATCTTTGTCCTAGGAACTCAGGGAGTCCACACCAGGCTTTTAACACCCTTGAGACTGAAGGAGGGAAAAGGCTGTAACTGGCAGCGACAACTGGGCCTAGTATAACGCGAACTCCAGTTTTGGCCAAACCTCCTCCAACACACATGTGCAAAGCCACATTCTCATGAAGAGGGGGCAAAACATTTGCTTTCTGGGTTTAACCTTCTACCATCTCAAACCAACTGTGCCAAAAATTTCCCTGTTCACCAGGATTCATCAAAAAACGTACATTTCTATTTTCACCGATTTTAAGAGAATAATTAACTGCTCTATTTTTACAAAAAATACACAAAGTGATACAATCTAAAGACTAATCCTCAGACAAAATCAATTGCTAAACATTGGAGGGGCAAAAGGGGAGACCACGCCGCAAAAGCACGGAGAGGCAACTTTCGGCACCGCGGGAAGGCCCCGACCACGCTGCGGCTCCGCCTCTCCTCCCGCCCCTCGTTCGGTAGTCCGGTAGCCCCGCGGCTCCCCGAATTCCCCGCCCTCGGCCCCTGCGGGCGCACCCTGCAGGCCCCGCCCCGGCCCCGCCTCATCGCGACGTCAGTTGTTATGTCTCGGCTCCGGCCGCGGCCGCCGCTGATACACGGTTGTGGAGGGTACGGCCGCGGTCTCCGGAGGTGGCGGGGGTGTTGGGGACGGGTGCTGCGACCGGCACTGCCCATCCGAGCGGGACGGGCGCTGAGTGGCCGGGAGGCAGCCGGGTAGCCGCCTGGAGGAGCAGTCTCGGGGCCTATTATTGGTTTTTTCCCTCCGAGACCGATTCCATCTGCAGAGACCGCGACGCCCCATCCTGGGCCGGGCCGCAGTGCCCGCCCGCCTGAGAGGCGCCGCCCGCCAGCCGGCCCGAGCGAACCTGGAGCCGCCGCCGTGCCCGCCGCTCTTCTCGCGGAGCCTGGGCGGTCGGCGGGGCCTGGGGCCTGGGCTTCGGGCGCGGCGTTGCGGCGGCCGCTCCTCCCCGCGCAGAACACGCTGGGCCCCGGGCCTGGCCCGGCCGAGCGCCGCGCCCTCCTGACCCGCGGCCGCGGGAGTCCGGCCCCCACGGCCCCTCGGGCCCCGGCCTGCCGCCCGGATCCCCGCCTCCTGGGCGGATCTGAGTTATTTTTTGGTCTCCCCCTCCCCCTTGAGATCGCGGCACCGGAGGGCCGACCCCGCCACCTGGGTCAGTGCCCGCCCCGGGGGAAGCGTCCCTCGTTTTGTTCTTCCCCGCGAGCTCTCCCCGCGCCCCTCTCCTTTCTGTGCTTAATGGATGGGGGTTTTGAGTTTTTCCCCTTTATTTTTGTCGGCTCTTGACTGGGAGGCCCGGCGCGAGGCTCTGCGTCTCTGCGTCCCTCGTCGCCGCCTCGCGCCCGCGCGGATCCCGTCACCTGCTTCCCCGCCGGGGATGGCCGGCCAGTGACGGCGCCGGGTGGCCCGCGCGTGGACACGGGGCCCTCGCCCAAGCTGCCACCGAGCCGCGGCCCCCGCCCTCGACCCTTCTCTCTCCCGTATTCCGAGCTCTCTGGAAAGAGAGGAAACTCCAGGGAAGATGTGGCTGAAGCTTTTTTTCTTGCTCCTCTATTTCCTGGTCCTGTTCGTCCTGGCCAGGTTTTTTGAGGCCATTGTGTGGTATGAAACTGGCATCTTTGCCACCCAGCTGGTGGATCCGGTGGCGCTGAGCTTCAAGAAGCTGAAGACCATTTTGGAGTGCCGGGGGTTGGGCTACTCAGGGTTGCCCGAGAAGAAGGATGTCCGGGAGCTGGTGGAAAAGTCAGGCGAGTATCGGGCTTCCCCTAGGGTCCCCTCCACCTGGGAGAGGGGACGACCTGTACCTCCTGGTACCTGGCTGTTCCCCCAGAGTGAGGCCTTTCCTGGAAGCGTTAAAGCTGCCCAGGTTTCTTCGTCCAAGCTTCCTACAATCAAGTATGCGGATCCCAGCTTTGAGGAGGAGTCTGAAATTATTTGGAGGAGTGTTGGTGTATCCTTTTAAGGTTATCGTAAAATGACAGTTTAAAGTGTGGCTTCTTAGCGTTGTTTACTAAGTTGAGTGATTTTCTCAAAATTCTGGAATATCAACTAGTTACAAACTGGAAAGCATTATTTGTCAGTTGAAGTTCATAAAAACGTAAGAAAAACTCCAAAACGTTGTCTGTCAATAGCAATATTTGTCACGATAGTAATAATAAGATACCCAGAGTGGGGACACATCTTTGGAATACTTACTATCAGAGGCACTTGGGCCTAGGATTTAAATGTTAAATCATGAGTTTGAATATAGACAGTATACACCGTACAGTATTAGCTTTTCAGACTTTAAGTTTGGTGAAAATAAGGCGAGCATTTTGTATAAATGCCTGCCATGTTCGAGTTTATATTATATTTCTGTTAGGATTTTTAAAAATTTGCATCTTGGATGTGTAAAAGAAAAATTTTTTTTGTCTTCTGTGTCACAGGTACCCTTGCATTGTTTAATGGGTTGAGAAATATACGTGAAATAGTGCTGAGAGAATATTCAATGTCTTAAAGAATGTGTTTTTAGTAATTGTTGGTTTTGGTAGGATTGGGTGAGAAATATGGTTAATTTTTTTCACTGCTGCACAAAGTATATCTTTGGATATACTTCCTGAAAGTGGAATGTAATTTGAGAAAGGCTTTCTGCGTTGCTGTGGGAAGCAGCTGAAACTGATGGTTATCTTTTTTGTTGTTTCAAGTATTTTTGTCAGCTGTATCTTTTACAAGACAAATCTTTTCCTTCTTTAGTACCTTATAGACATGTAGCGTGATAGACAAGAGTATGAGCTCGCTAGCAGTTTAACACTTGGATATTTGTAGGTTGCGGGTTATAAAACTCATATCTCACTATTAGGGTAGAGGAGAGGAACACACTCTGCAGAAGTGATAAATGTTTCTTTAGAGAAAATATAAAATCGTATATTATTCTTGCCCCTTGTTTGCTGACTGGTTTATGGCGATTCTTATTTCTACCATAGGGGGAAGAAGTGGAGTAACTAGGGTAAAAGATCTCTAATAAATAAACTCTCTTGGTTTAGAGATGAGAAGTGTCTCAACTGCCAAAGCCATCATTTTTTTATGGAAAATAATTTGGTCACACATTTTTTTTTCTTTTGACTGTTATTTATTATTGCCTTCTTTTGGGCCTAAAAATACTTGGCACATTGAATGTACTAGAAGTCCACATTTAACTTTAAGACGCACAGCCCAGTATGACTCAAATCACACGTTTTATGGCAGAAAAGTCATGGTATAGCAGTTTAAAATTTAAGTGTTTATTGTGAATGGTTTTGCTGCTATCATGGTGCAGTACTTGGTTTCTCACTGTTTAATATTTAAGGCGAAAGTTAAAATAATTTGATTTTAGTGTTTTCCTTTCCTTTTTGTTTAATGATACAAGCTCTAAATTTATAATATAAATTTGTATATGAATATGGAGTTTGTTCTGTCTAACAGGTAAAGTTCTAACCTCCAAGTCATACAAACCCTGTTGCTCTTTTAAGCAGGGCTGATGGCAAATTCTGTGAACCCAATTCTACATCTTTTAAGTAAGAAGCATATAAGCCATACTGTTTAAAAATGTATATGAAGCCTGTATGTGTCATTCATAAAACTAAATAATTAAGAAAGTTGTGCCTTTTTGGAGTGGTACAAATTTGGTAAGTTCCTAATAATTATGTGATAACCCCACTAAAATATAAGCCCTGTTCTATAAGAGATGGATTTTTGTCTATTTTGTTCACTTTTCCCTGATGCATAGGAAGTTCTTACTACATATTTATTGAATGTATGACTCCTAAGTGGGTATATCCAGGTTCTTCTAGTAGTTCTTGTCTATAAAATACAATGAAAGTACAATATCATGATTCTTAACAGTGTAAAAAATAGAATTACTGAAATTGGGAATCTAGGATTCTTGCAACCTTATTAGTGTTATTCTTTTCCTTTCTTCAGGTGACTTGATGGAGGGTGAGCTCTATTCTGCTCTCAAGGAAGAAGAAGCATCCGAATCGGTTTCTAGTACCAATTTCAGTGGTGAAATGCACTTCTATGAGCTTGTGGAAGACACAAAAGATGGCATCTGGCTGGTTCAGGTATGAAAAGCAGTAATAATTTGATAATTCGAGAGCCCTAAAAAAATTATTTTTACCAAAATAGTATGTACCAGCCAGTGACACTTCCGTGTCCTTGTGTCTTGTTTCTCACACATAACTCAGTTCTCTTAGGGAGGCTCCAGTATCTTCTTAAAAAGGTTTTGGAGACTGAGGAAGATGAAAATTGAGTAGTGGGAAAGAGAAAGATGGGGGATGGGGGTCAACTTTTTGTTTAGAATCCCCAGAAGCAAATCTATTTTAGTTATTGGACCTTTGTTGAATTGAGAAATACACATATATATCCCTTTTATTTAGTGATTTGCACTGTTTCTCTTAGTTTTTATTATCTCCAGTTTTTAATTCAGTGGCCTGAGTAATTTTTATATATAAGTAAGAACCCTAAAGTAAAAGTAAAGGAATCATTGTATTAGGGAAATAGCCAACTTTGTGACTATAGAGGAGCTGTTGTGGAAAATGGTGGGGGTGCTCATTACGTAACTCAGGATGATGAGATTATAATTTTTAACCCTTGTTTTTATGATAGCAAAACTGTGAGACTTAATTAGCATATTAGAATTTTAGAGCTATGATGGACCTTAAAAATATTTTATGCTTTCCAAGATGTAATTTATGGTGAGTGGGCATGCATTATCATTTACATATTTTAATGTAAATTAGAAAAATTATATTAACATAAATTTCATAAATTTTGCTTAGGACAGGACTAAAGTTATTTACATTTTAAAACTGTACATTCAAAGTGACATATCAAGTAAATTAACAGCGTGAATGTGGCTAAAATTATTAATGTAGTCTGTGAATGGCTGAAGCTTGGAAATTATATCAGACTAACCCTTTCTGAGACTCTGAGAGGTGAAGTAGCTTGCCCAAGGTCATGGAACTAGTTGGTAGTATTGAACCAGGATGAAACCCAGGTCTTCTGATTTCTTGACTGGTACTCTTATCATTTCACACTGGAGTGGGCAAAGTTTGATTCAGGGCATGAAAATTAAAACAGTTTCTTCATATTTCTTTCTGAGAGTAAAGACTGCAAAATATGGTAGGAAAAGCTATGAGTTCAGAGACATTAGTTGCAGGTCTGGTACTGTCGCTGTTACAGGTCTGGTACTGTCACTGACTAGCAGTATGATTGTAAATAGGTATATTTTTCTGTTGCACGTGGCCTCAAATAAATACATATACATCTAAAAAGGATAAAATGGTACTGTAGTCCACTGTGCTAAAGGGTTGAGGTTTGGGAATTCTTCCAGAGATTTACATTGTTCATCCATGGCCTTTCTTTATTGTATCCTTCCTATTGCATTTGTCCTTTTACCTTCCGGATAATCTAATTCAGTAATTTTTAAGTTCAGCAATGGGAGAGAATGTGAGAGTATGAGTGTAGTCTATACATTATCTATTTAAATTTTAGTTTATTTCTGTGTCAGTTGGAGTTGAAAAATAAGGTGGAGCTTTTTTAAAGCTTTAATGTATAAGTATATTGTTATTCTGTTTCTTTTCTCTGGTACTTATTTCTAATAGTCTGATTGAGAAAGACACTGGTTTTGATAATTTTAGATTTTATTACTGAGGATGAATTGAATAGCCAGTCCCACTGCCCTGCTTTCAGTGTCTAAATGTCACCCACATTGAATGATCCCATGGAAATAAATGGTGAAGATGTTGCACACCTTTGAAACTTGGAAGGGCTATGTCAAAAGTCTTGAGTTCTTTTGCTATATAGGCTGCTGCCTATAGACAACAAATACATTCTGGTTCAATAGTTAGCAGTATGTTCTTGGCTTGTAAATGATCTACTGTTTTTGATGTCCTGTTAAAGATATCCATGAATTAAGCTCCTGTAATAAATATGTGACAGAATTCATCAAAAGTTTATTCAGTTGTGGGTGTGCCAGGCCCTGTTCTGGGCCCTGAAGATATACCAGAAACACACACCAAGCTAAGGCCTTGCTCTGTCAGGCAGCTCACATTCTAGTTGGGAGAGGCAGACACCAAATAAATAAATATTTAATATAACATCAGTTAGTGGAAAGTAGTAAGAAGAAAAATAAGCAGATTAAGGAGATGAGAGTGGCAAGGAATTCTCTGGTAAGGTGACAAATGAAGTGAAGGACAAATAATGATAGTAAATGGTAGCATTATAAATTCTAGTTGCTAAATTTTTTTTCTCTGAAAATATTTTTAAACCTTATAGGTATTAATAGTTGAAAAACAACTCTTTAAAAATAGAATGTATTTCTGTGGTTTTTCTATGTATGGAAATAATGCAGTAGGACACCTGCTTAATTTTTCCAGTGATGCTCAAGGTTTGCATTGACCACCACTGTCTGGCTTGTGTTCCTTGAGGCCAGTGGCTTACATCTGTCAAATGGCTGGCCTGGTCTGAAAGAACAATCTCTGGCAGGACAACTGAGAAGAATGAGATTGAAACCCTGTCCTTGGCACTGTGAACTAGCCAGCTAAGCCAATCAGCACAGCCACCTTGGTTTAAGCCCTTAAAAGAGGGTTGTACTTTTTAAAACTATGCTTAAAATTGAAAATATCTACTAGAAACAGAAGAGAAATATTGTCTCCATTGCTTGCCATTCTTTCAGCTCAGATCATATATATTAATCTATTGTAAAGGATAACTTTCAAGAATTGTTTTTAACAATTTGAATTGTTGTTATTTTCTGTTTACAGTAGTCCCCCCTTATCTGAGGGGGATGCGTTCCAAGACCCCCAGTGGATGCCTGAAACCGTGGATAGTACCAAATCCTATATAGTCTATGTTTTTTCCTATACATACATACCTGTGATAAAGTTTAATGTGTAAGTTAGGCACAGTAACAACAACAACTAATAAAAATAGAACAATTATAACAGTATACTGAAATAACATTTATGTAAATGTGGTGTCTCTCTCTCCGAATATCTAATTGTATGTAGTATTTTCGGACTGCAGTTGACTGCAGAAAGTGAAACTGAGGGTAAGGGGAGACCACTGTATTTTAGAAGAAGCTGACTAATTTGTTCTCTGTCATTTGTTTTAAGTCTATGAGGAGTGTTTTCATAAATGAAGATGCACAGATGGCAGCCAGTTCAATCCTCTTCATATTTTTAAGCTTTTCCAGGTCCATGTTACGTATAGTCTCTGTAATGTGAACAGAATTTATTTTAGTTTTCAAGGTAGCAACATACATATGACATCTTTACCAATGACACACTATGAAATACATGTAGAACCAAGTGCTCTTTTTTCTAAGTTATTCCTAACATTGTTTTTCTCCTTTGTCCCTAACCCAAGCTCATATCTTTCATTAGCTATTCATTTAACAGTTTTGTGGATTCTTTGGCCCCAGTCTTCATAGCATTACAAATAGAAGATGGTTACTTTTCTTTCAAAAGACCCTTGGTCAGAGAGGCAGATGGCACAGTGGATAGGCTTCTGAAGTGGAGAAGTTAGCATAATTTATGGGTTTTATGGATTTATCCTCCTCCTAACATTTCTGTTTCTCCGTTTTGACTTTTGTCATAGTTCAAAGAAGGACATATTTGTTCCCTACTGGCTGTGTTACATCATATGGAATTTAAAGTCACTGGAATTGAGGTAGCAGTGAGAAGCATCATATGATTTAAAATAAAGCTTTGGGTCAATATTTACTGAAGTATTACATCAATATATTTCCTGTTTGGCTGACAAGAGTTAATAGCTGATTTTAAACTTGTTTATCTTTGCTCCTAGACAAAAGTTTTGTTCGAGGAGATTCTAAATTACGTATTTCTTTCTTGATACTGCTATGGAGGTGAAGCACATAGCAAGCCACTTTATCTTATATTTTGTATTGGTAAAAAATTTTATAAATTCTATGTAAGAATACAAAAAAATTAAAAGACCACTGTTTTTTGTCAATCACTTGTCCTTACTCTTAATGGTTTTATATAGTTTGCATGTATATACTAGGTTGGCTTATGATTTTGAAAGTAGAGACTCCCTATTATAATGAAATACTGAGAATGCAGAAAATATCATAGCACAATACTCTCATTGTTCCAGGGAGTTATGTTACTTAACTAAACCTGGATGTCGTTGTATGGAGATTAACAGTATTAAAAGGGGTATGCCACATGGTTTGATCAGTAATAAACCTCACCTCTAAATAATGGGCATTTTAAAATGCACTGAATTAAACATCTTTATGTCTGACTGAGGTCAAGAACATTAATATGCAGTTGCTTAGCAGGGTACCATTTATGCCACTGTTTGTCCAGAAAACATCTTGGTACAGGTTGCTGGGGAAGGGACTTTGATTATAACAGAAATCAAAAGCTTAAGAGTTTCCTTTAGAGACTCTGTGTAATCAGAACTAGAAGAATGAGTTATTAAACTGTAAGAAGCTGAAATTGTTTGGTTTGACATAAATACTTATTGAGCACCCATATGAGTTGGGCACTGTATTAGCTGCAGGGACTACAGTGGTGAGCAAGTGTGGGGATGCCAGAGGCAGATACCCTGGGAAAGGGAATGGAAAGATTGCTTCACTTCTAGCCTGTATTGCCAGGTCTGTTCCACACCTGGAACTCAAGCTGTACTTTGTCCAGTTTTTTTGTAGTCTTTAAAAATGTTCCCCACATACAGTGTTCCTTCCTGAGCTGCTGAGGAAAATGTCTCCCCTTTTAATGAGACCAGCCATATGAATGCCACTCAGAATCATCATGCATCCTTCTAGGATATGAGCTATAAATTGGGGACTCTTACTGGTATGACATAGTGTGTGTGTGTATATATATTATATATATATATATATAAGGCATATGTATATATATATATTAGGCTGAGAATATTTTGTTGTGCTGTGTGACTCAACCAGATGAGTTATTTTGTGAAAATATTAGCATTTTTATAGTGGTTGGTTAATTTAAACTCCACCAAATTTAATTTATGCTAAACCTTCAGTTGAATTATATAACTATGTAGGACATTGGACACATTTTTAATTGCATAAATATAACTATAAAGTAATATAAAATGCTTTCATGCAATGCCTACAAGATTTTTCATTTTTGTGTAGCTCTGTCAGTCAGGGATCCTTAAACTCTTCAAAACCAAATGCTAGAACACGTTGCTGAATAAATAAGGCCCTGGCATTGAACATTGTCTTGTACCTGCCCCAGGTATGTTCCCAACTCTTTTCACTCACTTCTACTATCTCTGCTATAACCAAGAGGTACCTGGGAAGAACCCCTCTCATTCCTCCTTCTTTTCCTAACATTGGAGCTCTTATCACATGTCTCAAAGATACCTGTGCAGTGAACAAGATCTTCACTGAAAGATGCCTCCAGACTTAGGAACTAAATATTTACACTGGCGAGGCAACCTCTAAACTCCTTGGAGCAGTGTCATTCTGCACACAGACCTGAAATGTTTGGGTTATTTGCAACCTTGATCAAGAAATGGGATAATGCCTGAAAAGTGAGTTATTTTTAAAAGAGGGCAAAGAGTAGAGAGTATGGTAGTATGATTGCACAGATACTTCTTAATCTTCCTAAGGAATCTGAAAAATAAGTTAAACTTGTCTTTGATTATTTGACCAAAAGAACTACCAGATTGACTCTTGAGTGGTAGCAATAAAAATAAAATAAAATAAAGAACAAGAGGCAATAGGCGCCTGCTTTGCTTGATCTTCCTAATTTTCTAGGTACAACTTTTTTTTCTCTCTTTTTTTTGAGATGGAGTCTTGCTCTGTTACCCAGGCTGGAGTGCAGTGGCATAATCTCGGCTCACTGCAACCTCTGCTTCCCAGGTTCAAGCGATTCTGCTGCCTCAGCCTCCCAAGTAGCTAGGATTACAGGTGTGCACCACCACGCCCGGCAAATTTTTGTTTTTTTTAATAGAGGCGGGGTTTCGCCATGTTGGCCAGGCTGGTCTTGAACTCCTGACCTCAAATGATCCACCAGCCTCAGCCTCCAAAAGTGCTGGGATTAAAGGCATGAGCCACTGTACCTGGCCTTCTAGGTAAAACTTATAAAGTACTTTTGGACCAGAGAAAAATGTAAAGCTAGGGACTTACTGGGTAGGGAAACGTGTGAGCATCCTTCAAAAGAGCTTTCACCTATTAAGTGCATGTCCCCAGATTGCCTTCTTCCTGGTTACTTCAGCTGTCTGAGTATTTGAATAAATTGTATCTGCCTCAATAAGACCACTTATTTTCATTAAAAAGTACTATCAAAACCATGGTTGGGTGCAGTGGTTCATGCCTGTAATTCCAACACTTGGGAGGCCGAGGCAGAAGGAACCCTGAGGCCAGGTATTTGAGGCTGCAGTGAGCCATGATTGAGCCATTGCACTTCAGCCTGGGGAACAGAGTGAGACCCTGTCCCTTAAAAAAAAATGTAATATCAAAACCATTTGCTTAATGCCCTAAATTGTGTATATGTATTCATTAAGCTTCAAACTTATGTGATAAGATGTTATGTATGCACGTGTGTCTCGGTAAGTATGAGGATGGTAGTGGAGTGTCACAGAGGTTATTTGGCACATAAAGTGAACTTCAAGTCACTTGTCATCACAATGTGCTGTTTCTTCTGCTGCCCTCTGACATTTGTTAGACGTTCTAGCACAGAGGCCACAGATGAGGTGGCTGCACCACCTCTTGCGTCTCCCAAGGAGTTGACTGTCAGCACTCATTTTACACACCCACCTGCAACTTCACTTCCTGGAGGCTTTGTGAGTGTGAAAATGGTCCTTCCTCCCAGAAAGAGTAGAGGCCCCCAGAGTATTATGTTGTAATTTTGAATTGTATAGTATCAGAAATATAACATTTATGAAAATAAACTTGGCCTATATACCCTGGACTTAAACAGATGGTTTCATGATGACTTTAGACATTTTTGGCTTTCCTTTAACTTCCCATTTAGTTATTTTTATGGTCTTGTTTTTAATGTTTTTTGGTTTTTACTGGTATCTGCATTGAAATTCTGCCTTCATTAAAGGCAGGAAGATTAGGAGATAAAGGGAAAAGGTGGTAATGATTAGAAAGGCTGACACTTATAAGAGAAGTCTTGACATATTTTGAAGGTCTTGCTCTGTCACCCAGGCTGGATTGCAGTGGTGCAACCTCTACTCACTGCAACCTCCACCTCACAGGTTCAAGTGATTCTCATGCTTCAGCCTTCTGAGCAGCTGGGACTATAGGTGCCTGCCACCATGCCTGGCTAATTTTTGTATTTCTAGTAGAGACGGGGTTTTGCCATGTTGGCCAGGCTGGTCTTGAACTCTTCGACTCAAGTGATGCATCTGCCTCGGCCTCCCAACATGTTGGGATTACAGGCGTGAGCCACCACACCTGGCCTCTTTTTCTTTTCTTAAGAATCTTTTGCTTTTCCTAATCCTAATTGTGTTTGAAAGCTCTTGCAAATTTGAAGTACAAGTTCAATAATGTAAAATTCATTACATTAAAGAATGAATAAGAAGAATGGTAATTCTTATTGTATGTTAGAGCCGTTCATGATTAAGCAAAAAGCCATAGAACTAGTAGTATTTATTGATTTAGTCAAAGCACCCTTTAATAGAAAACATGTGTTTGACTCTTGGCTCCATAATTATACTTTTTAAAAAGTGAAATTTGAACTTGTTGAACCTACATGTGATAATTTTTAGTAAGCTCTATTTGGATTATTGTTTAAAATTTTCTTTTCAGAGCAAAGAGAAATTATTCCAAGGGCCATTTTCTTCCTGTGTAACTTAATTAGAGAGAAGAGGCCACATGGTGGAGAATGTGGCTAGCCTTTTAATACAGTTTTGACTCCCTCCCTCTCTTTGTAACTGCCACAGAGTGTGGGAGAGTTTAATTTACGTTTCAGTGTTTCAAGTCTTTTTCCTATTGGATAGTTGCTCCTTCTATAAGAATTGTAATGATAATGTGATGATACAGTAAACAAGAACTGGGAACAGAATATCTTTTTTTTTAAGTGAAATTATATTGTTGATGTAAACGGTTGGCTTGACTCCATTTTAGGTAATTCAAGTTTCTTTTTCTCTATTTTTGGGAATAGGTCATAGCAAATGACAGAAGTCCCTTGGTGGGCAAAATTCACTGGGAGAAAATGGTTAAAAAGGTGTCAAGATTTGGAATACGTACAGGCACATTTAACTGTTCCAGTGATCCCAGGTAAGTTGATTAGGCAATTCTTAGAATTTGAGTCCTGACCAGGATCTTTCTTATTTAAAAAGGGCAATGATACTAGAAGCCTGCTTGAACTGAAAGCTTATTATAATGTGTAGCACACTCTTAGTTACATAGGTGCTTGATTAATGGTTTTTGATAAACTGGCAGCTAATGACTTTCACTCTAAGATCTCTCTCTGTCTCCTCTATCTCCCTCTCTCTCCCCGTCCCTTTCTCTGGCTCTTCTGTGTTTTTTCTATTGAAGATATCTCTTAAGATTGTGTCTTTAGTCCTTTTCATTTCACCTTTCTTTTCCAAAGAGATCTCAGCACATTCATGGCTTTAGGTGACACCTCTGTGCTGATATAAATCTTCTATCATTCTGACCTCTAGTTTGCATTTCTTTGCTTATTTCCATTTGCTCTGCAACTATCCCTAGATATATTCTTTTCCCTGAAACCTAGTATCTGAAATCAGATTCATCCTCTTTTTCTTTAATCATCCATGTATCCTTCTACCTTTCTTTTTTCTGTCCTTCGCCGGTTTTCCCCCCCATTTTCTCAAATAAGAATCCTCAGAGGTGTTTTTGTTTATGTTTTGTTTTTTTGTCATCATTTCCAGTATTCAGTCTGTCACATTATTTCTTGTTTTATTATTCCATTATTTCTTCTTTGAAATGCCTTTTTTTCCATTTCTCTTGCTACCAAGTTATAACTTAGTCTCATTCATTGATTGTAGAAAACTCTCCTAAACCATTACTATACCTCCTTTCCTTAGCCTTACATTTACTTCTCTTCTGCTTAGAACCCTTGTTTTGCCCACTAGTAATATAGGGTGAGATGGATGGTAGAGTTCCTCTAAGAGTTGGGAATAGGAGGGAAGTTCCTGTATCTCTTAACTCACATTTAGTCTCCTTATCTACCTGCAAAGCTGTCATGCTCATCTTCACCACAAAGTCTTTTTTTCTGATTTTTTTTTTTTTTGAGACAGGATTTGGCTCTGTGACTCAGGCTGTAGTGCAGTGGTGTGATCATAGCTCACTGCAACCTCCAGCTGATGGATGGGCTCAAGTGATCTTCCCACCTCAGCATTCCAAGTAGCTGGGACTACATGCATGCATCACCACACCTGGCTAATTTTTTTTTTTTTTTTGTAGAGATGGAGTCTTGCTATGTTGCCCAGGCTGGTAACCACAGAATCTTAGTCACATCCCAATGTCTTTTGTTGAAATGTCTGAGATAGCTTAAGTCTTAATGTTCTTTTGAAAAGGAAATCATTCTGATCTCCATTCGTCATTTACCAAAGACTTAGGATTTGATCTGATTCCATCATTTCCAAATAGAGTCAAAGTGAAAGGTCTTTTTCTTCCTCACTGATTTTTACAATACTAGAACAAATGATAATGCTGATATTTTGATTTTTTTAGTTATGCCAAAAGTCAGTATTCATATCACTATTTTCTTTTAAAATACCCAATGTATTTTTTAAAAATCAGTGGAACTAAATAATACATTTCAAACATTATAGTTTATAAATATATTAGAAAACATCAAATAAAAACACATTTTAAAAATATATAAAGTTGAATGCATTAATTAAAGTCTAATGTTATTAGATAATAAAGAATTCAAAAACAAAATAAAAATAATCTGTTAAACGTGAAAAACTGAAAGAATGATTTGGTGGGGGCAGACAAACCATAATCTTATAATCTTATAAATCAGAGTGCATCAGAAGTATCATAATTCAGTCCAGTGGATTTTAGTGCAAATTTATTTAGCTCTTCTTTTGAAAAGCTCTGATTCTGTATTAGCTGAGAAATGGTGAAGAGATACATACAAGCTAGCTCCAGATGTTTTCCTCTAAATCCTTCATCTTCAAATAATCCTACCTCTTATTTACAATTGAAGCAATGTTTTTTTGGATAACTTTTTGCTTTTTTGTTGATTGTAGCTATAGTTTTTGTTATTTAAAAAAGTACTTCTACTCAGCTTCATCAGAAAATGATTTTGTTGCACAGTGACTTGTACCAGTTCCAATAATGTGCCCATGACTCCTCATTTGGAAAGTCCTCCAACTGGAATAAGAATTGTTCTTGCCATAGAAGCTATGCTTAGTCAGGGTCATTTTTCTTTTCTTTTGATGACTATGGAGATATAGAAGAACAAAATTTAGAGATATAGAGAAGAGTGTTCAGAATTTCAATGCAGGGTGTAAGTGGGCAGAGAATAGTGTTATTCAGGAAGTGTTTTAATCACATATTTTGAATAATTGAGTCATCATCTTGATTTTGGAGTTTTAAAAATACCAAAACTCTGTGCCCCACTGTCTATGCTGCATTCTTTGACTGTAGTCCCTTCTCTGGGGTGGCCTCTGGGCAGCTGACTTCAGTGTGCTGGTCCCACTGTACAGCTGTACTTTCCTGACCTGTTTAGCTCCTGCCTTAGTCTGTTTTGTGTTGCTGTATAAGAATACCTGAGGCTGAGTGGTGGCTCACGCCTGTAATCCCAGCACTTTGGGAGGCTGAGGCAGGTAGATCACCGGAGGTAAGGAGTTGGAGACCAGCCTGGCCAACATGGTGAAACCTGTCTCTACTAAAAATACAAAAATTAGCCAGGCGTGGTGGCGGGTGCCTGTAATCCCAGCTACTCGGGAGACTGAGGCAAGAGAATCACCTGAACCCAGGAGGTGGAGGTTGCAGTGAGCCGAGATTGCACCACTGCACTCCAAGCCTGGGTGACAAGAGCGAGACTCTGTCTCAAAAAAAAAAAAAAAAAATACCTGAGGCTGAGTAATTTATGAAGAAAATAGATTTATTTAGCTCACTGTTCTGCAGGCTGTATAAGAACCATGGTGCCAGCATCTGCTCAGCTTCTGGTGAGGCTTCTGTGCTGCCAGAACATGGTAGAGAAGGTCAAAGGGGAAGTGGACACATGTGAAGGGCATGTGGCTTTATGTCAGCCCACTCTCGAGGAAACTACTCCATTTCCACAAGAACTAATTCAGTCTTGCCAAAGCTAGAACTCACTAACTTGAGAGCAGCACTAAGTGTTCATGAGGGATCCACCTCCATGACCCAGACACCTCCCACTAGGCCTCACCTCTCAACACTGCCACACTGGGAAGAAAATGTCAACATGAGGTTTGGTGGGGACAGACAAACCATAACCAAACCAGAGTAGCTCCCTTAAGAACATTTAGGACTACCACTTCTGAGCAACTTCTGACTGTCTAGTTGTAGCAGCTTTAATTTCTTTCCCTATGTACCCAGAAGGAGTGGCCTTGCCTGGCTCTACCTCTTCTCATTCCCTAACCAGCAGATCGATTTCAGAGGGCTTTTCCTGTGAGGTTCATACTCTGTACTTTTTTTGACAAAGTAGGAGATGAGGTGGTAATGATGTGTAGAGAGGGTTGGGGAGATGGGGATTAGTAAAGAGAAGATAGAGGACATGGAAATTGCAGGAGCTGAGTGGTAAACAGGAAGCCTTATGGCAAGAGTGTCAGGGATGGTGGCCTGTGGAAAAAACGGGGAAGGAGAAGAGAAGGGGGGATTGCAGAGAGAGCGAGGAAAACCAAGGAGGCCAATGACCTTGTCTGAAAAAACAGCATATATAAACAGAAATGTTAAGGTTTCTCTCTCTTCCTTTCTTCCTTTTTTTTTTTTTTTTTTTTTTTTGAGATGGAGTCTCACTCTATTGCCCAGGCTGGAGTACAGTGGCACGATCTCAACTCACTGCAACCTCAGCCTACTGGGTTCAGGCGATTCTTGTGTCTCAGCCCCCCAAGTAGCTGGGATTACAGGTGCGTGCCACCATGCCCAGCTAATTTTTGTATTTTCAGTAGAGACAGCGTTTCACCATGTTGGCCAGACTGTTCTCAAACTCCTGGCCTCAAGTGATCCACCCACCTTGGCCTCCCAAAGTGCTGGGATTACAGGTGTGAGCCACTGAGCCCTGCTTCTTCTTAAATATAGCATGCCACATCAGCAACTGGAAGACCAAAACTCACAAGGCATATTTCCTATCGTTTTTAGTCTTAAAATTCTCTAAGAGAACTCAAAAGGTTTAGTTTAAAAACTAGAGGATATTTTCATGGTATTGTCATTGAATTTGTTCAGATCATAAAAAAATTTTTTTTGAATTGGCAATAAAAGTTTTTATATTGATGTAAGGTAATACAACCTTATTCTATCTGGAATGATAAAATTATTACTTAGCTCTGAGCTGAAAAGAAAGCACATAATATGTTTGTTTTCTTATGTGAAGAAATGTCTGCACTTAGAACTTGTTCATTTTACAAAGTAAGTTTTCTGTCAGAAAGGCTGTCATTTAATTTATGACACAAATCAGAGGCCATAGTAGGAAGATAAAATAGATGGCCAAGAGTTGAAATGTGTCATCACAAATATCAAGTGCAATGAAAACATTAAAGATACTTGAAGATATTTAAGATATAAATAAGACAGTTGTCCATATGCATTTGACTTGTTACTTTTTTGGGATACGGTAAAAATAGAATTCATGTCAATCAATGAATTATTATTTTGCATTGAGTAGAAGATATTTATTTTGTAGGAATATATACTTTTCAGACCATTTCAGTTAAAACAGTAATGATATTAATGGAATCTGTCTTATTAAGGTAGTGAATCAACTCAACAAGAAGCTAAGAGTCACAGTCTGTGATTTTGAGTCACCTAGACAGTTTTCCAGAGTCATCACTAACCTTGTCTTAAGACATAGCGTGTTGTCTTCATTTATCTTAAACTATATCACAGAATCCCTGAGATAAAATTAGTCATATTATCATTATACAGCCATATGCTACCTACGTCAAGACTCTTCTCTTCATCTGATCATATGATGTGTAATATGTTTATTTAATAAAATATAATCCATGCTAAGTAAAGCATAACATCTATGACTTTTACATCAATATTCTGAGTAGCAAAATGCGAAGTCAGATATTTATTACTATGCATATACAAATCTGTAACAAATAAAACGTTTCCATGTGGTAGATTGTCTTTTTTACAACTTTATTGAGGTAAATTTTACTTAAAAATTTCACATGGTAGGTTTTGGAAAAAAAAATACTTTTTAAAAACAAAAGATTAACTCTTCTGTGTGGTACATGAAAAACTAACTAAAACCAAAAACAAAAGGCAGCCTGGGCGACATGGTGAGACCCCAACTCTACAAAAAATTCTTTTAAAACTTAGCCTAGCATGGTGGCGTGCATATGTGGTCCTAGCTACTCAAGGAGGCTGAGGCAGGAGAATCGCTTGAGCCCAGGAGTTCAAGACTGCAATGAACTGTGATTGCATCAGTGCACTCCAGCCTAGGTGACAGGGAAAGACCCTATCTCTTATTATAAAAATAAAATAACTAAAAATTAAAAAATAAAAACAAAAGGAAAATATTTTCACTTACAGTCTCTTTACTGGGATACAACAGCTGTTTTCATTGTTCTTTCTTTTTTTTTTTTTTTTTTTTTTTTTGAGACGAAGTTTTGCTCTGTCGCCCAGGCTGGAGTGCAGTGGCGTGATCTCGGCTCACTGCACCCTCTGCCTCCCGGGTTCAAGCGGTTCTCCTGCCTCAGCCTCCCAAGTAGCTGGGATTACAGGCACGCGTTGCCATGCCCAGCTAATTTTTATATTTTTGGTAGAGATGGGGTTTCACCATGTTGGCCAGGATGGTCTCAATCTCCTGACTTTGTGATCTGCCCACCTTGGCCTCCCAAAGTGCTGGGATTACAGGTGTGAGCCACTGCACCCAGCCTGTTTTCAGTTTTTAATATTTCTTTTCTCTCATTACCTACTTTTTTAAGGGAAGATGGATATCACAAATATCCTAGCAAGAACCTGTCAATAGACAGGTTTCCAAAAGGAAGAGTCATGATCCTACTGCATAAATCTAAATGAATGATTTAATTTTAGTTAAATTCTTCTGAATATAATCTGCTGTAAAATGGGGATCATTCTTGAAGTGAACCTCTTAATCTAAATACTTCCTGTTTTTGTTTCCTCTTGTTAAATACTCCCCTTCATGATCTTCACTGAAGAAATAAGAGAATACAAAAATATATGGGGCTTGCTGTTGCTCTTTTCTTGGTTGGCTTTTGTGCAGATTACTTTGTAGCAGTCAGGCATTGTGGTAGTTGTTAATTAAATGGGTAAGCATGACTCCTACCCTCAAGGAGCTTGCACCAAACCAGTGACTCAGCCTTAGGATAATCTGTTTTCTTCTCTTTTCTCCACCCATCTGGATTCTAACCATCCTTCAAGACCTAGTTCAATTCCTAAACCATTCATGAAATCTGCACCAGCCCAAACTTTGAACTTCTTTTGCATTATTTAGCAACAGAATATATACAGTTTTATCTCTATTTTGTCTCATTAATAGGATTTTAAATTCCTTCTGAACATGAATTATTTTCTTGTCTTCTGGATCTTAGCACATAACGCAGTTGTAGGTACATGAGAGATGCTGAAGTATTTGCTGATTCCTTTGACTCAGAGGCTTTTCAAGATACACTTTATTTAATAAAAAAAAAAGAAACACAGAAATACAAAACAAACTAGAAAAACAGAGCTTGTTTTTCACAGCTGCCAAGTAGTGGTACCACTTTTTGATTATTTGGAAATTATTTGGCTTTGGGGTGAGGTGCTAAAGAAATTTGTCAGGGAAGATAAATTGTTTGCATTACAGCCTAGCTGTTTATTTACAGTTTCCTCTCTTGTAGATATTGCAGGAGAAGAGGCTGGGTCCGATCCACACTCATTATGTCTGTTCCACAAACAAGTACTTCAAAAGGGAAAGTCATGCTTAAAGAATACAGTGGACGCAAGATTGAAGTAGAGCACATTTTTAAATGGATAACTGCTCATGCAGCTTCTCGGATCAAAACCATTTATAATGCTGAACACTTGAAAGAAGAATGGAATAAAAGTGATCAGTATTGGTTAAAAATATACCTATTTGCAAACCTTGACCAGCCCCCAGCTTTCTTCTCTGCACTAAGTATAAAGTTTACTGGAAGAGTTGAGTTTATTTTTGTTAATGTAGAAAATTGGGACAACAAGAGTTATATGACAGATATTGGCATATATAATATGCCATCATACATACTTAGAACTCCTGAAGGAATTTACAGGTATGGAAACCACACAGGCGAATTTATATCCCTTCAGGCCATGGATTCATTTTTGCGCTCATTACAACCCGAGGTAAATGATCTGTTTGTTTTGAGCTTGGTTCTAGTTAATCTTATGGCTTGGATGGACTTATTTATTACACAAGGAGCTACCATAAAGCGATTTGTGGTTCTCATAAGCACTTTAGGGACATATAATTCTCTATTAATTATTTCCTGGCTACCTGTGTTGGGCTTTTTACAGCTACCTTACTTAGATAGCTTTTATGAATATAGCTTAAAATTGTTGAGATATTCCAATACAACCACACTGGCTTCATGGGTAAGGGCAGACTGGATGTTTTACTCTTCACACCCAGCCCTGTTTCTCAGTACATACCTTGGTCATGGTTTACTAATTGATTACTTTGAGAAGAAGAGAAGGCGCAACAACAACAATGATGAAGTCAATGCCAATAACTTAGAATGGTTATCAAGTCTGTGGGACTGGTACACCAGCTACCTCTTCCACCCGATTGCTTCTTTTCAGAACTTTCCTGTAGAATCTGATTGGGACGAAGACCCTGACTTATTCTTGGAGCGCTTAGCTTTCCCTGACCTTTGGCTTCACCCTCTGATACCAACTGATTATATTAAAAACTTACCAATGTGGCGATTTAAATGTCTTGGAGTCCAGTCTGAAGAGGAAATGTCGGAGGGGTCTCAAGATACTGAAAATGACTCGGAAAGTGAGAACACAGACACTTTGAGTAGTGAGAAGGAAGTATTTGAAGATAAGCAAAGCGTACTTCACAATTCTCCAGGAACAGCAAGTCACTGTGATGCTGAGGCTTGTTCATGTGCCAATAAATATTGTCAGACCAGCCCATGTGAAAGGAAGGGGAGGTCATATGGATCATATAACACTAATGAAGATATGGAACCTGATTGGTTAACTTGGCCTGCTGATATGCTGCACTGTACTGAATGTGTTGTTTGCCTAGAGAATTTTGAAAATGGATGTTTGCTAATGGGGTTGCCTTGTGGTCATGTGTTTCATCAGAATTGCATTGTGATGTGGTTGGCTGGGGGCCGACATTGTTGCCCTGTTTGCCGGTGGCCTTCTTATAAAAAAAAGCAGCCATATGCACAACACCAGCCCTTGTCAAATGATGTCCCATCTTAACCATGTGCAATTTGTCCTTTATAAGCTTTGAGTATCTTACAGCTTGCCTTTTTAATGTTAGTCACAATGTTTTTGTGGTTTGAAGTTTAGTTTAATGTTAGTGCAGTGACGGGAAATACACATTATGCTAATGTTGATGACAGAATTTATTTGGTTGCCTTGTGTGTTAATTGAATGCATACCTAATTGTAAAATTTTTTTATTTACAACATTGGAAATTCAGAAGTTAATGTTTTTTTGTAAGCACAAAAGAAGTATTATAGAAATTTATCCTAGCAAGACTTTACAAGATAGGATCAAATTCTAATGGAATTGAGCCGGTTTCTTATCCTAAATGTTTCCTCCCTTTTTACAATCTCTGTCCAGCACCTCTTGGTTAAATAATGTATGCTGTGAGACATGAAATTAAAACAGACCTATGAAATAAATTATTTTAAAACCAGAAGATTACAGATTTTCCAATGTTAAATTTTTTTGATAAGGTGGCTGAATGATATAGGTGTTTTGCTGGTTTGTTAATTTCACAGATAGATCAAACATGATTCTTGACTCACGTTGGGGAGGAAGACAAAATGTTGCTGGCACTTGCTAGATGTGACAGTTCACCTTTTAGCTTGGTTAGCTGTGATGGGAAAGAGTTTCATGGTGGGCTTTTGAAAAAGTACTAAATAATTTATCAGTACTTAGCACATTCATCTAAATAAAATCAACTATAGCATATTAGCCACACATAAATTATGTTTTTTCTGACTTTTGAAATTTTTTAAAGCTACAGAAAGCTGTAAACATAGTACAGTGAACATCCATTTCTTTTTATCTAATTCACCAAGTGTTCACATTTTGTTATATGTTTTATCTCCTATCTCTTATGTGTATATTTCTTTTTTTTTTTTTTTTTTTTTGAGATGGAGTCTCACTGGGTCGCCCAGGCTGTAGTGCAGTGGTGCAATCTCGGCTCACTGCAAGCTCCGCCTCCTGGGTTCACAGGAGTAGCAGGGTCTACAGGTGCCCACCACCACGCCCGGCTAATTTTTTGTATTTTCAGTAGAGACGGGGTTTCACCGTGTTAGCCAGGACGGTCCCGATCTCCCGACCTCGTGATCCGCCCGCCTCGGCCTCCTAAAGTGCTGGGATTACAAGCATGAGCCACCGCACCCGGCCGCTGATCCTTTTGAAAATAAATTTCAGTCATCATGATGACTGACTGCTAAATATATCACCACATATCTAAGAACAAGGACATTCTTTTATGTAACCACTATACCATTATGACACCCAAGAAATTTAACATTGACTCAATAATAGCTAATGTATATAAAATCGATACTCCCCAATTGCTCCTGAAATATCCTTTATATCTAAATGTTTTTGTTTTATTTTTATTGTGAACTCAGACATAGTCGATACATTAAGTTTAGTCTCCTCCTTTTCATCCTTTCCTCTAGAGTAATTCCCCCTGCCGCCACCCCTTTTTTTTCTTTTTCTTTTCTTTTCTTTTTTTTTAAAGACAGTTTCCCTCTTGTTGCCCCGGCTGGAGTGCAATGGCGCGATCTCAGCTCACCGCAGCCTCCACCTCCCGGGTCCAAGCGATTCTCCTGCCTCAGCTTCCCGAGTAGCTGGGATAACAGGCACCCGCCACCACGCCCAGCTAATGTTTGTACTTTTAGTAGAGACGGGGTTTCTCCATGTTGGCCAGGCTGGTCTCAAACTCCCGACCTCAGGTAATCTGCCCGCCCCGGCTCCCAAAGTGCTGGGATTACAGGCGTGAGCCACGGCGCTAGGCCCCTGCCCCCTTTTTAAAAAAGTAGACTCTTCTTTGATTTCTCTCTGGTGTTCTGTTTTATTTTTCTTTTATCATTTTTTTCTTTTTTTGAGATGGAGCCTCTCTCTGTCGCCCAGGCTGGAGTGCAGTGGCATGGTCTCAGCTCACTGCAACCTCCGCCTCCCTGGTTCAGGCGATTCCCCTGCCTCAGCCTCCCGAGTAGCTGGGATTACGGACATGCACCACCATGCCTGGCTAATTTTTGTATTTTTAGTAGAGATGCGGTTTCACTATGTAGGCCAGGCTTGTCTCGAACTCCCAGCCTCAGGTGATCTGCCCACCTCGGCCTCCCAAAGTGATGGGATTACAGGCATGTGTCACCACACCTGGCCAATTTGTTTTACTTATTTTTATTTTATTTTTTTATTTTATTTTATTTATTTTATTTTATTTTATTATTTTATTTTATTTTAATTTTATTGAGACAAGGTCTTGCTCTGTTGCCCATGCTAGAGTGCAGTGGCATCATCATAGCTCACTGCAGCCTCAAACTCCTGGGCTCAAGCGATCCTCCTGCCTCAGCCTCCCAAGTAGCTGGAACTACAGGCTCAAGCCACAGTGCTAAGTTTTGTTTTGTTTTGTTTTTTGTTTGTTTTGTTGTTGTTGTTTTTGAGAGTTGGAGTCTTGCTTTGTTGCCTAGGCTGGTCTTGAACTCCTAGGCTCAAGCAATCCTCCTGAGTAGCTGGGGTTACAGGCATAAGCCATAATGCCTTGCTAGTTGCCTTTTTTTGGTACTAACATTTTTGGAGACTACAGGATGGTTGACTTATAAAATGCTCCACATTCTAGATTTGTCTGTTTCTTTCATGATTAGATTTAAAGGATATTGTCTGGAAGGTATGTACTTTCCATTTGTATGGCATCAGAAGGCACATGTCAGTTTGTCCTATTATTGGTGACATTTGGTTAAAGTGATATTTGCCTTTTCTTTCCATTCTAAGATACTTTTTCACTTTAAGAAGGAACCTGTTGAGACTATGCAAATATCCTATTCCTCAACAATCTAACCCAATGGCTTTAACATCTGTTGATTCTTTGCATCAATCAGTTATTAAAGAAGAGTTGCAACATGGGAATTTCATTTATTTATTTCAAGACAGGGTCTTGGTCACACAGGCTGCAGTTGCAGTGGCATGATCACAGCTCACTGCAGCCTCAACTTCCTGGGTAGCTGGGACCACAGGTGTGTGGCACCACATCCAGCTAATTTTTGTATTTTTTTGTTAGAGACAGGGTTTCGCCATGTTGCCAGGCTGGTCTCAAACTCCTGGGCTCAAGTGATCCACCCGCCTTAGCTTCTTAAATTGCTGGGATTACAGGCGTGAGCCACCGTGCCTGGCTAAGATGGGGGTTTTCTAATACCATCATTCATTCTACATTTATTGACTTTTTTGTGAACAAGAACTTTCCATTTTTCACACTTTTGATTCACAGATTTTTTAAAATACCCTATGTGTTAGAATTTATGATTCTTCTTGATTTTCAAATCATCCCAGATTAGGCTAGAGGGAGCCTCTCTAAGCCGGCTCTTATGTCCTATTGACAGTCCCTTTAATCTCGAAGCACTTCCTTGCCTTTTGACACAAAGGTATCCTAAGTTCACTTTGTATTTTCCCTGAGCCAGCCCTGTAATCAGCCATTTCTTCAAAGTGCCCGTTTCATGGTAGACTTGTAAAATCCTTAATTGGATGCCCCCCAAAATGGCAAGAAATTTTTTTCATTCTGAATTGCTGCTGACATTTTTTCCCCTTCATGATGCATTGTGTCTCACTTTCATATGCTAAGGAATAATAAGGCCTAGCAGTTACTTTGTATTAATATTTGGGAGTTTTTAAATAAAAGTGCAAGCACTGCTTCTTGTGCTCTAATTTTACTTTTGAAAAAAGTAATCATTCACAGTTCTCAAATATGAGCATAAAAACAAATTTTAAAAAATTTTTAAGTGCCCATATTATTGTAAATGTTAGTGTTTCCCAAGATTCTGCCATTGGTTCATTGATTTTTTTTCTCTCTTCATTGGATGTCTCCTAAATCTACATATCTAAGCAAAGACCCCTCCTAGATCTTCACTTTCATTTATAGCTGTCTGCTGGACAGCTTCTCCTCATGTTTTTAAGTACTTAATGACCCTAAGAGAGCTTTTTTATTCATTTATCCCACCCCCAGTCATCCTCTTAATTAAGGTCCTGATTTCAGTGAATGAAAAATTATATATATACACGTGTATATATATGTATGTGTGTATATTTATATACATATATACACGTGCATGCATATGAAATATACACAAAAGCATAGAAATTTTTTAAGAGAATTAAAATTTCCCCAGTATTCCAGGGCACACCATATGTTGGAGACTACTAACTTGGAAGATAAACCAATCTCTAACACTGGCTTTCAAGGTTCATAATCTGCTCCTGGCCTACCTCTTACACTCATCATGACACTCTATTCTGCTTGTGGCCCAGGCTCATGCTCTAATTTTTCCCAGCTTGGTGCTTTGCTATTCCCTCTACCTGATATTCTCACTCCTTCCTCTCTGCTTTGCCTGGCAAAATCCCACATTCTCCAGAAATTCTGTCCCTTCCTACCTATCTTCTCCTTCCTCACCAGGCTTATAAAGAGACAAAAATATGCAATGGACACTCAGGTGAATGTCACCCAAGTGATCAAACTTATCATCATCCAATGTGTGCCTTTCCTCCATATCCCACTGATATACCATGTACATGCCTGTCACACTTAGCTGCATTGAATTAAAACTCTGTGTCTTTGGTGAGCTCCTTTATGGTAGGAACTGTTTTGTTTGTCCAAGTATCCACAGTGACGGCACAAAATAGACATAATACATTTTCAACGTTAGATATGCAATAAAAATATTACAATGAGATCAGTGGGAAAATAATTGCCAAAGTTACATGTCTCCAGGCAAGCTTGACTCATCACTTAATTGTCAAGCACAACAAGTAATAATGCTTTTGTCAGATTTTCCTGGAGGTGGAGCATTGAAGGAAATATTTAAGGTTGATAGACTGTAAACTTTAGCTGTGTTTAAAATAAACGTTTGAATTCTTAGAACAACCTATCTCATGTAATGAGCTACGGATTTCAAGTACGTGGGCTATGTAGTTACTGAACTCTATGGTTAACTGTAATAGTAGGTAGGACAGATAATTTCTTCTGATCAAGAGTTTTTCTACTGTCTTCTCTAATAATTCCTTGTGTAGCCTTTTCTTTCTTTAAGGATGATAAGCTCTCTGAGGGCAGGAGTAACACTATAATCTACTCTTATATCCTTAACATATTAGAACCAGAGTAGATATTCGGTCAATAATTGTTGGCTTGAACTTTAAGAATCTATTTTATTTTTTCCCTTTACCAAACTTTTATTTATTTATTTATTTATTTATTTATTTATTTATTTATTTATTTATTTTTGAGATGGAGTCTCATTCTGTTGCCCAGGCTGGAGTGCAGTGGCACGATCTTGGCTCACTGCAACCTCCTCCTCCTGGTTTCAAGTGATTCTTCTGCCTCAGCCTCCTGAGTAGCTGGGATTACAGGCGCACACCACTGCACCTGGCTAATTTTTGTATTTTTAGTAGAGTCGGGGTTTCACCATGTTGGCCAAGCTGGTCTTGAACTCCTGACCTCAAGTAATCAACCCACTTCAGCCTCCCAAAGTGGTGGGATTACAGGCATGAGCCACCGTGCCAGCTTTTGCCAAACTTTTTACTATCCATTTAGAATAGGTGGAAAAGATTGAAGAAAACAGATTATATTTTTAGTGCCCATTAGAAGTGACAAAAATATTAATATTTATGGCCTGCTCCAAGACAAAAATCTTAATTGTTCCCCATAGTTACATACTTCTTTTCGTCTATTCCTTACATTGTTTGAGAGCCTGGGAGATTATTTATGTGATCTTTCTCCTTGCTCTCCCACGTTTTTCTCCTTGGCCATTTTATTATTCCTTAAAATTCTACCAAAGGGACGTGACGTAGAGAAAGATCTGGATCTTGTGTTAGGTCCTTTTTGCTGTTGGATCTGATTAAAAACTCAAAGAAGAATAAATTGAAATTTAATTGTTAAAATATGTTTTAATCATCTGTGTTTTAATCATTCTTGTTCTTTGTTGTCAATTAAATATATTGACATGATCAATTTAGGCAATCTTTTCATTTAATTTTTTAATAAATGTAATGATGTAAAATCATTACACTTTTTGTAATGATGTAAAATCTCATCAAAATATTTTATTGTTTTATATATACTAGATTATTTCACTTCATAAAATCCCTGTGCAACAGGTCGAGTAGAAGAATTCCCACTTACCAGACGATCAAGAACTCAGGACAACGCAGATAGTTACAGATGTGACTAGGATGCAGCTTTCAAATTTGCATATCTTCAGGGTCCCAGGAAAGTTTAAGTCGGGTGATGAGAGCAGAAGTGTGTATGATCTGCCTTTAATTTTTTTTTTTTTTTAGACGGAGTCTCGCTCTGTTGCCAAGGCTGGAGTGCAGTGGCTTGATCTCGGCTCACTGCAACCTCTGCCTCCCGGGTTAAAGCGATTCTCCTGCCTCAGCCTCCTGAGTAGCTGGAATCACAGGTGCCCACCACTATGCCTGACTAATTTTTGTACTTTTGGTAGAGACAGGGTTTCACCAGGTTGGCCAGGCTGGTCTCGAACTCCTGACCTCAGGCAATCCACCCGCCTCAGCCTCCCAAAGTGCTGGGATTACAGGCATGATCCACCACTCCCGACCAGCATTATGTCTTTTAAAATGTATATACCTTAATTTAAAAATATTTTATTGCTAAAAAATGTTAATGATCACCTGAGCCTTCAGCAAGTCATAATCATGTGCTGGTGGAGGGTCTTGCCTCAATGTTGATGGCTGCTGACTGAGCAGGGTGGTCGTTGCTGAAAGTTGGGGTGGCTGTGACAATGAAGTTGACCGTATCAATTGACTCTTTCTTTCACAAAAGATTTCTCTCTAACATGCGATGCTGTCTGACAGCATTTTACCCACAGACCTTTTTCAAAATTGAAGTCAGTCCTCTCAAATCCTGCTGCTGCTTCATCAACTAAGTTTATGTACTATTCTAAGCCCTTTCTTGTAATTTTAACAATGTGCACAGCATTTTCACCAGGACTACATTTTATCTAAAAAAAAAAAAAGGTCACTTTGCTCATCCATAAGAAGTGACTCCTCATCCACTCAAGTTTTAACATGAGATTGCAGCAATTCAGTCACATCTTTAGGCTCCACTTCGTGTTCTTTTGGCATTTCCACCACATCTGCAGTTACTTTCCCAAAGTTATCCATAGGATTGGAATCAACTTCTTCCAAACTCCTGTTAATGTTGATATTTTGACCTCATCCCATGAATCATGAATGTTCTTAATGACATCTATAACAGTGAATCCTTTCCAGAAGGTTTTCAGTTTACTCTGCCCAGATCCATCACAGAAACCACTATCTATGGCAGCTATAGCCTTAAGAACTATATTTCTTAAGTAATAAGACTAAAAATAAAAATTACTCCTTGACCCATGGGCTGAAGAATGGATGTTGTCACACATTAGCAGGCATGAAACCAATCTCCTTATAGAGTTCCATCAGAGCTCTTGGGTGACCAGGCACGTTGTCAAAGAGCAGTAATATTTAGAACTGAATCTTTTTTTCTGAGCAGTAAATCTTATCAGTGAGCTTAAAATATCCAGTGAACCATGCTGTAAACAGATGTGCTGTTGTCCAGGTTCTGTTGTTCCATTTATAGCGCACAGGCAGAGTGGATTTAGCATAAATTTTAAGTGTCCTAGAACTTGGGGGATGGTTAATGAGCATTGGCTTCAACTTAAAGTCACCAGCTGTATTAACCCCTAACAAGAGAGTCAACCTGTCCTTTGAAGCTTTGAAACCAGGTGTTGACTTCTCTCTAGCTGTGAAGGTCCTAGATGGCATCTTCTTCCAATGGAAGGCTGTTTTGCCTACACTGAAAATCTGTTGTTTAGTGTACTCACCTTCATCAGTGATCTTAGCTAGATCTTCAGGATAATTTGCTGCAGCTTCTACATCAGCACTTACAGCTTCACCTTACACTTTTACGTTACAGAGACAGCTTCTTTCCTTAAACCTCATGAATCAACCAACCTCTGCTAGCTTCCAACTTTCCCTCTGCGGCTTCCTCACTTCTCTCAGCCTTCAGAATTGAAGAGAGTTGGGGCCTTGCTCTGGATTAGGCTTTGGCTTAAGGGAATTTTGTAGCTAGTTTGATCTTCTATCCAGACCACTACAACTTTCTTCATATCAGCAATAAGGCTGTTTCATTTTCTTATCATTCATATATTCACTGGAGTAGCACTTTAAATTTCCTTCAAGAACCTTTCCTTTGCATTCACGACTTGGCTGTTTGGCACAAGAGACCTAGCATTCAGCCTATCTCAGTTTTCAACATGCCTTCCTCACTAATCTTAATCATTTCTAGCTTTTGATTTAATGTGAGACCTGCAACTCTTTCACTTGAACACTTAGAGGCCATTGTAGGGTTATTAATTGGCCTAATTGAAGATGTCTGGCCAGTGCAGCAGTCAGAATACATGCAGCATTTATCAATTAAGTTCCTTGTATTATATGGGTTCAGTTCATGATGCCCCAAAACAGTTACGATAGTAACATCAATGATCACGGATTACAGATCACCATAACAGATATAATCATAGTGAAATAGTTTGATATATTGCTAGAATTACCAAAATGTGACACAGAGACACAAAGTGAGCCACATGCTGTTGGAAAAATAACACTGATAGAATTGCTTGACACAGGATTACAACAAACCTTCCATTTGTAAAAAAAAAGCACAGTATCTAGCCAGGCGCAGTGGCTCACGCCTGTAATCCCAGCACTTCGGGAGGCCGAGGTGGGTGGATCACCTGAGGTCAGGAGTTCGAAACCAGTCTGGCCAACGTGGTGAACCCCTGTCTCTACTAAAAATAAAAATTTAAAAAAATTGCTGGGCATGGTGGCACGCACCTGTAATCCCAGCTACTCGGGAGGCTGAGGCAGGAGAATTGCTTGAACCCGGTAGGTGGAGGTTACAGTGAGCAGAAATCGTGCCATTGCACTCCAGCCTGGGTGACAACAGCAAAACTCCATCTGAAAAAAAAGAAAAAACCCACAGTATCTGTGGTGCACAGTAAGGTGAAATGCAGTAAAACAAGGTATCCCTGACACTTATTACTGTCAAGTTCCCTTTGTTTATGTGCATAATGGGATAGTAGACTCCTTACATTAGACGTTAAATGGTTTTTGAATACTCTTATTTACAGTCTCTTTTAAAATACACTCTTTGTGTTGACATAGAGGATACTTAACTAAATTTATAGCCTATTTATCTAATAATGAAGAACAAAAGTAAGCTTGAAAATAGAGAAGCACCTAAAGAGATGTCAAAGGCATGCAGACGTTTTCTTATTCATAAGCATCTACTGAATGAATGAGGAGCCAGAGAGAATTTATTTTTACTTTGCATAGATTTCAATGAGCTTGTTGATCTGGCTTCCCAGTCTTCAGGAGTCACACCTATAGAAGCTATGGAGTAAGGGAGGGGCGTGCCAGAGGCAGGCCAAAGAGGTCATAGTTACAAACTTTGGTGTAAAGGATGGAAGTTATGAAGAAACAAAACAAAAGACAGTAGTTTGTGGCCAGGTAGTGCAGTAACAAATAATGTCTTGAAAGAATGTCACTATCTTGCCGACAATGATTCTGTGTCACCAAGAAAAATATTTTACCAGTATCATCTGCACAAGAAGTCAGGAAGATTCATTTTATAAAATTCGAAACAATTAACTTTGAAATGTTTTGGCAAAGTGAAAAGTTTCTGTTTCTAGGAAAACTCATTTTGGGGGGTGGAGTGAGAAGGACAGAAATCTTGTTCCTAGATTCCCTTATAAAAGGTTAATGGAGGCTGGGGTGGGGAGATCGCTTGCGCTCAGGAGTTCAATGCCAGCCTGGGCAACATGGTGAAACTCAATCTCTAAAAAATACAAAAATTAGCCAGGCATGGTGGCACGCATGCCTGTAGTCCCAGATACTTGTGGGGCTAAGGCAGGAGAATTGCTTGAACATGGGAAGAAAAAAAAAAAAAAGGTTAATGGCCTAACAGTCTCACCAATTTTGCCTTAAACCATGCCATCAGTTGTATAATATAAAAATGATGTTCACATGCAGTGTGTATTTAGTGTCACTACTGTTCTAAAATTATGTGAGCTCTTTTCATTGGGGAAGTTGCTTTGAGAATGCTGTCTATTTATTGACAAAACAGAGTCTTGGGCCACGTTTCCACATGCGTAACTTGGTTTTGTGAGGTCCTTTCACAAAGATGAAGTAGTAGGGTTTCAGGCACAGCAAAAGGAAAATTAGAACTTCTTGATATTTTCAGGGTAGCTTTTATTTTTATGGTTTAAGTGCTCTTCATTTATTTTCACTTAATTTCTGAGCCAAGTGGCTAAAACAGTAGGTTTCTGGAACAGAATTCCTCAAGCTGACTCCTAGCTTTGTTGCCAGAGGCTTAGGTAAGAGATACCTCTCAAAATGTCAAACATGGCAATGTCTTGGAATTTTAAAACCATCTTGTTAAAATTACTTATTAGTTTTGAATGTGGTGGACTTGGTGACCAATCTTGACGTATATTGCTTTGCTTTAAAAGCACCTAGGTTTGTTTAGTGAGGAAAAAAAAGAATGTGATTCTTACAGTTTTTCTGTTTAAAATAATAGAATCTGAGTGTCAGAAGCAAATGTGAAGGTCATTTAGTACAATTTTCTCTATGAATTTAGATCTTTTATGTCCCGGTTACAAATTGGCACACTTATCATCTGACAAAAGGCATGCTACATTTGCAAAAATCTATAAACATTCCACCTGCCAGGATCCACAGAAAAGCGAGCAGTGAGCTGGCAACGCAGCAAGAGCAAGTGCTGAAAGCCCAGATCTGGACACTTTGTTGGACACTTCCCAGTCATCATCTTTGGGAGGCAGGATGAGTCAGGAGTTTATCTTTTTTAAAAAGCTAGTTCTAATAGAACCTACTTGCTCTGAAATATATTTCCATTATTCATCAAAATGGCTCATAGTTAACCAGGATTTTTATTTAGAGAGAAACCTGTGAATGTAAGGTAGTAAAGATCATCCTCATGAGTTCAGCACTGAACTCATTTTACTACCCTGAACATCTCCAAAAAAGGGAACAGGAGGCAAGAGAGCAGCTTTCTTCTGCTTCAGCCAAGCATACTCTCTGCTGTTACTGAACAAGGGCAGATTTACACAGACTTTGCTATATTTCTGTGGCTATGGGAAGGATGAGAAGTAATACTACCAAAGCATGAAAAGGATGAGAGGTAACACTACCAAAGCAAAAGAGAGTTTGTTGCATACTATGCACTAGATTGGGCTATGCAGAAATTAAAGACCCTTTACAATTTCAAAGATTTCTAAGGATGAGAAAAGCCTGCAGTAACTCATTCAGTTGTATTCCTTTAACCTAAGCAGGAATGTATCTGATTAACCTATTCTGGAAAAACATGTCTTCAGAGTCCTAGATTTTGTTCAAGCAGCTTGGATTTTTTAGTCAAGGAACATGTGGTGTTAACTATAAGCTACATGTTATCTGAGAGTTATTCCACAGTCTGAATGGAGTAGTAGTGTTTTCTGAAATAATATTCCTATAGGGCAAACCACATGTAGGAAGTGGAAAGAGCTTTTGATGCCTCGTAGCATGTATTCATTAGCTAAAAAGGAGAGGGCTGGGACAGGAAAGGGATGGAACAAATGTGCAGCATCCTCACCAACTCTTGTTTGACCATTTCCAGCCATCTAGGGAAAATACATTATTTTATTCCTTTAGTTAAAGCTTTCATTGAAGGGAAATATGTCTTCGTAAAAGTATACAAGTTTCAAATATGAAGAATATTAATTTGTCACAAAGTCAACACCCTCATGTAACCCATCACCCAGATAAAGAAACAGAACAATTGTCACATTCAGAAGGAACCAGAGGGAGGTTCTACCTTCACATTTCTCCCCAAATGTAATCTCTATGATAACTTCTACATTCATAGATTCGTTTTGCCTCTTTTTAAGTGTTATACAATTTAAATCATGTAGGATATAGTCATTTGCCTACAGTTTCTTTTATTTACAATTGTGAGGTTCATCTCTGTCATATGTAGTAGTAGCTTGTTCATCTTCAGTACTGTGTAGAATTGTATGAACACACCACAATTTATAGTTATTCATTATATTGTGGTGAGCAATCTAGCTTATTTTCAGTTTTTGGCAATTACAAATAGTACTACTATAAATAAATATAAAAAAATAAAAACAGTAAGACAAAAAAGACTACTTCTATGAATATTCTTGTATATAATTTTGGTTCATATATATTCACATTTCTCTTGAGGGTGTTGCGTTATTGAGTGTGCTATGTTCATTTCTGGTAAACACGAATAGTGTTCTAAAGTAGTTGTACCAATTTACATTTTCTTCAGTGGTATAAGAGAGTTCCAGTGTTTCATATTCTTACTAACATTTGATGTTACATATATTTTTTCATATTAGCATTTCTGGTGACTGTATAGAGGTATATCTCTTTGTGGTTTTAATTTGCATTTCTCATTCCTATACACCAACACGAACCAAGCCACAAGCCAAATCAGGAACGCAATCCCATTCACAACTGCCACAAAAAGAAAAAAGTAGCTAGGAATACAACTAACCAGGAAGGTGGAAAATCTCTACAATAAGAATAACAAGACACTGCTCAAAGAAATCAGAGCTGACACAAACAAATGGAAAAACAGTCTATGCTCATGGATAGGAAGAAAAATATCATTAAAATGGCCATACTGCCCAAAGCAATATGCAGATTCAATGCTATTCCTATCAAACTACCAATGACATTCTTCACAGAACTAGAAAAAAACTATTTTAAAATTCATATGGAACCAAAAAAGAGCTCGAATAGCCAAGGCAATCCTAAGCAAAAATAACAAAGCTGGAGGCATCGCATTACCTGACTTCAAACTATACTACAGGGCTACAGGAACCAAAACAGCATGGTTCTGTTACAAAAATAGACACATAGACCAATGGAACAGAATAGAGAGCCCAGAAATAAGACCACACACCCACAACCATCTGATCTTTGACAAAGCTGACAAAAACAAGCAAAGAGGAAAAGACTCCCTATTCAATAAATGGTGCTGGGATAACTGACTAGCCATATGCAGAATATTGAAATTGGACCCCTTCCTTACACCATATACCAAAATCAACTCAAGATGGATTAAAGACTTAAATGTAAAACCCAAAACTATAAAAACCCTGAAAGACAGCCTAGGCAATACCATTCTGGTCACAGGAACAGGCAAAGATTTCAGGACAAAGATAACAAAAGCAAAAGTTGACAAATGGGATCTAATTAAACTTAAGAGCTGCATAGCAAAAGAAACTATCAACAGAGTAAACAAACAACCTACAGAATAGGAGAAACCATTTGCAAACTATGCATCTGACAAAGGTCTAATATTCAGCATCTATAAAAAACTTAAACAAATTTACAAGAAAAAAAACCCCACTAAAAAGTGGGCAAAGGACATGAATAGACAATTTTCAATAGAAGGCATACGTATGTCCAACAAGCATATGAATAAAAGCTTAATATCACAGATCATTAGAGAAATGTGAATCAAAACCACCAAACCATCTCACACCAGTTAGAATGGTTATTATTAAAAAGTCAAAAAATAACAGATGCTGGCAAGGTTGCAGAGAAAAGGGAACATTTATACATTGTTGGTGGGAGTATAAATTATTTCAGTCATTGTGGAAAGCAGTATGGTGATTTCTCAAAGAGTTAAAAACAGGACTACCATTCAACCCAGCAATCCCATTACCGGTTATATATCCAGAAGAATACAAATCATTCTGCCATAAAGACACATGTTCATTGAAGCACTATTCACAATATCAAAGACATGGAATCAACCTAAATGACCATCAGTGACAGATTGGATAAAAAAAATTGTGGTACATGTAGACCATGGAATATTATGCAGCCATAAAAAAGAACAAGATCGGCTGGCACAGTGGCTCACACCTGTAATTCCAGCACTTTGGGAGGCCGAGGCGGGAGGATCATCTGAGGTCAGAAGTTTGAGACCAGCCTGGCCAACATGGCGAAACCCTGTCTCTACTAAAAATACAGAAATTAGCCAGGCATGGTGGCATGTGCTTGTAGTCCCAGCTACTCAGGAGGCTGAGGCAGGAGAATCGCTTGAACCCAGGAGGCAGATGTTGCAGTGAGCCAAGATTGCGCCATTGCACTCCAGCCTGGGTGACAGAGCCAAGACTCTGTCTCAAAAAAACCAAAACAAAACAAAACAAAAAACAAAAGAAAATGAGATCATGTCATCTGCAGAAACATGGATGGAGCTGGAGGCCATTATCCTTAGCAAACTAATGCAGGAACAAAAAACCAAATCCTGCATGTTCTCTCTTACAAGTGGGAACTAAATGATGAGAACTCATGGACACAAAGAGGGGAGCAGCAGACACTAGGGACCAATTGAAGGTGGAGGGTGAGAGGAGGGAGAGAAGCAGAACAAATAGCTATTGCGTCCTTGTTAGTACCTAAGTGATGAAGTAATCTGTACAACAAAACCCCCGCGACATGAATTTACCTATACAACAAACCTGCACATGTATTCCTGAACCTAAAATAAAAGTTAAAACAAACGGAAAAATTTGCACTTCTCCAATGACTAATGAGGCTAAAACCGTTGTCATGTTTATTAGTAATTTGAAAAACCTCTTTTGGGAAGTGCTTGTTAAAATCTTTTGCCCATTTTTCTATTGGGTTTCTGTCTATCTTTTTCTTATTGAATTATAAGAGTTATGTACATATTTTAGATATGAGTGCTTTGTCAAATATATGTATTGCAAATGTTTTCTCCCAATCTGTGGCTTTCCTTTTTTAGGAGGAAGAAGGTTTTTTAAATCTTTTTTTTTTCTTAGGAAATTTCAATTATATACAAAAGTAGAGAGATTAATATGATTAATTCCCATCTACTCAACTTCAACAATTATCGACTCATAGCCAACCTTGTTTCAGCTATATCCTCACTAAAAATCACCCTCTTCCATTGCCCTAATCTGCCCTTTTGTTTCCATTATTTAACTGTTAGGCCTTTAATACTTAATTTAACAGTCATTTATTTATTCTTCCTATATTAATTGGATTATATCTAATTGAATTAATAGTTAAATCCAGTGAATGCATTTTCTTACTTATATTACTTTAGCTCTCTGCCTATGGTGACTCTGTTAAGCATTTCCTCCTTGCAATTCCTTTCCCTTGAACTTCTGTGGTACTACTCTACCTGATTTTCACCTACTTCTCTGATCTTCCCTTCATAATTTCCTTCCTGGAATTTTCTTCCTCCCTTGCTTCTTCAGAGTTATTGTTTTCCTAGAGTTCTGTTCCAGTTTTTAATCAATTTGGGTGATTTCATCAATACTCATGTCTTTGACTCCCACATACTGAATCTACATCTGTAGTCCAGAACACTCTATTCAATACCAGATCTGCAAATAGACTATCTGCTGGACATCTCACTTGGATGACCCACAGGCATCCAAGGCAGACTGCTGATTGCCTCCCCCAGCTCTAATCCATTCTTCCATTATACTAGATTTCAAAGTTTTTTAAAATTAGAACTTTTTTTAGAGCTCTTAGGTTCACAGCAAAAGAGAGAAGGTACAGAGGTTTCCCTTATACGCCATGCCACCACACATGTGTAGCCTCCCCGGTATCAACATCCCCCACAGAGTGGTACGTTTGTTACAATTGATGAACCTATATTGACATGTTATACTCACCCGAAGTCCAGAGTTTACGTTAGGGTTCACTCTTGGTGTTATACATTCTGTGAATTTGGACAAATATATAATGGCATGTATCCATCATTGTAGTATCATACAGAGTCGTTTTACTACCCTAAAAATCCTCTGTGCTACACCTATTCAACCCTCCCTCCATCCAACCCCTGGCAACCACTGGTCTTTTTACCATCTCCATAGTTTTGCCTTTCCCAGAATGTCCTGTGGTTAGAATTATACAGTATGTAGCCTTTTCAGACTGGCTTCTTTAACTTGCTAATATGCATTTAAATTTCTTCTATCTTTTTTTTTTTTTTTTTAAGACGGAGACTCGCTCTGTCACCCAGTCTGGAGTGCAGTGGTGTGATCTCAGTTTACTGCAACCTCCGTCTCCCGGATTCAAATGATTCTCCTGCCTTAGCCTCCCTAATAGCTGGGATTACAGGCGCACGCCACTATGCCTAGCTATTTTTTTTTGTATTTTTAGTAAAGGTGGGGTTTCACCATCTTGGCCAGGCTGGTCTCAAATGCCTGACCTCAAGTGATCTGCCTGCCTTGGACTTCCAAAGTGCTGGAATTACAGGCGTGAGTCACTGCGCCCAGCCATCTTCCATGTCTTTTCATGGCTTCATAGATCATTTCTTTTTAGCACTGAATAAACAGTTCATTGTCTGGATGTACCAGTTTATCCATTCACCTACTGAAAGACATCTTGGTTGCTTCCAAGTTTTGGCAATTATGAATAAAACAGCTATAAACATACATGTGTACATTTTTGTTTTCACCTCCTTTAAATAAATACTAATGCTGGATCTCATGTTAAGAGTGTTTAGTTTTGTAAGAAACTGACAAACTGTCTTCCAAAGTGGCTTCCATCTTGGCTTCCCATGAGAGTTCTTGTTGGTCCACATTCTCACCAGTGTTGCCTGTTATCAGTTGTTCCAGATTTTGGTCATTCTAGTAGGTGTGCAGTGGTATCTCATTATTGTTTTAACTTGCATTTCCCTGATGACTTATAACGTGGAGCATCTTTTCACATGCTCATTTGCCATCTATATATCTTCTTTAATGAGGTGTCAAAGTCTTTGAACTATTTCTTAATGGAGTTGTTTGTTTTCCTATTGCTGAGCTTCAAAAGCTCAATTTTTTTTTTTTTTTGAGATAGTATCTCTCCATGTTGCCCAAGCTAGTCTCAAACTCCTGGGCTTAACAGACTTTTCTGCCTCAGCCTCCCAAATACCTGGAATTATAGCCTCATGCTACCATCCCCAGGTGAGTTGAAAGAGTTCTTTGTGTATTTTGGATAATAGTCCTTTATCAAATGAGTTTATTGCAAATATTTTCTCCCATTTTCTATGGCTTGTCTTTTTACTCTGTTGATATTGTCTTTTACAAAGCAGAAGTTTTTTCTTTTAATGAAATTCAGCTTATCAATTTTTTTCATGCATTGTGACTTTGGTGTTATATCATCACCAAGTTATATCATCACCAAACCCAAGGTCATCTAGATTTTCTCCTATGTTATCTTCCAGTAGTTTTATAGTTTTGCATTTTACATTTAGGTCAATGATCCGATTTGAGTTAATTTTTGTGTAGGGTGTAGTCTGTGTCCAGATTCCTTTTTTTTTTTTCAATGTGGATGTCCAGTTGTCCCAGCACCATTTGTTGAAAAGACTATCTTTTCCTCCCTTGTGGTGCCTTTGCTCCTTTGTCAAAGATCAGTTGACTGTACATTCAGCCCTTCATATTCGTGGGTTCCACATCCATGGATTCAACTAAACATCGATCAAAAATATTAGAAATATACTGAACATGTTCCCTAAACAATGCAGTGTAACAACTTATTTATTAGGTTGGTGCAAAAGTAATTGTGGTTTTTACCTTTGAAAGTAATGGCAAAAACTGCAATTACTTTTGCACCAACCTAATACATAGCATTTATGTTGTATTGAGTATTATAAGTAATCTAGAGATGATTTTAAGTACCCAGGAGGATGTGCATAAGTAATATGCAAATACTATGCCATTTTAAATCAGAGACTTGAGCATCCGTGGGTTTTGATATCTGCAGGAGGTCCAGGAACCAATCCCCTGTGGATACCAATAGACTATTTTATTTATGTGGGATTATTTCTGGGCTGTCTATTCTGTTCCATTGGTCTATTTGTTTATTCTTTTGACATTATCACACTGTTTTAATCGTGATATTATTATTGTAGCTTAAAAATAAGTCTTGAAGTTGTATAATCTTAGTCCTCCAACTTTGTTCTCTTTCAATATTGTGTTGGCTATTCTGCCTATTGTCCCCTGCATAAATTTTAGAATTTGTTTGTTGATATTCACAAAATAACTTGCTGGGATTTTGATTGAAATTTCATTGACTATTGATCAAGTTGGGAAAAACTGACATCTTGACAATATTGAGTCTTCCTATCCTATAGAAGATCTTTCAATTTATTTAGTTCTTCTTTGATTTTTTCCATCAGAGTTTTGTAATTTTCTTCATATAGATCTTGTACTTACTTTGTTAGATTTACATCTAAGTACTTCCTGGGGAGGGGTTGCTGATGTCAATGTTATTGTGTTTTAAATTTCAAATTCCACTTGTTCATTGCTGTATGTAGATGCTCCTTGACTTACGGTGGAGTTATGTACCAATAGACCCATGTTGAAAATGTTGTAAGCCTGAAATGCAGCCCAGAGAGTCTCTGGACAAAGAATCACCAGTGGTTAAAATCTGAAACTTCATGGTTGCCAATCACTTTTGCCCCATTGTAAGTTGAACCATTGTAAGTTGGGGACCATTTGTATAGGAATGCAATTGATTTTCATATATAAACCTTGTATCCTGCAACCTTGTTATAATTGCTTATTAGCTCCAGAAGGTTTTTTATTTTCTCTTTTTTTTTGTCAGTTCTTTTGGATTTTCTACATAGATGATCATGTCATGTTTGAACAAAGATTTATTTCTTCCTTCCCAATCAGTATACCTCTTACTTTCTTGTCTTATTGCATTCATTGGGACTTTCAGTATAATGTTGAAAGGAAGGATAAGAAGGGACATCCTTGCCTTGATTTTGATCAGTATACTAGAAATTTAGCTGAACAAATACCCAGTTGTTAACTATATTTCTCAACCCACATTGTAGCTAGGTGTGGGCAATGTGACTAATTCTTGCCAATAGAATGTAAGCAAAAATAATGCCTGCCGGTTTTGGGTTTTGACTTAAAACATTGGGTATGTGTGTTATTTCTTTCTCTTCCTACTTCTAACCTGCTAGATATGTTAATAATGGATGCAACCTTGAAAGTTAGGTATGACTGGCAGACACAGTTGCTTAGCCAGCCAATGTTTCTGCATGACTTCACAGAGCAGAGCTGCCCTACTATGGAAATTACTGGATTATTCCACAAAACAGAAATAAACTTCTATTTTATTTAAGTCATTGCATTTTGAGGTATCTGTTATAGCAGCTTAGCCTTTAACTATGACAGCATCTTAATCACACCATATCCAAAATTTGCTAGTCATCTTTCCACCTATATATTGTATGCCATAATGCCAGTCTGAGTAAAGGCCCCTGTAGTCATCTAATCTTCATTCTGCTCTCAACCCCAACATCCAGTTTTCCCAAGTGCAGTGCTACCTCTTAAAATGACTCAGGATTTCTACTTCTGGCTGTGATGGAGTAATTGGCACTGGACTAGTCCTCTTGCTACAAATAACTGTAAAACCAGACAAAAATACATGAGATAGCTGTTTTCAGGCAATGAATAACAGGAAGTACAAGATAAGTACAAGATTGAGATCTTTGAGAGAAAGGAAACTAACAGGGTAGGCTCCATGATTACTCAGCTGTCTGCATAGGACAGTTTCCTGACTGCAGTGCAAAAAGCTTGAGTCCAAGCAAAGCGTGGTGGTTCCTATGAGATTCAGCCATAATGCTGCATGTATCCATAGTTCTTTCTTTAAAAACTAATATTGTTGTATATTATATTGTATAAATATCCCACAATTTATGCATTCATTTTGTGGCTGATGAACATTTGTTTCCAGTTTTTGCTATTATGAATAAAACTGCCTTGAATATTATTGTACATGACTTTCAGTGGACATAACCACTTATTTATTTTGAATATATGTAAGGAATAGAATTGTTCTATCATAAGGTTTAATATGTTTAGCTTTAGTAGATTCTGCTAAAGAATTTTCCAATCTGGTTGTACCAATGTACACTCTATCTAGCAGTGTATGAGTCCCTGTTGCTCCATATCATTTTCCAACATTTGATATTGTGAGTGCTTTCCATGGTATTTCAGTATGGTTTTTATTTCTCTGATGAATATGATATTAATCATCCTTTCATACTGTTATTGGCACTTTTAATATCTTATTTTGTGAAGTGCCTATTTAAGTACTTTGCTCATTTAAAAATTATGATGAGTTATTAATTTGCAAGAGTTCTGTATTCTTGATATGAGTATTCTGTTGAAAATATGTTAACAGTCTCTGGCTTCTTGTTTTACTCTCTCTCTCTCTTTTTTTTTTTTTTTTTTTTTTTTTTGATATGGAGTCTCACTCTGTTGCCCGGGCTGGAGTGCAGTAGTGTGATCTCGGCTCACTGCAACCTCCGCCTCCTGGGTTCAAACAATTCTCCTGCCTCAGCCTCCCAAATAGCTGGAGCTATAGGTGTGCGCCGCCATGCCCAGCTGATTTTTGTATTTTCAACAGAGATGGGGTTTCACCATATTGGCCAGGCTGGTCTCGAACTCCTGACCTCAAGTGATCCACCTGCCTTGGCTTCCCAATGTGCTGGGATTACAGGCATGAACCACCACATCCAGACCTTTTTTACTCTCTTAATGGCGTCTTTTAATGAACAGAAGTTCTTAATGTTTAAGAAATCCAATTTAGCAATTTTTTATAGCTAATTAAAATTTGTGTTCTGTTTAAGTCACCTTTGCCTACCTCAAAGTTATGAAAATATTTTCCTGTTTTGGATGCTTTGTCTGTTTACCTGTCTTATTTCAGTTTCAATCCATCTCAGATTAAATTTTTTTTTTTTTTTGGAGATGGAGTCTTCCTCTGTCCCAGGGTGGAGTGCAGTGGCATGATCTCAGCTCATTGTAACCTCCGCCTCCCGGGTTCAAGCAATTCTCCTGCCTCAGCCTCCCGAGTAGCTAGGACTACAGGTGCATGCCACACGCCCAGCTAATTTTTTGTATTTCAGTAGAGACAGGGTTTCACCATGTTGCCCAGGCTGGTCTCAAACTCCTGAACTCAGGCAATCCGCCTGCCTCAGCCTCTCAAAGTGCTAGGATTACAGGCATGAGCCACCGTGCCTGGACCATCTCAGATTAATTTTGTGTGTGGTGTGAGGTAGAGATTTATGTTCACTTTTTCTTGTGGATATCTTTTTTTTTTTTTTTTTTTTTTTTGAGACGGAGTCTAGCTCTGTCACCCAGGCTGGAGTACAATGGCGCGATCGTGGCTCACTGCAAGCTCTGCCTCCCAAGTTCAAGCGATTCTCCTGCCTCAGGCTCCTGAGTAGCTGAGACTACAGGCACATGCCACCACACCCGGCTAATTTTTGTATTTTTAGTAGAGACAGGGTTTCACCGTGTTGGCCAGGCTGGTCTCGAACTCCTGACCTCGTGATCCGCCTCTCTCGGCCTCCCAAAGTACTGGGATTACAGGCGTGAGCCACCGCGCCTGGCCTTCTTGTGGATATCTAAATAGACCTAACAAAACTTAATGGAAAGAATATCACGTCTTCCGCTAAATTGTGGTAGCATTTGTTGTAAATCAACTGACAGTGTTTATGTATCTTTGTGCTACTCGATT